>NC_000024.10:8446094-8746504 GCF_000001405.40 Homo sapiens
ATGGTAATAACTTTTTTTTTTTTTTTTTTTTTTTTGAGACGGAGTCTCGCTCTGTCGCCCAGGCTGGAGTGCAGTGGCGGGATCTCGGCTCACTGCAAGCTCCGCCTCCCGGGTTCACGCCATTCTCCTGCCTCAGCCTCCCGAGTAGCTGGGACTACAGGCGCCCGCTACCACGCCCGGCTAATTTTTTGTATTTTTAGTAGAGACGGGGTTTCACCGTGTTAGCCAGGATGGTCTCGATCTCCTGACCTCGTGATCCGCCCGCCTCGGCCTCCCAAAGTGCTGGGATTACTGGCGTGAGCCACCGCGCCCGGCCGGTAATAACTTTTACTTTCACCTGAATGTGTTGTGGAGAGTCACAATACTAATATTTTTCTGGACCCTCTTATGAAATTGTCTGTACCACCCAAGAAGGTTTTGTAATATAAGTTAGTGTTGTAAAATTCTGTAAGCTTGTTCAACTAAGCAATGAAGGACTTTACCTACTGACCTAAACCTAGTGGTGAAAGGCAAAATATATCCAATTGGCTGAATCCCAATAGAAGCATGATCGTCATGCTTTTGAACTGAAGAAATGTATATGTCATAACAATTTGTGGACAAAAATCTAGACAGAAGGTTGACATCACTTAGGTGCTACGGCAAGAAACATGATACAATACCTTGTGTAGGGGGGTCATAGGAAACAGGGTCACATTAACTGGGCTCTGGAGCCAGCAATATGGCACAACCTCACATGGAAGAAATCTAGCAAAGTGAGGAGACCCAAAACACATATGGAGTGGGCCAAAGATATATAAAAATAGCTTCTGTGGCTCTGGCACAGGCAGGAGAGTCACATCATTAGCATGCTAGGCCCAGCAATATGCTGAAATTCCTTCTTTATGCATGGCCCATGCATAAGTGTAACATAATCCAGGTGGGGGGACCTGAACTACAGCAAAATTCCTGTTTGTGAGCATTGTTTGGCAACATGATGAGAGTCACGTTTCCTAAGTACTGGACTCATCAGCATGTCACAATCTTCCCATTGTAAAAGCTTAGACAGAATAAGAAACTCACATCACTTAGGCCATGGGGTCAAAGATATGACCCAATAACACAAGTAGGCAGTGCTCAGGCGGAAATAGACAGTCATAACACCTAGATGCTTTTTTAGGTATATGTCACAATTTCATCCATGTCCAGTCCTTTCATTCAGTTCTTTCTTTCTATCAGCTGGGTGTGCATACAAGACTCACAATTTCACCTGTATGCTGAGCCCTTCTTTGATTCTGCATGTATAACCCAAAGACTGTAAAATATGTGTGAGTGTTGTAATATTTTGTGACCTTTGTAGAAGAAGGTGATATGGGATATCACACATGTCCCTAAATGTAGTTATAATAGTCAAAATATCCTCTATTGTCTGAGTACACATGTAAGAGTCATTATCATTTCTGAGAGCCATGCCTAGGTATCAGTTACAACATTCTCTGTGGTTATAAAGCAGGCTGAATAGTCATATCGCCTAAATTCTGGACCAAACATATTCCAATATTCTCTTTGGAGGCAGGGTCGTGTCAGAAATGTCACATAACTTGTGTGCTAGATACAGCTCTGTGGCACAATGTTATTTGCGGGCAGTGTCCAGGCAGAAGAGGAGAGTCATATCACCTAAATGTTGAGCCCCAAAATATGTCACAATGTCTCCTATTGGCAGGACACAGACAAAATTGTCATATCATTTGGATATAGTGTTTAGAAATGCTACAATTACCAAAGCGAGCTGGGTACAGGCAGGAGAGGGGAGCCATGTAACCTAGGTGATGTGTCCAGAAATATGTTACAAAATCCCCTGAGGACATTGTTAAGATAGCAAGAGTCAAATCACCAAGGTGCTTGACCCAGGTGTTTGTCAAGATCTCATTTGTGGGTGATACCTAGGCAGAATTATTAAATCTCTCAGGAGCTGGGCAAAGGTACATGTCACAATTACACCTGTGGAAAAGTTTAAGAGTCACCATACTGCACATGTCTTGGCTCCAGGCGTATTAGCTGTTATTAGGCTTTTGTTATGGTCTCAGGTATATGGCACAATATCACCTCTGGTCAGAGAGAATGCAAGAAAGTCACATCACCTACATGGGTGTGGCTCCATTGAGATATCACAATCCACCCTGTGGGCAGAACCTTGGCAGAAAAGTCACATCACCTGGCTGCTGGTTTGAGTGACATCAAAGCCCCATTGTGAACATGACTTTGGAAAGAGGGGAGACTCAGTTAACCTAGGCAATTGACCTAGGTATATGTCACAATGGCCCTTATGTGCAGTACCAAGGCTGGAGAGTGACCTCACATTGGCCCGTTGGTTCAGCAATATGTCACAATCGGCCTGTGGTGAGGGCACAGGCAAAAGTGAAGAAATATCACCTTAGGTTCTGAGCTGAGTGATATGTTACAATGCTTCCTGCTAGAAGAATGCAAAAAAGAGTATCTCAACACCTGGATGAAGTGCCCAGTTAAGTGTCACAATTCACTGTAACTGAAGGGCCAAGGCAGTACAAAGGAGTCACATCACTTATGTGATGGACCTAGATATAGGACACAATTTTCTTTGTAGTCAGGCTTCAGGCAGATAATTTACATCACCTTGGTGATGGTACCAGTAATATATAAAAGTACCCTTTTTAGGCAGACTCAAGGAACATGTTATATATTGCTTAGGTGCCTGTTCCACATATGGCACAATTTCATTGTGGTCTGAGCCTAGAAAAGAGAGTCAGATTATTTATGTGCTGGGCAAAGTTACCTGCCCCAATCACATGCTAAGAAAGGTTCAGAAATAATTTTCACAACCCACACAAGTCCTGGTTTCATGTATGTGAATCAATCCTGTCTATGACTTAGGCCAAAGTAGAGGAGTCACAATCTGAACAATGGGCAAGATCCATGTATAAGAGCCCCAATGACTTATTGTGTCAATGAGATTGTGTCATATCACTGGGCTTAGTAGCCCATTGTTAGAACTTTTGTTTAAATTGTTTCCCATGTGTGCATTATAACACTCTTCTGCCTGGGTACTGCAAACAAGAAATATTGTCACATGTCTCTGAGCCTATCTGCTAGGTGATTTGTCTGTTTTAGCTGTGCTTTGCTCCCAGGGAACATTGTGACATCTTTTAATGTGGCACCTAGGAAATGTGACTTCTCTTTTCTGCCTAGGTCCTGTGCACTAAAGAAATATGTACATAGTGCTGAATGCAAAACTTAAATAATGCAACTCTCCTCTTTTTTTCTGGAGTCTGAAAAAAGAGGGCATTATTAAATATTGCTGAGGCTAGCACCTTAATGCTGTATCCAGATGATATAACTCTTCTGACTTGGCACTGTCTGCAAAAGAGATTATAATGTATTCTGAGCTCAAAATCCTGGTGATGAGACTCTTCTTCCTTAGTTCTGCCCACAGGAGAAATAGTGACATATACATGAGTTCAGCTCACATGTACAAATATAGCTATCATACCTGGACCCATAAAGAAGAGACATTTGGACTCTCAAAACTGGTCGTATGTCCATAAGTAAAGCAATGGGTCTACTAATTTTATAAAGTTCACAGAGGACTATGACACTCAGGCATATGATATAAATCCTGAGTGAGTCAGGATTTATACTCAATGTGACTACTATTGAGTATAAAACCTAGGTGATATATCCACAGGGACAGCAAGCCATTGCTATTGTGACTCTTGGATAAACACTCAGCTGGCACATTTATGTATCACTGGGACCAGCATCCAGGTGATGTGAATTCTTTGCCTGAGTGCTGCCTAAAAAGAGCATTTTGGCTTATATCTAGATCAATCAAGTAAGTGATGTGACTCTCTTCTACTGCCTTCACCCTGCACTTATGGTGCATTGAACACATAACTGGGTTCTGCACCCAGGTGATGTGACTCTCCCTTTTGGGTTCTGCCAACAAGAAGCTTTGTAACATATCACTTTGCTCAGCACCTAAGTCATGTTTCTTCTATCTTATCTCGACCTGATCACAGGGGAGACTGTGACATATTGATAAGTCCAGCACCAAGGCGTGGTCACTTTCACACCTTGGTTTTGCACATAGCAGCCATTGTGATGTGTATCTATTCCAATTGCCTAGGTTACATGAGCCTCCTCTCTTTCTTAATCCTTGCCAACAGGTGGAATTTTGATATATCACTAAAACCAGCATCCAGATGATATGATTCTTCTTCCAGGGTCCTGCCCACAGATGGATTGTGACATCTCACTGGACCAGCACCCACCCAGGTGTGGTGACCTTCCCACTTGCTTGCCACCCACAGGTGATATTGTGCCATGTACTTAAGATGAGATAAGAGGACTAATGATGACTCTTAAATCCGGAGACAGGTCATATGCAAGATGGTGACTCCCAATCCTGAAGCATTTCACTAGTGTGATTGTGACATATACATTTGCCCAGCTTCTGAGTGATTTCATAATCCTGCCTAGGTGTAGTCCACAGGTGAGATTCACACATATACTTCAGCTGGTCACCACGGTGATTTGACTCACCTGTCTTAACAATATCCTCAGAAAGTATTGTAATATGTCTCTGAATCCATCATCTAGGTTACCTGTCTCTCCTCCTCTGCCTGGACCCTGCTTCCATTGGGGATTGTAGCAATATTTTTCCTTTTTCTTTTTTCTTTTTGTCACCTAGGTTGGAGTGCAGTGGTGCAATCTCAGCTCACTGCAACCACCGCCTTGGAGGTTGTAGCATTTTTAAGCACTGCATGCAAATGACATGACTCTCTTTCCTCATCCTTTCAAGCAACTTTTCTTCCCGGAAATTGCCTACAAGGAGAATATTTGAAAATTCCTGATTCAGCATGTAGGTGTCTTGGCTATCACACCTGTTTCATTACCACAGAGAAAACTGACATATAACTAGGCACAACTCATAGGCATAATAATGACTCATACCTCACAAATAGGAGTAATTTTTGACTCTCGTTATGGGCTTTAGAAATATAAGTGATTAATACTCTCAGCTAAAAAAAAAAAGGTCTGAGATTATAATGGCCTCAGAAATTTTATAAAGCCTTTGGCTTGTGCAGAGAGTTTAATGACAGAACACAGAAGAAAGATAAAATTCTGAGTCTCATACACACATCCAGCTGATAGTAAAGACCGTCACCATCTCATATATATGAAGCCAGATGTCACTACTGAAAACAAGATATGTGCGGTATTGTAAATCTTATCCAGGAAATTTTCTGCCAGTGTGGCTGTGACATAAATATTTGCCAAGCACCTCTGTGATTTGACTCTCCAGACTGGTTTCATCCCACATATGTTATTGTGATATGTACCTAGGCCAACCTCTAGGTGAGGTAATTCTCCTGCCTGGGCCTTGCTGTCAGTGAGAATCATAACATATCAGTAGATTCAGCACCCTAGTCATGTTATGTTTTTGCCTGAGCCCTGCCTACAGAAATCACTGTGACATATCACTAGGTCAACAACTTACGTGATGTAAGTCTCCTCATTTTAATGGGCCCTGTGCATTGTGGGGGATAGTGACATATGGCTGGGCTAGAAACAAAGCTGATGGTACTCTTTTGTGAGGGCCATGTCCTAAAAAGGGCATTATGACAAATCTCTGGGTCTTCACCTAGGTGATTTTGCTCTCCTACTTGGGTCATGTTTACCTGTATAGTGACATGTTGCTAGGCTAAGTACAAATGTAATGCTACACTTTCACCAGGGCCATGCTTCAGGGGGACATTGTGACATATCTCTGGGCCTATCACTTAGGTGATATGACTCCCTGCTTGGGTCCTGCCCACATAGAGCATTGAAACATAAGGGCAAAAACTGCACCAGTTTGCTGTCTCTTGCTTGGGTCCTGTCCTAAGGGAGCCTTGTGACATAGCTCAGGATCCAGCATCAAGGTGATGTGGCTCTTTTGCCTGTTTTCACCTAACATGTAAGATTGTGTCATGTATCTAGGGAAGCAACTACCTGATATGTGATATGAGTCTTCTGTTCTGTTTGAGCCCTGCCTACTTGGGATATTTGGCCATATATCTGAGCTCATGTCCTAAGTGATGTGACCCTGTTTTTCCACCAGAGACTTTATAATGGGTTAATGTGAACTATTTCTAAGTCCAATACTTAGATAATATAACTCTTCATTTTTTCCTGAACTTTTCCCTAAGAAGAGGAATTGTGACATATTACTGGGCTGAGCACACAGATGATGCTTCTCTGCTGCCTGGGTCATTCATAAAGAGAGAATTATGGCATATATTTGGGCCCCCAACCCTGATGATGTAAGTCTCCTGCCTGTGACATAGCAACAGAAAGTATTTTAACATACCTTGGGCCCATGTTGTAGGTGTGTTTGCTCTCATCATTTGTCTATTTTTCTTCCAAATTTGGGATTGTGTTATATTGCTGGTTCCAGCAGCCCAGTTAATGTAACCTTCATTTCTACATCCTGCTTAGAGGGCATTGTGACATATTGCTTGGCAGAACACCTAAGTTGTGCTACCCTCTTGCCAAGTTTTTTCCTACAAATTGGATTATTAAATTTACATTGCTTCTATTCAGAGGGATGATGATCAAATTTAAATTGTGATTACACCAATAGTTCATATTTTGCCTCTCGTCGCTATGTATATGGCAATAGGTAATGTTATGAGTTGTATATTTGTACAAAACTTAGAGAATGTTACAACTCTAACTCAGATTCTATAAACTTACTGGGTGGTACACAGAGTTTTATAACAGGGTCCAGCAAAAGATTAAGATTGTGATTCTTGATTACATATGCAGATGAGAACAAATGTTGTCATCATCCCACATTTACAAAAGCCACTGTTGAATTCCTGAATCTAACAAGTAAATAAGGTACAAAGATGGAATTTTGACTTTCATATGTGGATCTTGCTACAGATGAGATGGTGACTTATTTCTGGACACAGATCACAGGCATAATAATGAGTCTCCCATCTCAACCCAGCCTATAAGGGAGATGTTGACTCATAGCTGGGTTTAAAGCAATATATAAGATTGTGAGTCACTATGAGCATGTATGCCTCAGAGTGGATTGCTACTCTTATGTATGTTGCATAAAGCTTTCCAATGTTGTAGAATGTGTCATACGGTGAGCCAGAAAACACATGAGATTGTCACTCTCATATACACATCAAGCTAGAAGTTAAAGATGTCACACTAAAAAATGAAGAGATTGTGTCCTATCTCTAGGCCTAGTACTCCTAGGCGTTGAGAATTTTTTGCTTAAATTCTCTTTTTTTTTTTTTTTACTGAAAATATTATGTTTATTTATTTATTTATTTATTAGTATTATTATACTTTAAGTTTTAGGGTACATGTGCACAATGTGCAGGTTAGTTACATATGTATACATGTGCCATGCTGGTGTGATGCACCCATTAACTCATCATTTAGCAGTAGGTATATCTCCTAATGCTATCCCTCCCTCCTCCGTCCACCCCACAACACTCCCCAGAGTGTGATGTTCCCCTTTCTATGTCCATGTGTTCTCACTGTTCAATTCCCACCTATGAGTGAGAATATGCAATGTTTGGTTTTTTGTCCTTGTGATACTTTACTGAGAATAATGATTTCCAATTTCATCCATGTCCCTACAAAGGACATGAACTCATAATTTTTATATGGCTGCATAGTATTCCATGGTATATATGTGCCACATTTTCTTAATCCAGTCTATCAGTGTTGGACATTTGGGTTGGTTCCAAGTCTTTGCTATTGTGAATAGTGCCGCAATAAACATATGTGTTCATGTGTCTTTATAGCAGCATGATTTATAGTCCTTTGGGTATATACCCAGTAATGGGATGGCTGGGTCAAATGATATTTCAAGTTCTAGATCCCTGAGGAATCGCCACACTGACTTCCACAGTGGTTGAACTGGTTTACAGTCCCACCAACAGTGTAAAAGTGTTCCAATTTCTCTACATCCTCTCCAGCACCTGTTGTTTCCTGATTTTTTAGTAATTGCCATTCTAACTGTGTGAGATGGTATCTCATTGTGGTTTTGATTTGCATTTCTCTGATGGTCAGTGATGGTGAGCATTTTTTCATGTGTTTTTTGGCTGCATAAATGTCTTCTTTTGAGAAGTGTCTGTTCATGTCCCTCACCCACATTTTGATGGGTTTGTTTGTTTTTTTCTTGTAAATTTGAGTTCATTGTAGATTCTGGATATTAGCCCTTTGTCAGACGAGTAGGTTACAAAAATTTTCTCCCATTCTGTAGGTTGCCTGTTCACTCTGATGGTAGTTTCTTTTGCTGTGCAGAAGCTCGTTAGTTTAACTAGATCCCATTTGTCAATTTTGGCTTTTGTTGTCATTGCTTTTGGTGTTTTAGACATGAAGTCCTTGCCCATGACTATGTCCTGAATGGTAATGCCTAGGTTTTCTTCTAGGGTTTTTATAGTTTTACATCTAACATTTAAGACTTTAATCCATCTTTAATTAATTTTTGTATAAGGTGTAAGGAAGGGATCCAGTTTCAGCTTTCTACATATGGCTAGCCAGTTTTCCCAGCACCATTTATTAAATATGGAATCCTTTCCCCATTGCTTGTTTTTCTCAGGTTTGTCAAAGATCAGGTAGTTATAGATATGTGGCGTTATTTCTGAGGGCTCTGTTCTGTTCTATTGATCTATATCTCTGTTTTGGTACCAGTACCATGCTGTTTTGGTTACTGTAGCCTTGTAGCAGTTTGAAGTCAGATAGCATGATGCCTCTAGCTTTGTTCTTTTGGCTTAGGATTGACTTGGAGATGTAGGCTCTTTTTTGGTTCCATATGAACTTTAAAGTAGTTTTTGCAATTCTGTGAAGAAAGTCATTGGTAGCTTGATGGGGAGGGCATTGAATCTTTAAATTACCTTGGGCAGTATGGCCATTTTCACGATATTGAGTCTTCCTACCCATGAGCATGGAATGTTCTTCCATTTCTTTATTTCCTCTTTTATTTCATTGAGCAGTGGTTTGTAGTTCTCCTTGAAGAGGTCCTTCACATCCCTTGTAAGTTGGATTCCTAGGTATTTTATTCTCTTTGAAGCAGTTGTGAATGGGAGTTCACTCATGATTTGGCTCTCTGTTTGTCTGTTATTGGTGTATAAGAATGCTTGTGATTTTTGCACATTGATTTTGTATCCTGAGACTTTGCTGAAGTTGCTTATCAGCTTAAGGAGATTTTGGGCTGACATTATAGGGTTTTCTAGATATACAATCATGTCATCTGCAGACAGGGACAATTTGGCTTCCTTTTTTCCTAAATGAATACCCTTTATTTCCTTCTCCTGCCTAATTGCCCTGGCCAGAACTTCCAACAATATGTTGAATAGGAGTGGTGAGAGAGAGCATCCCTGTCGTGTGCCAGTTTTCAAAGAGAATGCTTCCAGTTTTTGCCCATTCAGTATGATATTGGCTGTGGGTTTGTCATAGATAGATCTTATTATTTTGAGATACATCCCAACAATACCTAATTTATTGAGAGTTTTTAGCATGAAGATTGTTGAATTTTGTCAAAGACCTTTTCTGCATCTATTGAGATAATCATGTGGTTTTTGTCTTTGGTTCTGTTTATATGCTGGATTACATTTATTGATTTGCATGTGTTGAACCAGCCTTGCATCCCAGGGATGAAACCCACTTGATCATCGTGGATAAGCGTTTTGATGTGCTGCTGGATTTGGTTTGCCAGTATTTTATTGAGGATTTTTGCATCAATGTTCATCAAGGATATCGGTCTAAAATTCTCTTTTTTGGTTGTGTCTCTGCCTGGCTTTGGTATCAGGATGATGCTGGCCTTATAAAAAGAGTTAGAGAGGATTCCCTTTTTTTCTATTGATTGGAATAGTTTCAGAAGGAATGGTACCACTTCCTCCTTGTACCTCTGGTAGAATTCGGCTGTGAATCAGTCCTGTCCTGGACTCTTTTTGGTTGGTAAGCTATTGATTATGGCCAAAATTTCAGATCCTGTTATTGGTCTATTCAGAGATTCAATTTCTTCCTGGTTTAGTCTTGGGAGGGTGTATGTGTCGAGAAATTTATCTATTTCTTCTAGATTTTCTAGTTTATTTACGTAGAGGTGTTTGTAGTATTCTCTGGTGGTAGCTTGTATTTCTGTGGGATCGGTGGTGATATCCCCTTTATTATTTTTTATTGCGTCTATTTGATTCTTCTCTCTTTTTTTCTTTATTAGTCTTGCTAGCGGTCTATCAATTTTGTTGATCCTTTCAAAAAACCAGCTCCTGGTTTCATTAATTTTTTGAAGGGTTTTTAGTGTCTCTGTTTCCTTCAGTTATGCTCTGATTTTAGTTATTTCTTGCCTTCTGCTAGATTTTGAATGTGTTTGCTCTTGCTTCTCTAGTTCTTTTAATTGTGATGTTAGGATGTCAATTTTGGATCTTTCCTGCTTTCTCTTGTGGGCATTTAGTGCTATAAATTTCTCTCTACATACTGGTTTGAATGTGTCCCAGAGATTCTTGTATGTTGTGTCTTTGTTCTCGTTGGTTTCAAAGAACATCTTTATTTCTGCCTTCATTTCATTATTTACCCAGTAGTAATTCAGGAGCAGGTTGTTCAGTTTCCATGTAGTTTGGCGGTTTTGAGTGAGTTTCTTAATCCTGATTTCCAGTTTGATTGCACTGTGGTCTGAGAGATAGTTTGTTGTAATTTCTGATCTTTTACATTTGCTGAGGAGAGCTTCACTTCCAACTATGTGGTCAATTTTGGAATAGGTGTGGTGTGGTGTTGAAAAGAATGTATCTGTCTAATGTTGACAGTGGGATGATGACAGTGGGGTGTTGACAGTGGGGTGTTCACAGTGAGGTGTTAAACAGAGGGGTGTTGACAGTGGGGTGTTAAAGTCTCCCATTATTATTGTGTGGGAGTCTAAGTCTGTTTGTAGATCACTCAGGACTTGCTTTGTGAATCTGGGTGCTCCTGTATTGGGTGCATATATATTTAGGATAGTTAGCTCTTCTTGTTGAATTGATGACTTTACCATTATGTAATGGCCTTCTTTGTCTCTTTTTATCTTTGTTGGTTTAAAGTCTGTTTTATCAGAGACTAGGATTGCAACCCCTGCCCTTTTTTGTTTCCATTTGCTGGTAGATCTTCCTCCATCCTTTTATTTTGAGCCTGTGTGTCTCTGCATGTGAGATGGGTTTCCTGAATACAGCACACTGATGGGTCTTGACTCTGTGTCCAATTTGCCTGTCTGTGTCATTTAATTGGAGCATTTAGTCCTTTTACATTTAAAGTTAGTATTGTTATGTGTGAATTGATCCTGTCGTTGTGATGTTAGCTGGTTATTTTGTTCGTTAGTTGATGCAGTTTCTTCCCAGACTTGATGTCGTTACAATTTGGCATGATTTTGCAGTGGTTGGTACTGGTTGTTCCTTTCCATGTTTAGTGCTTCCTTCAGGAGCTCTTTTAGGGGAGGCCTGGTGGTGACAAAATCTCTCAGCATTTGCTTGTCTGTAAAGTATTTTATTTCTCCTTCACTTATGAAGCTTAGTTTGGCTGGATATGAAATTCTGGGTTGAAAATTCTTTTCTTTAAAAATGTTGAATATTGGTCCCCACTCTCTTCTGCCTTGTAGAGTTTCTGCTGAGAAATCCACTGTTTTTACTATACTGCATAGGTCATACAGAAAAAGAAAATTATAGCATATAGCTGCACCCAGCTCCCTAATGATATGACTCTTCTGCCTATGCCAGAGCCACAGAAGGTATTTTGACACATCCATTGTTTAGATGAATGTATAACTAGAATAACCAATGCAGAGACCTCCTTAAAGGAGCTGGTGAAGCTGAAAGCCAAGGCTCGAGAACTGCGTGAAGAATGCAGAAGCCTCAGGAGCCGATGCAATCAACTGGAAGAAAGAATGTCAATGATGGAAGATGAAACGAATGAAATGAAGCAGGAAGGGAAGTTTAGAGAAAAAAGAATAAAAAGAAAGGAGCAAAACCTCCAAGAAATATGGGACTATGTGAAAAGACCAACTCTACGTCTGATTGGTGTACCTGAAAGTGACGGGGAGAATGGAACCAAGTTGGAAAACACTCTGCAGGATATTATCCAGGAGAACTTCCCCAACCTAGAAAGGCAGGCCAACATTCAAATTCAGGAAATACAGAGAACACCACAAAGATACTCCTCCAGAAGAGCAACTCCAAGACACATAATTGTCAGATTCACCAAAGTTGAAATGAAGGAAAAAATGTTAAGGGCAGCCAGAGAGAAAGGTCGGGTTACCCACAAAGGGAAGCCCATCAGACTAACAGCGGATCTCTCAGCAGAAACTCTACAAGCCAGAAGAGAGTGGGGGCCAATATTTAACATTCTTAAAGAAATGAATTTTCAACCCAGAATTTCAGATCCAGCCAAACTAAGCTTCATAGGTGAAGGAGAAATAAAATACTTTACAGACATGCTTAAATTCTTTACCATGGGTGCGTTGTGAGGCATCGCTGGGTTAGAGTGATAAAAAGATGACTCTTGCTTGGACCCCAGCACCATGGGATATTACCACATATCTCTGGGCCTATCAGGTAGGTGATGTGTCTCTCCTCCCAATGTCATATCCACAGGGGACACTGTGACATATTGCTGGATATAGCATCTAGATAATGTGAATCTCCTCTGCTGCCTGGATCCTGCCCACTGAACAATTTGTGACTACCAATGAGTATAAAACCTAGGTGATGTGACTCTAACTTTGTTCTGTACTCTGTCATGAGAGGGAATTATAACATATTGCTGAGCATGGCACCTAGGGGTGTGACTATCCACTATTTTTTCAACGATGTATACAGTGGGCATGATGACATATTATTGGAGATTGTACCCAGGTGATATGAGCCTTCTGACTGGGTTCTGCCTACAGAGGAGATTATAATGTATGCCTGGCTAAGGACCCAGATGATGTGACTCTTCTGTCTGGTCTCTGCCCAAAGGTAAAATTGGACTTATTTGTGAAATCAGTTCATATGCACAACAATAACTTTCATAGATTGTCCAAGCCAGGGGGGATATTTTGAGTCTCATTGCTAGTCTTATGGCCATGGGTAAAGTCCTAGACTCCCACCTATGAGAATTCACAGAAAAGTGTGCTACTCAGGTATATCACATAAAGCATGAGTGGTACAAAGAGTTTCCTGACAGGCACCAACAAACATGTGCTACTTTGAATCTTGGATGCATACCCAGCTGACACAATTTTCATTCTCATACATAAGCTGAGCCTACAAATGAGGTACTAAGTCTCACACACATCAGCAGTCAAATCTTAAAATTGTAATTCTTATACATGAATCTGATCCACAGGTGGTTTGGTGACATTTGAACCTCGATTCAGCAAACCCGTGGTGCTTCGACTCTATTAATGGAGCACAATCTTCAAGTGGGATTGGGGCTGTTATGCATGCATCTTGCCCATTGTTGAGATTGTGACTGCTGTACTTTGATCCAACTCATAGGAGATGTTGACTCTCACACCCTAAGCCAGTACTTGTGTGTGACTGTGAAATGTATTTCTGAACATTTTTGAGTGTGTGATTAAAAAGTATAACTTTGACCAGCATCTGAATGTTTTGACTCTCCTTTCTAGGCCCAGAGCACAGTTCAAGCTGTGACATATGTGCGCCAATCACCTATGCAATATATAGCACCTTCTTTGGCAATAGGACAAAGGGCAATTTACATATCCCTGAAAGCAGCACCCAGCTGATGTAAAATCTTGGCCTGAACCCTGCCTACAGACAGCATTGTGGCTTTTATCAAGGTCCATCATATAAGTGATGTGACTTCCTTCTACTGCCTTGGCCTTGAACTTCTGGTGCATTGTTACACATAACTGGGTACTGCACCCATGTGATGTGACCCTTCGTTTGGTGGGGGGAGGTTGTACTAATACAAAAACTATGTAACATATCATGTGGCTCAGCACCTAGGTGATGTTTCTTCTCTCTTGACTGAGCGCTGACCACCAGAGAGATGGTGACATATAGGTGAAACTAGCACAAGGTAATTTCACTCTCCTGCCTTGGTCCTAAATATAGGGGCCATTGTGACATATACCCAGGCCAATTGCCCGGGTGAGGTTTGTGTCCTCTCCAGCTTAAGCCCTGCCCACAAGAGGGGTTTAGATATATGATTGAAACTAGCATCCTGATGATGGGACTCTTCTTCTAGAGGTCTGTCCACAACAAGGATTGTGACATTCAACTAGGCCAGCATCCACTCAGGTGATAAAAATTTCCTTTTTTCTCCATGTTCACAGGTTATATTGTGCCATATATGTGAGACCAGATCAAAGGCCTGATAATGACCCTTGTACCTGAAGCCAGGATGTGCAGAATGGTGACTCTCATCCCTGAAACTTTTTATAGGTGTTATTGTGACATTTTTGTTTGCCAATCTCCTGAATGATTTAATAATCCGACTTAGTTATAGCTGAGTTGACATTTTGACTTATGTCTGGGCAAAACCTTGATGATTTGACTCTTGTGTCTAAACTGTGTCTTCAAAAGGGATCATAACATATTGCTGGATTCATCTTCTAGGTTCTGTGTCTCTCCTCTCCTGCATGAACCTGATTCCAGTGCAGACTGTAGCATTTTTATGCACTGAATTCAAATGACACAATTCTATTGCCTGGGCCCTTTTCAACAGGAGTCATTGTGACATATCTCTGGGGCCATGGTTTAGGTAATATGACTCCACTCTCCTTCCTGGACATTCTCCACAAGGGGCATTATGCCATGGAGCTTTGCCTAGCATGCAAAGTTTGTGAATTTTCTGTTAGAGTCTTGCTTTCAAAGAGTATATTGGAATAATTCTGGATGAAAATTTAGGTGACGTGATTGTCCTGTCTGTTTAGTAAGCACAGAGGAAATGGTGACATTTACCAAGGCACAGCTAACAGCCATGATCATGAGTCTAATATGGAGACCCAGCCAATAAGATAAAGTTGACTTTTGTCACAAGATTTTGGGACATGAGTGATGTCAATGATCTTCTTTTGGTAAAAAGCCACAAAAAATTATAACTAACACATGTATTTTGTAACACCCTTGGATACAGAGTGTCATAATGCCTAGCACACAGAGAAAATTATGAGTCTCATATGCAAACTAAATAACAGCAAGGACTTTCAACATCAAAGAGGAATGAAAGCAACTGTCCTACATAAAAAGAGGACATGTGTGGTATTGTAAATCTAATCCTTAGAATTTAATTCCATTGTGAATATGATATAAATCTTTCCCAAACACCTGTGTGATTTCACTCTTCAGATTGTTTTCAGCCTATTTATGGAATTTTGATATCTATCTGGGCCCATTTTGAAGTGATGTGACTCCTCTGCCTGGGCTCTGCTCTCAATAAGAATTATGACATCACTGGATCTAGCACCCAGGTGATGTTACATTCTTGCCTCCCACAGACATCATTGTGATGTATCACTGTATCCATCACTTAGAAGAGGACGCCAGGGCCATGCCCAAAAGAGGGCATTTTGACCTATCAGAAGTCTATCATGTAGGTGATATGGCTCTTCTTGGGTCCTGCCCACTTGAATAATGATACATTGCCAGGCCGGGCACAAAGGTAACTGTACTCTTTTGCCAGGGCTATGCTTTAAAGAAGTTTTTGTGACATATCTCTGAGCCTATCACCTAGGTGATGTTACTCCCTGCTTGGCCCTGTCCAATGTAGCTCTGTGATATAAGGGTGGAACCTGCACCTAGGTGATGTAAGTATTTTGCCTGGGTCCTATTCTAAGAAGGACTTGTTTTCATCTCAGGACCCAGGACCAGTTGACATGGCTCTTGAGTCTGGTTTCCACCCACATATTAATTTGTGATATATACCAAAAGAAACACCTGTGTAATATGACTTCCTTTTTCTGCCTGAACCTTGGCTACTGGTGACATTGGGCCATATCTCTGAGCCCAGGACCTAATTGATGTGAGTCTCTACTTCTCTCTGGGCCTTTACAGTAGGAGGATTGTGACATATTGATGAGTAAAGTACTTAGGTAATGTGACGCTCATCTTGTTGCTGAATAATGCCCATGAAATGGACTTTTGTTATATTTCAGGGCCCAGCACCACATGTTGTTACTACACCGCATAGATCATACATAAAGAGAAAATTATAGCATATAGCTGCACCCAGCTCCCTAATGATGTGACTCTTCTGCCTATGCCAGAGCCACAGAAGGAATTTTGACGTATCCATTGTTTATTCTGCAGGTTCTTTTGGCTCTCATCACTTTACTGGGTTTCTTCCATGTGTGGATGTATCGCTTTGCTTTCTCCTGCCGTCTGTTAATGTAACCCTATTTCCTAGGTCCTGCCTAAATAGAGCACTATGGCATATTGCTTGGCACAGCACCTAAGTGATGTTAATCTTCAGCCTAGTTTTTTGCCCACAAATGGGATTATGACATATACCTGTCTTCAGTTCAAAGACATGTTGATCAAGCCTATATTTGGATTCAGCCAATAGGAGATATGTTGCCTCTCACCACTAGGTTGTTGTCAATAGGCAAGGTCCTCCATTGTATATTTGTACAAATCTCACAGAAGCTTACAACATTAACTCATATCATAAAAACTTCTTGTGTGGTACAGAAAGGTTCATAGTGGGGTCTGAAAAAGTTAAAATTGTGACTTTCATCTAGATACTCAGTTGAAAGTAAGAGTTGTTACCATCCTACATTTACAAAACATTGCTGAGGTCCTGAGTCTAAAAAGTCAATACAGAACTAAGTTGGCATTGTGACTTTCCTAAACGAATCTGGTCACGGGCAGAATGGTGAGTAATTTCTGGACCCAGCTCACAGACATAATAGTGGTCTCATCCCTGAAACCAGCATATAGGAGAGATGTTGACTGTCATACCTGAGTTTAGGGCAATATGTAAGGTCCTGAGTCCCTACAAGCATGTAGGCCTCAGAGAGTTTTGCAACTCTGATGTATGTTGTATAAACATCTCAGGTGTTGTAAAGAGTGCCAGGCAACAAACAGCATACACGTGAGATTGTGACTATCATACACAACTCTATAACAGTTAATGGTGTCACCCTTAATAATGAGGTGATTGTGTTACCTCCCTTGGCAAAGTAAACCAATGTTGACTTTTTGGTTAAAATTCGTTTCCGTAAGGGCTTTGCTAAATATCACTGGTCAGAATATTGATACAGTTACTCTTCTGTCTGAGTCCTGCAAACAGAGAATATTCTCATTTATCTCCAGGCCTATTGGCTAGGTGATTTATCTCTCCAGCCAGTGCCCTGCCCAAACAGGACACTGTGACATATTGATAGATACAACATCTAGGTAATGTGAATTATCACTCCTGCCTGGATCCTGCCCACTGAAAAAATTTTGATATACCACTGAGTGCAAAACCTAAGTGACATGACTCTTTTTTGTTTTCCTGGACCCTGCAAAGTGAGGTAATTATTATACTTTACTGATCCCAGCCCCCAATGGTGTGACTTCCTTTTTTTTTTCTTCTTTAAACCTCTCTTCATTGGGCATGGTGACATATCACTTGAGGCAGTACCCAGATAGTGTGACTCTTCTGCCTGTTTTCTGCCCACTTCTTAGATTGGGATGCATAATGAAGGAAGCAGCTGGGTGATATGACTCTCCTTTTCTTTCTGGGCCCTGACTACTGGGGACAGTGGGATATATCTCTGAGGCCATGATCTCAGTGAATTGACTCTCTTCTTCTACCTGGTCTTTACAATGGGGGAGATGGTGATATATTGCTGAGCCCAGGACTCAGGTTATTTCACTCTCATTTTTCTCTTGAACCATGGCCATAAACAGATATTTTGACATATTGCAGAGTCCAACACCTAGATAATGTTACTCTTTTACCTGGGTCATCTATATACAGAATATTATGGCATAATGCTTGGCCCAGAACCCTGATGATGTGACTTTCATGAGGATGCCAGAACACCAGAAGGTATTTTGACATACTCTGGGCCCACTATGTAGGTGTTTTGACTCTCACTTTTTGGCTTTTTATTCTTCCACATGTGGGATTGTGCTGTATTGCTGAGTTCAGCACCCAATAAATATGACTCTAATTCCTACACCCTGCCTAGAGAGGGTATTGTGACATGTTGCTTGTCACAGCACCTAAGTGATATTACCCTGTGGCATAGATTTTTTTGCCCACAAATGGGACTATGATATACACTTTACTTCAGTTTACAGGCATGATTGACAAACTTATATTTGAATTTAGCCAATAGGAGATATTTTGCCTTTCATCGCTAGGCCTAGGGAAATAGGTAAGGTCCTGGGTTGCATATTTATACCAAGCTCAAAGACCTTTACAACATTCACTCATAATGTATCATCTCCTTCAGTTATACAGAGAGTTTCATGACAGAGTCCACCAAAAGTTCAGACTTGGACTCTCAATTACACACCCAGGTGAAAGCAGATGTTGTCACCACCCTATATGTCCAAAGCCCACTGTTAGGGTCCTGAGTCTAACAAGTGAATGCAGTACAACATTGGAGCTGTTACTTTTATATGTGGATCTGACCACAAGTGAGAGGGTGAGTCATTAATGGATCCAGCTCACAAACATAAAAATGGGTCTCATTCCTGACCCCAGCTTACAGAAGAAATGTTGACTATTACACCTTGTTTTAGGGAAATATATACGTAAGATTGTGAATCTATAGGAACATGTAAGTCTCACAGTGGTTTGCAACTCTCATGCATGCTGTATAAAGCCTTCAAATGTAGGTAAAGTGTTATACAATGGTCCAGGAAACACAGGAGACTGTGAATCTCATACACACCCAGATCACAGTTAGTAGGGTTACTCTCAAAGACAAGGAGATTTGGTATCTTACTAGGCCTAGTATCCAGGTGTTGAGACATTTTGGATTAAATTTCTTTTCACGGGTGCATTGCTCCATATTGCTGGGTTAGAATCATAAAAATGTGACTCTTCTGCCTGGACCTGGCAACAGGGGCTATTATCACATATCTCTTGGCCTATAAGCTAGGTGATTTGTCTCTTCTCCTTGTGTCATGCCCCCAGCAGGCATTGTGAAATATTGTTTGGCATAACATTTAGGTAATATATCTCTCCTCTCCTGCCACATCCTGCTCACCAAAGAAATTGTGACATACCGCTGACTTCAAAACCTAAATAATGTAACTCTCCTTCATATTCTAGACTCTGCTCAGAGAGGTGGTGATTACATATTGCAGAGCCCAGCACCTAGGTTAAGTGACCTTCTTCTTCTTCTTTCTTCTTCTTCTTCTTCTTCTTCTTCTTCTTCTTCTTCTTCTTCTTCTTCTTCTTCTTCTTCTTCTTCTTCTTCTTCTTCTTCTTCTTCTTCTCCTCCTCCTTCTCCTTCTTCTTCTCCTTCTCCTTCTCCTTCTCCTTCTCCTACTTCTTCTTCTTCTTCTTCTTCTTCTTCTTCTTCTTCTTCTTCTTCTTCTTCTTCTTCTTCTTCTTCTTCTTCTTCTCCTCCTTCTTCTTTATTCTTCTGTCTTTGTTTTTGTTTTGAGACAGAGTCTTGCACTGTTGCTCGGGCTGGAGTGAAGAGATACAATGACAGCATACTTCAACCTCCGCCTTTAGGGGTCATGTGATTCTCATTTATCAGGTTCCTGAGTAGTTGGCATTACAGGCACTTGCCACCAGGCCTGGCTAATTTTCTTTTTTAGTAAAGACTGTGTTTTACTATATTGGCCAGGCTGGTCTCAAACTCTTGACTTCATGATCTGCCTGCCTTTGCTTCCCAAAATGATGCAATTACAGGTGAGAGCCACAGCACCCAGTGGACTCTCCTCTCTTTCTTCTACCCTATCTATAGTGGGCTTGGTGACTTAACTATTTGAGGCTTTATCTATGTGATGTGACTCTTCTGACTAGGCTCAGACTACAAATGAGATTATACTGTATCATTGGATTAGCACCAAGGTGATGAGCCTCTCCTGCCTTGTCTCTGCTCACAGCAGAAATTGTGACATATACCAGGGTTAAGTAAACATGTGCAATAAAAGTCTTATTACTGGACCTAGTCAGTAGAGATATTTTGACTTTCATAACCAGTCTCACAGCCATGGGTAAAGTCCTGGGTTATTCACAATTATAAATTTTTAGAAAAATTATAACTCTAAAGTATATCATATAAATCTCAATGGTAGAAAGAGTTTCATAACACAATCCATCAACGACATGAGAATGTGACCCTTGTATGCCCACTTAGCTGATATGATTGTCATCACACATGAAGAGAGTTAAACATGAGGTACTAAATCTCACACATAAAAAGCAGTCAAAGTTTGAAATAATTACTTTCATACATGGCTTTGATTCACAAGTGATTTGGTAACATTTGAACCATGATTCATCACACTTCTGGGGCTGTGACTCCTTTCCTGAAAACAATCTTAAAGTGAAATCGGGGCTCTTATACATGGATCTTGTCCATTGTTGAGGATGGGACTCCTCTACTTTGACCCAACTTATAGAAAGGGTTGACTCACATACACGAATCCAACAATTGTGTGGGATGTGAAACTTATTTCCGAGAGTGTAATTTCCCAGCACAGGAATAATTGGACTCATTTTCTAGGCCCAGACCACAGATAAAATTGTGCCCTATGTGGAACAAACACCTAAGCAATAGATGACACATTCCTCTTCTCTGCCTACAAAGGATACTTTATAAATTACTGGGACCATCAACCAGGTGTTGTGAATTATCTGCCTGGAACCTGCCTACAAAGAAAAGTGTGTCTTATATCTAGGTTCATCACCTAAGTGATGTCATTCCCTTCTACTGCCTTGGCCCTGAACTTACATGAATTGTGACACATAATTGGAAACTGCACCCAGGTGATGTTTTTGTTACTGCTTAAAGGAAGCTTGTAACATGTCACTTGGCTCAGCATCTAGGTGATGTTTTCTTGCTTTTGCCTGGGTCCTGACCACAGAGATATTCTGAGATATTGCTTGAGCCAGCAGAAAGTTGAGTTCACTCTCCTGCCTTGGTACTGAACATTACAGACACTGTGAGTTGTATCTAGCTCAATTGCCTAGGTGAAGTAAGCCTTCTCTCTTGCTGAAGTCCCACACACAGAGGGGGTTTAGATATATCACTAAAACCGACATCCAGGTAATGTGACTCTTCTTCCAGGGTTTGGCCCACAAGGTGGTTTGTGACATCTCCTGGACCCATACCCATGTAGGTTATGTGACTTTCTTACCCTCTTTCTGGCCACAGGTGATATTATGTCATATACCTGAGACCATAAGAAAAGTCTATTAACAACAAATATGCTAACATCCTGCACAAGTGCCGGGTGGTGACTCTTATTACTAAACCTTTCCATGAGTGTAATTGTGACATGTACCTTTGTCCATTTCCTGAGTGATTTAATAATTCTGCCTAGGTATAGCCCAAAAAAGAGATTTTGACAAATACCTGGGGCAAGCACCTGGGTGATTTGAGCTTGCTAACTTAACAGTGTCCTCATGAGGCTTGTAACATATTTCTGGAGTAATTTTCTAGGTTACATGACTCTCCACTCCTGCCTGGACTCTAATTCTTCTGGTAATTGAAGCATTTCTAAACGTGGCATCCAAATGATATGACTCTCTTGCCTGTGCCCTGTTAACAGGAGGCATTGTTTCATGTTTTGGGACCCATCATTTAGGTAATATGACAGTCCTCTCCTGCCTGGACACTGCCAACAGGGACATTGTGCCACAGAGCTGGACCTAGTGTAGAGGTCAAGTGACATTTCTGACAGAACCTTGCCTACAAAAAGATTACGGGAAAATTTCTGGCCCAGCATTTAGGTGATGTGACAGTTCTGCCTGCTTCAAAACTGGAGAGGGAATTGTAACATATAACTAGGAATGGCTCACAGGCATGATAATAGCTCTCATATGTGGACTCAGCCAATAGAGGTTATTTTGATTCATAACTAGGTTTATGGACTTGCTTGATGTCCTAAATTACCTTCTTGTACAAAGGTTACAAAAGATTACAACACTCATACATATTATACAAAGTCTTTGAGTTATACAGACAGAGTAAAAGCAGAACTCAAGACACAGGTGAAATTGTGAGTCTTGTGTGCACACCCAGGTGACAGTATGAACTGTCATCATGTTACACAGATGAAGCCAAATATCAACCAGAAAACAAGACATGTGTGGTATTGTAAATCTCATCTTTGGCATTTTCTGACAGTGTGATTGTGATATTAATTGCCAAGCACATGAGTAATTTGACTCTCCACACTTGTTCTAGCCATATATAAGATCATGATATCTACCTACGCCAACCTCAAAGTGAGGTGACTCTGCTGCCTGGGCCCTTGTGTAAGTAAGTGTTGTGATATGTCACTGGATCTGACATCCACATGATGTTACAATCTTGCCAGTGTCACCTGCGCCAAAATCATTGTAAAATTTTTTTGTGTCCATCTCATGGGTGATGTAGCTAATATCTCTGAAATACGCCCTGTAGAAAGAAAGGATAGTGACATAATCAAAGGCCAGGCACACAGGTGATGGTACCCTGTTGCCAGAGCCATGCTCAAAGGAGGACATTTTGATAAATCTCTGGGTCTATCACCTAGGCAATGTGGCTCTCCTGCTTGGGCCCTGCCAACCTGGAGATTGACATGTTTCTAATCCAGGCACACAGTTGATGGGTCTCTCTTGCCAGAGTTATGCTGTATAGATGACTTTTTGACTGACATATCTCTGGGCCTATATATCACTTAGGTGAAGTGACTCTCTTCTTGGGCCACGCCACATGAAGCATTGTGGCATAAGCAGAGAACATACACCTTCATGACATAAATCTCTAATTTGGGTGGTGTCCTAAGAGAGCCTGTGACATATCTCCGAACTCAGCACCCAAGTAATGTGGCTCTTTTGCCTGGCGTCTGCCCACATGTTACCTTGTGACATATTCCAAAGGAAGCACCTAGGTGATATGACTCTCCTCATCTACCTGAGCCCTGCCTACTGGAGACATTTGAAGATATCTCTGAGACCATGACCTAACTGATGTGACTCTCTTTTTCTGTCTGGGCCTTCACAGTAGGAGGATTTTCATACGTTGCTGAGCCTAGCACTCAGGATATGTCACTCTCCTCTTTTATTGAACCGTTTCCACAGAAAAGGAATTTTGACCTTTTGCAGGGCCCATATCCCAGATGTCATTCTTCTGTCTTGGTTCTGAATAAAGAGGAAATTATGACATATTGCATATTGCTAGGCCCATCACCCCTATGATGTGACTCTCTTGCCCGTGTTTGAGCCAATAAAGGTATTTTGACATATCTTGGGCTCATTATGTAGGTGTTTTGGCTATCACAACTTGGCTGGGTTTTTTCCCACATCTGGCATGGTGTCATATTGTTGGGTCAGCACCCGATTAATGTGATCCAATTTCTTATACTATATCTAGAGAAGGTATTGTGATGTAATGTATGGCACAGTAACTAAGTGATGTTACCCTCTTGCCTAGTTTGTTGTCCACTTATGAGATTATGACATATACCTTTCTTCAGTTCACAGGCATGATGATCAAACTTATACTTGGATTCAGCCAATAGGATACATTTTGCTTCGCAATGTTAGTCTTAGGGGAATAGGTAATGTCCTAGGTTGCATATTTTTACCAAGCTCATAGAAGGTTAAAACACTAACCCATATTGTATAAACTGTTTGGTGGTAGAAAGTTTCATGGGTCTTTTGGTGATGTATGATTCAGCATACCCATGAGGCTGTGACTACCCTACTGGAACACAATCTTCAAGTGGGATTGGGCCTCTTATTCATGGGTCTTGCCCATTGTTGTGACTGTGACTCAAATACTTTGACCAAACTCATAGAAAGTGTTGACTCCACATACACAAAACCAGGACTTGTGTGCGATGTGAAACTTATTCCCAAACATTTCTGAGAGTGTGATTAGGACAGGTAACTTTGCCCTGCAAATGAATAATTTGACTGTTTGTTCTAGGACGAGACCATAGAAGAAATTGTGTTGTGAACAAGCAACCTAGCAATATATTACACATTTCATGGTTCTGCCTACAAAAGGCAATTTTATATATCATTAAGAACATCACCCAGGTGATGTGAAATATCTGCTTGAAACCTGCTTATAAAGAGAATTGTGTTTTATATCTAGGCCCATCATGTAAGTGATGTGAATTCCTTCTACTGCCTTGGCTCTTCACTTACAGTGTACTGTGACACATAACTGGGTAGTGCACACAGGTGACATGATTCTCACTTTTGGGTTCTGCCAACAGGAAGTGATGTAACATATCACTTGTCTCAGCACCTAAGTGATGTTTCTTCACTTTTGCTTGGGCCCTGACCACAGGGAGATTGTGACACATTGCTAGTCCCAGAAAAAATGTGAGGGCACTCTCCAGCATTGGTACTGCACATCGAAGACGTTGTGAGATATATCTAGGCAAATTGCTTAGGTAAATAAGTCTCCTCTCTTGCTACAGTCCTGCCTACAGAGGCAGTTTGGATATGTCACTGCAATCAGCATACAAGTGATGTGACTTTTATGCCAGGGTCCTGCCCTTCAAAGGTGAATTGTGACATCTCACTGGAGCCACCACCACATAGGTGATGTGACTTTCTTGCCTTCTCTATGGTCAGTTGATATTGTGCAATATGCCAGAGATAATAACAGAAGTCTAATAACAACTCCTATGCCTGGCTTCAGGAGAGGGGCAGGAAGCTGACTCTTATTCTTAACCTTTCCACAAGAGTAACTGTGACATGTACTTTTGCCCAGATCCTGAATGACTTAATATTTCTGGCTAGGTATAGCCCATAAATGAGATTTTGACAAGTAGCTGTGACACATATATTAGTGATTGGCCTTTGCTATCTTAACAAAGTCACCAGGAGGGAATCATAACATATTTCTGGACCCATATTCTAGGATACATGCCTTTCCCCTCCTGCCTGGATCCTGCTTTTTTTGGTAATTGTAGCTTTTCTAAACACTACGTCCAAATGATATGAATTTCTTACTTGGACCCTGCCAACAGGAGGCATTCTGACATATGTTAGGGCCCAACATTTAGGTTATATGACTCTCCCCTCCTGCCTGGACATTGCCCACAAAGGACATTTTACCAGAGAGGTGGATCTAGAACACAAGTTATGTAAAATTTCTGACAGTATCCTGCCCACTAAGAGAATGTGGCAATATTTCTAGCCCAGAATTCAGGTGATGTGGCTGTTCCATCTGCTTCATAACCACAGAGGGAATTGTAACATATACCTAGGCACAGCTCACAGGAATGATAATGACTCTCATATGTGAACTCAGCCAATAGAGAATATTTTGACTCATAAGTAACTTTAGGGACATGCATGATGTCTTGAATCACCTTCTTCTGCAAAGGTCACAAAAGATTACAACATTCACACATATTTTACCCAGTCTTTAGATTCAGACAGCATCAAAGCAAGGCTCAGCACACAGGTGAAATTGTGAGTCCTGTATGTGCACTGAGCTGTGAGTAAGGACTGTCATTATCTCACATGGATTAAGCCAACTGTCACATATAAAAGCAAGATGGGTGGTATTTTAAATCTCACCTTTGGAATTTTCTGAAAATGTGATTGTGATAAAAATTTTTGCCAGGCTCCTGTGTAATTTGACTCTCCAGAATGTTTCTAACCCAGGATTGTGATATCTGTTTAGGCCAAACTCTAGGTGATATGACTCTCCTGCCTGGATCCTTCTCTCAGTAAGGATTGTAATATATCCCTGGATCTAGCATCCAGATGATGTTACATTCTTGCATGTGCCATGCCCATGCAAATTATTGTGACATATTTCTGTGTCCACATCACTCGTGTTGTAACTCTTTTCTCTGGAATGGGCTGTACACAAAGAAAGGATAGTGACATATTGGAAGGCCAGGTCTGCAGGCAAGAATACTCTTTTGCCAGAGCCATGACCAAAGGAGGACATTATGACATATCTCTGGATCTATCAACTAGGAGATGTGGCTCTCCTGCTTAGGCCCTGCCAACCTTGAGAGTGAAATATTTCTTGGTCAGGCACACAAGTAGTGGTACTCCTTTGCCAGGGCTATGCTTCGTAGAGGACATTGTGACATATCTCTGGACCCATCTCCCAAGCGAAGTGATCCCATATTTGGGCCTTACCCACATGGGATATTTTGGCATACGCAGAGAAACTGCACCTAGGTGGTGTAACTTTCTCTGCTGGGGGCTGTTTTAAGAGAGTCTTGTGCCATATCTCAGGACCCAGCAGCCAAGTAATATGGCTCTTCTGCTGGGTTCTGACCACGTGTTACCTTATGATGTATTCCATGGGAAGCACGTAAGTAATATCTCTGTCTTTTTCTGCCTGAACCCTGCATGCTAGGGATATTGTGACATATCTTTGAGCCCATGACTTCAGTGCTGTGACTCTCTTTTTCTGTCTGGGCCTTCAAAATAGGAGGATTTTGGAACATTACTGAGCCCAGCACTCACAATATGTGACTCTCCATTTTTTTCCTGAATTATGCCACAATAAAAGGAATTTTGAAATATTGCAGGGCCTATAACCCAGATGATGTCACTCTACAACCTTGGTTCTGCATAAAGAGAAAATTATGACATAACACATATTGCTGGGCCCAGCAACCTTATGATGTGACTCTCCTGCCCGTGCTTCAGCCAATGAAGGTATTTTGACAACGGTAGCCCATTATGTAGCTGTTTTGGCTCTCATATTTTGGCATGTTTTTTTTCCATATGTGGGATGGTGTCATATTGATGGGTCCAGCACCCAGTTAATTTGACCCAATTTCTTATACCATGCCTAGAAAAGGCATTGTTACTTATTGCCTGGCACAGTATCTAAGTGATGTTATCCTTATGCCCAGTTTTTTGCTCATATATGGGATTATGACATACAATTTTCTTCAGTTCACAGGCATGATGATCAAACTTAGACTGAGATTCAGCCAATAAAAATATATTTCACCTCTCAGTGTTATCCTTAGGGCAATAGGTAAGGTCCTGGGTTGCATATTTTTTCCAAGTTCACAGAAGTTTACAACATTAAATTATATTGCGAAAACTCTGGTGGTAGGGAATTTTATAACAGGGCCCAGCAAAAAGTTCAGATTGGGGCTCTCATTTACACACCCAGATGAAATTAAAAATTGTCACCATCCCACGTTTACACTGCCCAGTGTAGAAGTTCTGAGTCTAACCAAGGAATACATCACAAAGTTGGAATTGGGACTTTTCTATGTGGATCTGGACACAGGTGTCACGGTGACTTATTTCTGAACAGAGACCACAGGCATAATAATGGGTGTTCCTGGCCAGGCATGGTGGCTCACACCTGTAATCCCAGCACTTTGGGAGGTACAGTCAGGTGGATCATGAGGTGAGCAAATCGAGACCATCCTGGCTAATATGGTGAAAGCCCTTCTCTAAAAACTACAAAAAAATTAGCCAGACTTGGTGGCAGTTGCCCCTTGTCCCAGTTACCTGGGAGGCTGAGGCAGGAGAATCACTTGAACCCAGGAGGTGGAGGTTGCAGTGAGCCCAGATAGTATCATTGCACTACAGCCTAAGTGACAGAGTGAGATTCCATCTCAAAAAAAAAAAAAATCCTAAATAAATAAGTAAAAATAAAATAAAATGGGTCTTCTCTTTTAACCCTGCCTATAGGAGACATGTTGAGCGTCGTAACTCGGTTTAAGGCAATATGTAAGATTGTGAGTCCATATGAGCACACAGGCCTCAGAGAAGTTTGAACATCTCATGCAGGATTTTTAAGGCCCTTGGATGTTTTTGAGAGTGTCATTCGTTGGTCCAGCACACACGTGAGATTGTGATGAGTGCATTGTTACATATCACTAGGTCAGGATCATAATAACATGCCTCTCCTGCCTGGGCCTTTTTAACAGGGGATATATCACATGTATCTGGTTCTATCAGCTAGGTGACTTGTCTCTGCTGCCTATGCCCTGCTTCCAGAGAACATTTTGAAATATCACTGAAAGTAGCATCTAGGTAATGTAATTCTTCTCTCCTGTCTGGGTCCTAAGCCCATAGGAATTGTGACATATGGCTGATTGTAAAAGCTAGGTGGTATGTCTCTCCCCTTTATTCAAGAATATATGTCTGTGTTGCATTCTATTTCATTACTTTTGGTATTCTACCTTTATACCAGTATCAAAGTGCTTTGATTACTGTAGTACTTTGTGTGTGTTTGAAATTTGTTATGTGTAATGCTTCTAATATTTTTCTGCTTTTTAAAGCTTGTTGTGGTCTCAAGGTCTTATGTAATTTTGTGATTATTTTTCTATTATTGGAAAATTCAAATTTAAAATTTAAAACGGGTGTGTTTTATATGTGGGTTACACTAAGCAGCATGGACACATCATAATATTATATCTTCAAACCCTTAAAAGGAACATGCTCAAAATATGTTGTTGGCCAGGCATGATGGCTCATGCCAGTAATCTCAGTACTTTGGGATGCTGAGGAGGGTGCATGCAGAGGTCAGGATGCTGAGGCCATCCTGGACAACCTGAAGAAACCACGTCTCTACTAAAAAATAAAAAAAAAATTGTAATTTATGGTTGTTTGTGTGACCATATTGCAGGATCTTGCCAGCAGCCCACAATGCAATGGGGCTCTCTCTTTGTTCCCAGGCAGATCAGCAGGTTGAGAAATAATAGACACACACAAGGTAGTGAAAGCTGGGTCCAGGGGGGTCACTGCCTTCTGGTCCCACGGTGTAAACAATGCACTGGATATACCAGCATTTATTATTAAGTTTAGTGAGGGTGGGGGTAGGTTAGTGAGGGATTTAGGGTCATTTGATTATGAGGTGAGATGGTCGCATGGGGATGAAGTAATTCTTTAACATAACATCTGTATGCAGGAGTACAGTATACAGAGATAAGAATTTACAATATAGTGTGTGCATCAGTAATTTATAACAGAGCCTTAAAACAGAAACACAGTCTTTCCATAACCTGTGATTAGCAAAATATTAATCAGCAGTAACAGTTGCAGCAAAAGCTGGTTATAAACAATCCATAGAAACAGGATGTGAAGCTAGACAACTGGTTAGACCAGAAATTCTCAGAAGGGAGTATACCTTAACCCTAAAGAGGCCTAGAAGAGCCATGGCAAGATGTGGGCATTGGTAGCCCTATCTTATCCATATAGACAAGCATCCCCCATGTATCCATTTATAGGCTCTCCACAAGGGTCGCATTCCATTCCCAGAGGTATGAACATCTGCTTTTGCATGCAATTTTGTATTTACAATAATCAGGAGTATTTCATCTTTTATTCTGTAGCAATAGTTTCAGGGAGTCTTCCTACATGACTGTATTCTCAGCTACTCAGGAATCATGGCGGTTTGTGCACCTATATTCCCAGCTACTAGAAAGGGTGAGTCCACGGAATCGCTTGAACCCAGGAGTTGGAGGTTGCAGTTAGCCATCACTGTGACACTGCACTCCAGCCTAGGGACAGAGCAATACCCCATCTCAGAAAGAAAGAAACAAACAACAACAACAAAACTTTTTTTTCTGTTACCAATTTCTAGTTTTATTCCTTTGGGCTATAAATAATTGAAAATTTTAACTTAAAAAATGTTAAGTCTTCTTTTGTGGTGTCACACGTGGTCCATCTAGGAAAATATTTTGTTAGCTATTGAAAATAATGTGTTCTTTTGGCTTAGGATTGACTTGACAATGCAGGCTCTTTTTTGGTTCCATATGAACTTTAAAGTAGTTTTTTTCCAATTCTGTGAAGAAACTCATTGCTAGCTTGATGGGGATGGCATTGAATCTATAAATTACCTTGGGCAGAATGGCTATTTTCATGATATTGGTTCTTCCTATCCATGAGCATGAAATGTTCTTCTATTTGTTTCCTCTTTTATTTCATTGAGCAGTGGTTTGTAGTTCTCCTTGAACAGGTCCTTCACATCCCTTGTAAGTTGGATTCCTACATATTTTATTCTCTTTGAAGCAATTGTGAATGGGAGTCCACTCATGATGTGACTCTGTTATTGGTGTATAAGAATGCTTGTGATATTTCCACATTGATTTTTGCACAAGTCTTATCCTGAGACTTTGCTAAAGTTGCTTATCAGCTTAAGGAGATTTTGGGGTGAGACGATGGGGTTTTTTAGACACACAATCATGTCATCTGCAAACAGGAACAATTTGTCTTCCTCTTTCCCTAATTGAATACCCTTTATTTCTTTCTCCTGCCTGATTGCCCTTGCCAGAACTTCAAACCCTATGTTGAATGGGAGTGATCAGAGAGGGCATCCCTGTCTTGTGCCAATTTTCGAAGGGAATGCTTCCAATTTTTGCCCATTCAGTATGATATTGGCTGTGGGTTTGTCATAAATAGCTCTTATAATTTTGAGATATGTCCCATCAATACCTAATTTATTGAGAGTTTTCAGCATGAAGGGCTGCTGAATTTTGTCAAAGGCCTTTTCTGCATCTATTGAGATAATCATGTGGATTTTGGGTTTGGTTCTGTTTATGTGCTGGATTACATTTATTGATTTGCATATGTTGAACCAGGCTTGCATCCCAGGGATGAAGCCCACTTGCTTATGGTGGATAAGCTTTTTGATGTGTTGCTGGATTCGGTTTACCAGTATTTTATTAAGGATTTTACATCAATATTCATCAGGGATATTGGCCTAAAATTCCCTTTGTTGTTGCTTCTCTGCCAGGGTTTGGAATGAGGATGATGCTGGCCTCACATAATGAGTTAGGGAGGATTACCTCTTTTTATATTCATTGGACTAATTTCAGAAGGAATAATACCAGCTCCTCCTTGTAACTCTGGGAGAATTTGGCTGTGATTGCCTATGGTCCTGGACTTTTTTTGGTTGATAGGCTATTAATTATTGCCTGAATTTCAGAGCCTGTTATTGGTCTATTCAGGGATTCAACTTCTTCCTGATTTATTCTTCGGAGGGTGTATTTGTTTAGGAATTTATCCATTTCTTCTAGATTTTCTAGTTTATTTGTGTAGAGGTGTTTATAGTATTTTCTGACGGTAGTTCGTATTTCTGTGGGATCAGTGGTGATATCCCTTTTATCATTTTTTTATTGCATCTGTTTGATTCTTCTCCCTTTTCTTCTTTAGTAGTCTTCTTAGTGGTCTATCAATTTTTTGATCTTTTCGAAAAAACAGCTCCTGGATTCATTGATTTTTTGAAGGGCTTTTTGCATCTCTATCTCCTTCAGTTTCACTCTGATCTTAGTTATTTCTTGCCTCCTGCTAGCTTTTCAATTTGTTTTCTCTTGCTTCTTCAGTTCTTTTAATTGTGATTTTAGGGTGTCAGTTTTAGATCTTTCCTGCTTTCTCTTGTGGGCATTTAGTGCTATAAATTTCCCTCTACACACTGCTTTCAATGCGTCCCAGAGATTCTGGTATGTTGTGTCTTTGTTCTCATTGGTTTCAAAGAACAAAATGAACTGAACGAGAAACACCTTTATTTCTGCCTTCATTTCCTTATGTACCCAGTAGTCATTCAAGTGTAAGTTGTTCAGTTTCCATGTAGTTGAGTGATTTTGAGTGAGTTTCTTTATCCTGAGTTTTAGTTTCATTGCACTGTGGTCTGAGAGACAGTTTGTTATAATTTCTGTTCTTTTACATTTGCTGAGGAATGCTTTACTTCCAAAATGTGGTCAATTTTGGGATAAGTGTGATGTGGGGCTGAGAAGAGTGTATATTCTGTTGACTTGGGGTGGGGAGTTCTGTAGATGTGTATTAGGTCTTCTTGGTTTTTTAGAGTTGACCTGGCCTTTGTCCCTAGCTGCCTTTAATAATTTGTTTTTCATTCAATTTGACCTTGTAGAATCTCATGATTATCTGTATTGCAAATGACCTTCTCATGGGATATCTTACTGAGGTTCTCTACATTTTGTGTATTTGAATATTTGCCTCGCTATCTAGGTGGGAAAGTTCTCATGGGTGATATTCTGAAATATGTATTCAAGTTGTTTTCATTCTCTCCAACATTTTCAGACACTTTCTTAAATCATATATTTGGTTTCTTTACAAGATTAAATATTTCTCATAGGTTTCATTCATTTTTTTTTATTATTATTCTTATCTGCCTTATTTCAGAAAGCCAGTACTGAAAGTCTGAGATTCTTTCCTCTGCTTGGCCTGTTCTGCAATTATTTGTGAGTAAATTATAAAGTTTCTGTATTGTGTTTTTTAGCTCTATCACGTTGGCCATATTTTCCTCCAGACTGGCTGTTTTATCTGTCAGTTTCTACATTTTCCCCTTCTTTGTATTCGCTTGCAACTTACTTTTATAGCTTTATAAAGTTAATTTCTATCCACATTCTGAATTCTACCTCTGTCATAATAGGCCTTACTGGAAACATAATTTGGTTATTTGGATTAAATAAGTCACTCTGGCTTTTTTTTTTTCAACATTTTTGCACTGTTTTTTTCTCATCTTTGTGGGCATATCTTTGAAGTTGCTGAACTTTGAATCAGGTTTTGTTTTTTATTAATCCTATTTGATGTTCTTGAGTATTTGATTGTGGCATAAGCTGTTTTCATCCAATAGGTCTTGTTCCTGGGAGAAGGTTATTATTATTAATTTTTGTTGTGGGGTCGGGGGACAATGCTTAGCTCACAACTCAGAGGTTACATACTCAGGGGGACTTGTATTGAGCCCCAATTGTCTTCCCTGTCTCCTTGATATTTGGAGTCTGCCACTTTGTGGGACTACATTGCCACAGCCGTAGCAGAGTGCTAGTTGATATGAAGTTTCTGCATGTCTTTGATTATTCACCTCAGTAGAAGGAGCAAAGTAGCTGGGATGGGAATAGGTGTTTCTGATGGAGACTGTGTGTGCTCTTGCACTAAAGGTGGTGTTAGCATGTGTCAGGTTGCTGGGTAATGAAGTTTTGAAGCCTTCTTTTTGCCCCCCAAAAAAGAAATGGTTGTTCATAGTGTGGGAGGATATGCTGTTCTCTGCACAGTGTTACCACAAAGGTAGTGGTGAGGCTTTTTGGCTCTAGGCCCACCAAAGCTTTATCTACAGTGGCAGTTGCTGTGGTGGCAGGTGCATACTGCATTTCCATTTGATGGTGGGCCAAGCAAAGCCAAATCTGCCTTTGAAGGCATGAGCCAGCAAACTAATATGAGAAGTTGCCATGTTTTGGGGGGAAGCTGCAGTGTGGGAAAGAAACATGTGGGCTGGTGCAGTCATAGAGGCTGCCTAGCTGGAGTTCTTCATGGGTCATGTGTGACTAACCAGTGTAGATGGTATAGTATGGGATCCCAGTGTGCCTGAGTCTGCCCTGTAAGGATCTGACTGCCAGACTGGGTGCCTGGGAGAGGTCAGCAAACCAAGGAGTGCTAAGCTAGACAAGCTTCTTCTGATTTGCAAAGCTGTAGTAGTTAGGTCCAACAGTTCCCTAGGGCTAAAGTCTCTCATGGGAAAAGTTGATCCCAGAGAAATGGCCTTCACTGGCCACACTACTACAGATGTTCTTGCACCAAATCCTCTGATCACCACATGAGCTGGCTTGCTTCCCTATCTCTTTGCTTGTTTTCTGAAGGCTGCATCTCAGAGAGATGTACATCAGCAATCCCTCAGTGCAGTCAGCTCATGATGGAGAATCTGTAATTTTGGTGATCTTAGGGGTCCATTGTCTGGTGAGGAGCAGTGTGTAGTTTGTGGGACCCATGGTGAATGCACTGGCCTCCTGTCCTTGGGTAAACTGCAGCTTGTTTGATGTTTGAATAAGGCACTTAGGGTTTTGGATTTTTCATTAGTCTGAGGGTAGCTAGGACAGTTCTACTGCAGAGGCAATGGCAGAAATATCTTCAGTTTCCATTGGAGGCTCTCTCCAGGGAGTTGCTAATTTGCTACTCTTTCAACAGCTCTGGCAGTGATTGTCTAGTAGTCCAGGCTTGGAGAACTTGCCCAGTGAGAATATACAAGAACAGGTACTCACATAACAGTCTGGCCACTTTTCTGAAGGGCTGCTTCAGTATTCTAGGTGTCCACTGAAGTTTCTATTCACCTCAGATTTTCCAGTACCTGAAGTTATCACCAGTGAATGCTGTCAGACTAAACAATTGCATCGTGCCCTTTTTCTCTGGGAGCTCAATCTCAGGGAGGTATAGACCTCTTTCCAGCCCAATAGCACTTGTGGAAGGTAGCTGGAATCCCTTGTTGAAATTCCTTACTCAGCAACGAGAACATAACTGGGGAGCCACTTAAGAACGCACTCTAGTTACATTTTTGTAGTACATCTCTGCTGAGCAGAGGTACTACTTCCATCTCCAGTTTATTTGGATTATCCAAATCCAGAAGACTGGAACAACTAAGTCACACACATAGGAAAAATTGCTGCTCACTCTTCCCTCTAGCAATTATATCCCAAAGAGTTTTTAAAATTCCATTGACCAAAAAGCACCAGTGGTGACAGCTGGACACTCTGGTTAGGAAGTCCTTTCCAGTGACAGAAAATGAGATGGTAACCTGATTTAACAGGCAGTCTGGCCATGTCTTCTTAGAACACCTGTATTGTGCTAGGAAATTCTTTCTGCCCCCAGTTGGCTTGAGCTCTTCAAAGCCAGAAGGCTGGAATGGGTAACTTGCCTAAGGAGCTAAGGTGGTGTCCCACTCGACTTTCTGGAGTTTCATTCCAGGGAGGTGCAGTGCTGCTACCAATGGATGACAAGAATGCTAAGCCAGTAGGTCTTACCCTGTGAGGCACTGTGGACATGGGTCCTAGAGACCATCACTGCTCAGCTTCCTGGATTCTGCCTCTTTTATATGGTTACTTACAGAAATGTACCTTACTGCTTCGTTGGAGTTGCAAGTATTTTTTCTGGGAAACCTAGAAAGCCTGAATACCTAAAGCTCCTGAATCTTTGTACCGGCCTCAGCAGCTGATCTCCTGAGACTCCATTTAACTCTGTGTATTAAACTGAAGGCCTTGATGAAGTGGGTTCATGAAAAGATCTCATCTGATGGTTGCAAAGATCTGTGGGAGAATTGTGGTTTCCCAGGGTCACACATATACCCACTGCTTTACTGAGTGGGGAGGTTTACTTGGCTCCGTGTTGTTCCCAGGTGGCCCATTGTCCTGCCTTGCTTTATCCCATTCTTCATAACTTATTTGATTGTTCCCAATCCAAGTACCTGGATGTTTCAGATGAAGGTGATGTATTTATTCACACCTTGCATTCTTCTCCATGAGAACTATACAGACTAGCTGCTTCTAGTCTTATAATAGGAACCTACTTCTTTATATTAAAATAATTTAATATTTTTTCAAAAGTAAATATTGATGTAATTTAACTCTTACATTTGTTGCTATGTCTTCATTTCTAGAATTTATGTAAAAGAACATAGACAATGGTCGCTTCACCAGAGTTATGAGAGCTTCTTCTATATTAGATGGACAGATTTATATATTTTGCGATGGAACATTAAGAAAACTGAAATCTAAGATACATGAAGAATTTCTAAGTGAAAAGGCCAATTACTGGTTGGCTTATAACAGTATCATAGTGATAGGATAATAGGAGTGTGGTAAGTGATCAGGATAATATTATACATAGTAACTGCAACAATTTGAATTTTAGAGGAAAACTGCTTTACCATTTGTAAATTAATGTAATTAAAATACAGTGAATTTCAAAATACCTTTTTAATGACAATGTGTAGATTTAATTTTTTCTAGTTAACCAAAATTGTTGTTATTAATGCTATTTTACATTGAATGTATGTCTTGCCACTGATATTGACATATCCTATCTTACTCAAGTTTGTAGGTAACAGATGGTAACAATATACTATTGGGTGACAGTAAAATAAAATCTCTACTGATTCTTTTGTCAGTGGCCTTTAACTTAAAATAATTTAGAAAATATAGTTTTTATAATTTACATTCATGTTTTTCTTGTAACTAAAGGTTATTATAATGGTTTTAATGGAGATTATGAGTATAATGGAGCTACATTCTTCTGAATTCTGAACAACTATTTACAAAATTTTATCTTACTTTTTTCTGTTAAACATATGACTTCTCTGGTCTGCTGAACATGCAAAGATGTTTAGTTTTAATTTATATGAATTTAAATATAGGAGATACATTATTGTGAGATAAACTTTAGGTTTGCAACAGATCTATAGCAAGGAATCATAGTTATTTATGGCTGTGTACCTATTTTGAGAAGCAAATAAAATATTAGAATGAAACGGATAATTTTACAAGTGTTGATAACTTACCATCAAATAAGAAACTTCAAAGATTTTGAAAGCAAATCTATTTTCTCAGCTTTGTATCAAACTTATTTATTTAAAATATTACTGCTCCTGGCTTAGAATCATTTTGTGGAAATTCTGCTTTATTTGTTTCTTTGTTTGCCTGTTGCTAATTGTAGACAAAATATATAATAATCTTTTCAGAAAATTTCATAAAACATTCTTTGGTTCAGATGTGGTGGCTCACATCTGAAATCTCAGCACTTTGGAAGCCTGAGGCAGGTGGATCACCAGAAACCAGGGATTTGAGACCAGACAGGCCAACATACTGAAACCCACCTCTACTACAAATCCAAAAATTATCTGGGCTTTGTGGTGGGAGCCTGTAATCCCAGCTACTTGGGAGGCTGAGGCAGGAGAATCATTTGAAACCTGGAGGGGGAGGTTGCAATGTACCTTCAGTTCTGGGTAGATTTGGGACATTTGAGTGATATATAAACAGTGGTTATGTTGCATCAAGTTCTATGAAAACACAACTTCTGCAAGTAGTAAAACCCAATAAGATTAGAAATATTTTTTCAGATATTGAAAGACAAAGAACAAGTAAATAATCTTTTGAGTTTCGGTGGTTAATGCAGTCAGTAAATTTAATCTCATTTCTATAATCTTTAAATTTTACTACTGAAGACCACAATAGACTTTTTTCTCCTAAATTTTTGCAACTATGTAAGCATGTTCATAATGTCACTTCCATAAATAATATGAATATCAATTGGCAGGTGTATTAATTGCTAAAATAAAATATTTGAGAATTGTATTACTTACCATGTACAATAAAATGTTTTTAAGTTGCCTAATTAAAAAATCTGTCAACTGAATTACATGTCTAGGCAATTTTTTAAATTGAGAATAAGATGTAAAATAATTTATACAAGTAACATAAACTAAGTTTATGGAAATTGTTTACTCATTTAAGAAATCATATTACATTTTAAATAAATTGCTATGACCTGTTAATATTTGTGTAGCATATTATTTTATTTAAATTTTGCTTCTAAAACAAGTAACAATTTAAACAAAGAAGGAAACAACAATTCAATGATTGGCCTGAAAATAAATTTCAGGAAAATAAAAGGTTTGTATGATGACTTAATTAAAATAATGTGAAGAGTAAAAATCTTAATATATGTTTTTGTACATTTTTAAGCAAAAGTGACTCTGAGATAGAAATGGTCAGAAAATATTATAATTATATTTTTTATACTCTCTTGCTGACTTTTGCACTTAGAAAACCTCCAAAACAGACCCAGGATTCCCTAGACATTTCTTCCAGGAGAACAACCAATGGAAATGAAGCAGAAGGCCATATTCACAAAGACAAATTGATGCTCACCTCCTAGATGCCAGTGGGTGCAGGTTGCTGAAAGAGTTGTACAGTCTTGGAGGTCCAGCAAGGGGCTCTGTGCATCAACCTAGAAAAAGAGCCTGGAAATCCACTGAGATCTCCTGCCTGCAGAGGTCTCAGAAAGCCCTGAGGGAGGCCAGCCTAGGTGTTCTGACCTGTTCCTGTCCGTTGAGTCCTGCCTCACCTGATAGTTTTTCCACAAATAAATCAGGATGGCACCCACCAATGCCACCCCACTAGAGGAAGGAGATGAAGTGTGTCAAGGCACACACCCAGTTTGAAACATTAAGTGAATTATTGATTAATTAGTCAATAAGTTAGAGCAGAATGTGCCACTGTGACCCCCTGAAATCACATTTTAGGAGGAAATCTGGGTGGCACCTGACTGACACTTTGTATTGGAGGTAGGATCAACAGGCTACCTGGGTTTCAGTGAGCATGTGCTCCTAGCCAACACGGGGAGACATGGGCTTGGCAAGAGCCGGCAATATGGATGACATACAGCACACATGCTGAGCTGTCAGGTGGGCACTAATGGGTAGGCATGAGGGTTCCCTGAGTAGGAGAAACCTCTCAGGGCTCTGAACTCAGCCCAGAGATCCCCCAGGCTTTTGAAGCACAGGATGTACCTGGAGCTGGAGGGTGGGCACTTTGCAGTGGCTTGGTAAAAGTGGGGTGAGCAGCCTGTCACTGAGGGGCTTTCATTGCCAATTTTTCTAATGAGCAAATTGAGCCCCTAAAGCTATAATCCAGGAGGGGCAAAAGCAAGTGTCTGAGGCATCAGTTTTTTTCTTTACTGGCTCCCTTAAGCCTCAGACTTCCCTGGGCTTGCTTGAATCCTCTCTGGGCTTGCCTTGAGAAAAAGGATTCTTATTCCTTGTGAATGTAGGCAGAGAAGCAACTGGTCATTTGTAGTAGGCCCAATCACAGCTTCTTTTGCGGGCTGACCTGGGCCTCTACATTTCACTGGACTGTGAAACTGGAATTCCAGAGTCCAGAATTCACATTTTGTTCTAGAACCAAAGAATTAAGTGCCAAGACCAGATCAGTCAGGGAGATCCTTACCCAGGGGCACTACAGGGATTATAGACACACATATGTAAATATAGAGGTGTGGAGTGGGAAATAAGGGTTCTCACAGCCTTCAGAGCTGAGAGTCTCGAACAGAGATTTACTCACGTATTATTAACAGCAAGCCAGTGATAAGCATTGTTTCTATAGATTATAGATTAACTAAAAGTATTCCTTATGGGAAACAAAGGGATGGGCTGCAATGAAGGAATGTGTTTAGCTAGCTATCTGCAACAGGAGCATGTCCTTAAGGCACGGATCCTCATGCTATTGTTTGTGGTTTAAGAATGACTTTAAGTGGTTTTCCACCCTGGGTGGGCCAGGTGTTCCTTGCCCTCATTCTGGTAAACCCACAACCTTCCGGTGTGGGCGTAATGGCCAATATGAACATGTCACAGTGCTGCAGAGATTTTGTTTATGGCCAGTTTTGGGACCAGTTTATGGTCAGATTTTGGGGGGGCCTCTTCCCAGAATTTAAGCATCCAGGCCAGAGCAGAAATGGGCCTGTTAATTCCATGGCACAAGGACGAAATCAGAGAACTGGCTTGACTGTTCAGCTACATCCAGGCCGGGTTTGTACTGTTTCAAGCAGGTCCCATTCTCTTCCTGCCTTCCATTAGCTCACCTGCAACTTGTCATCTGTACCAGACCTTTCTCTACCTGCCATATCCTATAATTTTTGAAATCCCTTCATGACTGCATGAGCCAAGCATCAAGGGTCAGAGAGCTCTAGCCTACTCAGGCTGTGCCAGGAATGGAAATCTCAAAAATTACCTCGACAATTAAGAATCATGTATAAATAGTACCAACTCTAGGAGGGGGGCTGTCACATACTTAGATTCTTTTCTGGTCTCCACAACAAAAGATATGTTAGAAGGAGAAGGATAATAAGACACAACTCTGGCAGTTCTCTCTTTTAAAAGGCAACCTCAGCCTGGTCATTCTGGACCACAATTCTAAGGTTTGTTTCAGCATGTCCCACCTTGTAAAATAGTGTAACTGGGGCCCAGAATGTCATGGTCAAATGAGAAGCTGGAGAAGGAGCACCTTAGCAGCCTGAACACACCCATAACAGGAACAGACCCTACCAACTAAGAAGCCATCTTATTAACTTAGATATCCACACCATCAATGTGCACACACAAGAGTCCTCTTAGATAAAATCCTGTCAACCCAGTGATTAAAAAAAAAAAAAAGCAAAAAAAGAATTTGAATCTAGAGTTTCAGGAAGAAGAATCTCTGTTGCCTGAAGCATACTGTATGATGGATGCAACTGACCATGTTAACTTTACTTGGAAATAACTGGTGACTAACCCTACATTAAAAGGGCTTCTGAGTGTTAAAACTTCCAAGTGAGAAAAATTGAGTTGTGGCCTGGCTGGGCACCGTGACTAATGCCTGTAACCCCAGAACTTACATAGTCTGAGCCAGGTGTATCACCAGAGGTCAGGAGTTCAATATCAGCCTGATCAACATGGAGAAACTTTCTACCTACTAAAAATAGAAAATTAGCCAGGCATGGTGGCACTTGCCTGTAATCCCAACTACATGGGAGGCTGAGGCAGGAGAAGATCATGCCATTGCACTCCAGTCTGGTCAATAGGAGTGAGGTTTTTGTCTCAAAGAAAAACAAATAGTAGTGGCCAACCAGGAAATTATTATTTATCTTTGATGAACATCTGAGCCCCTGGTGTGTCGTATTCTGTGGCATGGAACACAGGCCACACAGGAGATTGAAACCCTTTTTTTGTTGTTAAATAAAGGCTGACAGGTGAAAGATTGTTCCGAAAAAATGTGCTAAATAAAAATACTATACAAACTGCAGGATTTTTGAAAGTGGGTGTAGTTATCCTACTAAGCCCACTGACACTGGACTTTCTCTCTTTTATGTAAGCCCCCAGTAAAACACCATATCTCATTCACTGGTTCTGAGTCTATTCTTTGACATCTTGAACTTGGTGCCATTTACACGGGAGTTGAATTTGACACAAATTACCCCATATTGAGGAAGGATTTCAGTCTCTGCTCAATGTGCTTCAAAGCTCACCAAGGTATCAGCTTGGTGATAGAAGGATGCGGTTGTTCCCTTTATCACTGTGATTCAAGCCTCTTTTTTCAGATGAACCTTCAGTGGAATACCAAGAAAGATGAACATGAAGCACACCATACTCAGAAGCAACATTGATGCCAGAACAGGCAGTGACCAATTTCAAAGCAAAAGAGAGAATTTTCCTTCCTTTGTGAGCAACTTTCAACTTCTCTCATCACTTTCTGGCTTCAGTAATGGTTTCATCCTGGGTCTGGAGGAACCATAGGTCCTGGGTAGTAAAAACCTTCACTTTATCCTGCTGCAAAAAATCTTTCTTTTGACAAATATGTCCTCTATGATCATGAGCTTCTAAGCAATCTGGACAAAGCACAACCTAAAACACCTATGAAAGAGAGATAAATAGGTGTTAGGGAAACAATCTCCCACTTTTTTCCTTGTCAAATTCAAACAACTTTGATGGTAGACAAATGTTCAGAAGAGGACAGCATAGTATAACTCCTCATCATGAGAGTTTGTAACCAAAGTTTTCAATCCTAACTGTGAGAGCTCCAAATAAAAACCAGAAGTTACTTCACTGTGCATCTATCAATGTCTCAGTGAACCACATTTTATTTGTAACACTGAGGAGCCTTCACTGAGGATCTATTTTTCAAATTCTGGAGAACCCCTGCAGAGAAAGACAAACATGATCCAAATTGTGTACACAGGAGTACACCTTACTCACATATTAAAGGCTGTAAATGTCTCAAGATGTTTCCTTGACTCTGGTAAACTATACAAGTAGTAGTAATGTTTCAAGCTAAAGTCAGAAAGATTACTTCAGTTTTCTGTTAGTCCAGTCCATTCAGTTAACTCTTCTTTTGTTTGATATTCATGAATATTTTAGCTCTTTAAGAGTCCTCTAAGTTTTTCTTGTATTCCAATGTAACAAGCTCCAAAGTTATCACAAACCTGCAATTGAGAGCATTTTTCAAAGATCTGTAGCTGATTGAAAATGCTTTATAAAAAACATCAAAACAGGACAACATTTATCTGTGTATAACAAAATGTCCAGGGTAGTTACAGTCAGAAACATGGCAAAAATTTTCGTTATTTCTATGGTTTACAACAACTTAACATAACAAACTTAAGTAGGGATTATAGCATATACTTCAGACACTAGAATTTTAGAAATCTCACTAAATTTTGGAACGTGTATTAGTATTAGTCACCAAAATATAATCTAAATAATATTAAACGCCATTTTGGCAATCCCATGTAATTAATCCTGTCATATAATCCTGTTTATCTCTCTTGTGGATATACCAGGGACCCTCTGTAGCATCTAAAATCCAGAAATTAAGAAAGATAATTTTGTAGATAAAGTTTAACCAAAATGGTGGCTTAGAAATGTAAAAAGCAAAAAACTTCTTATAATTCTTTATGAATTTTGGCAAAGAACAGATTAGCGCCTTAGCAGTAACTTGTTGAGCTTTTATTTCAATGCCCAATTTACAAGCATCTCACAGGCATGATAATGACTGCCAAATGTGGACCTCACAAATTGAAGTAATTTTGACTTTTATAACTTGCTGTTGAAATATGAGTGATTAAATGTATTTCTGGTAATAAAAAATGTCAAAGAAGATTTTAACAGCCTCAAGTATTTTACAATGTACTCAGCTTCTACAGAGTTTTATGACATAACCTATCAGGAAGGTGAAGTTGTGAGTATCATATGCACTCCCAGCTGACAGTGTAAGGAATGTCACTATCTTAAACATATGAAGACAACTGTCACTCATAAGAACAAGTAATATGTGGTATTGCAAATCTTATCCTGGGAATTTTCTTCCTGTGTTCTTGTGATTTAAATTTTTTTGAAGCACCTGTGTGATTTGACACTCTAGTCTGGTTTCAGCCCACATATGTTATTATGGTATCTACCTGGGTCAACCTCTAGGTGATGTAACTCTCCTGCCTGGGCCCTGCTGTCAGTAAAAATCATGTCAATTCACTACGTTCAAGCACCCAGGTCATGTTGCATTTTTGACTAAGCCATGCCCACAGAAATTATTGTGACATATCACTGTGTCAGCCACTTAGGTGATGTAACTCTCCTCATTAGATTGGGCTGTGCACAGATGATGGAACTCCTTTGCTAGGACCTTGTCCTAAAGAGGACATTGTGACAAATCTCTTGGCCTGTCCCCTAGGTGATGTAAATCCCTGCTTGAGTCCTGCCCACATGGAGTATTGTGACATAAGTGTGAAACCTGTAACTATTTGTTGTAACTCTCTTAACTGGATTTTGTCCTAAGGGAGCATTGTGACATATCTCAGGAACCAGCATAAAGGTGATGTGTCTCTTCTGCCTGACTTCAACTCACATGTTAGACTGTGTTATATACCTAGGGAAGCACCTAGGTGATATGACTCTTCTGCCTCAGCCTTGCCTACTTGGGACATTGGGCCATATGTCTGAGCCTGTGTCCTAAGTGTTGTGTCTCTTTTCTTCTGCCTGAGCCCTTACAATACAATGATGTGACATATTACTAAGCCCAATACTTAGATAAAATGACTCTTTTTTTCCCTGAACCATGCCAATGAAAATAAATTTTGAGGTATTGCAGGGTACAGCACCCAGGTGATGTCACTTTTCTACCTGGGTCCTGAAGAAAGAGATAATTATGGCACATTGCTGGTCCCCTCACTCTGATGATGTAACTTTCCTGCTTGTACCAGAGCAACTGAAAGTATTTTTATATATATTGGGCCCATCCTGTAGGTGTTTTTACTCTCTTCATTTGTTTGGGCTTGTTTTTCCACATTTGGTATCATGTCATATTGCTAGGTCCAGCCTTCCAGCTCCCAGTTAATGTAACCCTCATTTCTAAACCCTGCCTAGATAGGGTATTATGACATATTGCTGGCCACAGCACCTAAGTTGTGCTACCCTTCCACCAAGTTTTTTTCTAAAACTGAGATTATAATATTTACATTGCTTCAAGTCAGTGGCATGATGATCAAACATAATTGGCATTCCACCAATAGCTATGTTTTATCTTTCATCGCTACACTTAGAACAATAATTATGGTTATGAGTTGCATATTTGTACTAAGACCACAGAAGGTTACAACGCTATCTCACATTCTATCAAACTGGGTGGTTCACAGAGTTTTATAGAGCCCAGCAAAAGATTAAAATCATGACCCTTGATTACAAATGCAGGTGAGAGCAAGTTTTTAGCATCTCATATTTACAAAGCCCACTATAGAATTTCTGACTCTAAAAAGTGAACAAGGTATAACGATGGAATTGTGACTTTTATATGTAGATCTTGCAGCATATGAGATGGTGACTCATTTCTGGACTCAGATCAGAGGCATAATAATGGGTTTCCTGTCTGAATCCAGCCTGAAAGAGAGCTGTTGATTATCATAACAGGGTTTATATCAATCTGTATGTTTTCAGTCAAATAAGCATGTATGCTTCAGAGCGGTTTGTACCTCTAAGGTATTTTGCATAAAGCCTTCAGATGTTGTAGAGTGTCTCATAAGATGACCTAGAACACATGTGAGATTGTGAGACTTATACATACCAAAGTAACAGTTAAAGCTGTCATCTAAAAGATGAAGTAATTATATCTTATCACAAAGCCTAACACCCTAGTGCTGAGACTCTTGGCTTAGATTCTTTCCCATGGGTGATTTGTGAAATACTGCTGGGTTATAATCATAAAAAGGTGACTCTTCTGCATGGATCCAGCCAAAGGGGATATTATCACATATCTCTGGGCCTATCGGCTAGGTGATGTGTCTCTCCCCTCACAGTGTCCTCTCACAGGGGACACTGTGATATTTCCCTGGATATAACATCTAGATAATGTGACTTTCCTCTCCTGCCTGGATCTCACCTAATGAAGAAACTGTGACATACCACTGAGTGCAAAACTAGGTGGTGTGACTCTCCTCTTTGTGCTGGAATCTGCCTAAGAATAAATTATAACATATTGCTGAGCCCAGCACCTAGGGAATGGGACTACCCACTATTTTTTCAACCCTGTATACGGTTGTCAAGATGATACGTTATTTGAGATTGTGCACAGGTGATATGACTCTTTAGACTGGATCCTGCCTAAACAGAAAATATAATGTATTTCTGACTCAGGACACAGACGATGTGACTTTTCTTTCTTGTCTCTGTCCAAAGAGGAAATTCTAACATACACCTGGATTCAGCTGATATGCACAATAATAACTCTAATGCATAGACACTGCCAAGGGGGACACTTTGACTCTCATAGCCAGTTTATAGCCATGACTAAAGTCCTAGATCTGCCCCCGTGAGAATTCAGACAAAAGTATCCTAGTCAGGTGTATCATATAAAGCTGCATGGTACAAAGAGTGTCCTAACAGGCACCAGCAACCAAGTGTTATGCACATCCAGCTGACACAGTTGTCATTTTCACACATGAACAGAGCCTATGAATGAGTTCCAAAATCTCACACGCATAAGCAGTCAAAGCTTGAAATTGTTACTGTCATACATGAATCTGATCCACAGACGGTTTGGTAACATTTAAACTGTGATTTTCCAGATCTGTGGTGCTTTGCCTGTCCTACTGGAACACAACCTTCAATGTGACTGGGGCTCTTACACATGTATCTTGCCATTGTTGAGATTATGACTCCTTTACTTCGACCCAACTCAAAGGAGATGTTGACTCTCATACCCGAAGCCAGAAGTTGTGTGAGAGTGTAAAATTTATTTCTGAACATTTTTGAATGTGTGATTGTGAAGTTTGACTTTCTCCAGCATCTGAGTATTTTGACTCTCCTTTCTAGGCCCAGAGCCTATAAATTGTGACATAAGTGCACCAGCACCTAAGCAATGTATAACAACTTTTTGGCAATGCAACTAGGGGCACTTTTACATATCACTGGTACCAGCAACCAGCTGATGTGAAATCTTGGACTAAACCCTGCCTACAAAGAGGATTATGGCTTTTATCTAGATCCATCATGTAAATGGATGTGAGTTCCTTCTACTGCCTTGGCCCTGCACTTATGGTGTATTGTGATGTATAACTAGGTACTGCACTTAGGTGATGAGAGACTTTTTTTGAGGGGAGTTCTGCTATTAAAAAGCTATGTAACATATCACTTGACTCAGGCCCTAGGTGATGTTTCTTCTCTCCTGCCTTGGCCCTGACCACCAGAGAGATTTTGACATATTATTGAACCCAGCACCAAGGTGAGGTCACTCTCCTGCCTTGATCTTGCACAGAAGGGCCATTGTGACATATGTCAAGGCAAATTGCCTTTGTGTGATCTGTTTTCTCTCCTGCCTAAGCCCTGCCAGGAGGGAGGATTTAAATATTTCACTTAAACCAGAATCTAGGTGATTGACTCTTCTCCAAGAGTCCCACCCACAAAGAGAATTGTGACATTTCACAGGACATGCATCCACATGTGATTTTCCTTTCCTTTCTTCTCCCTCCCCACAGGTGATATTGTGCCATATACTTGAGAGAAGATAAAAGGCCTAATAGTGACTCTTGTACCAGGAACCAGGACACTTGCCAGATTGTGACTCTCAACCCAAGCCTGAGCCTTTCTACAGGTGTTATTGTGACATTTGCTTTTGCCAAGCTCCTGAGTGATTTACTAATCCTATTTATAGCCCAGATATGACATTTTTACATATAACTGGGACAAAACCTTGGTGATTTGACTTTTGTCTTAATAGGATCATCCAAAGGGGTCATATCTCTGGACCTATCATCTAGGTTTTGTGACTTTCCCGACTGAACCCTGATTAAAATGAAGAGTTTAGCATTTCTATGCACTACATCCAAATGATATGACCCTTGTGCCTGGGCTGTTACAACAGGAGGCATTGTGATGTATCTCTGGACCCATCATTTAGGTGATATGACTCTCCTCTCCTGCCTGGACACAGTACACAAGGGACATTATGCGATAGAGCTGGGCATAACACCCAAGTTCTGTGACTTCTCTGCTAGGGCCTTGGCTACAAAGAGAATATTGGAATATTTCTGGCTTAGGATTTATGCGATGTGTCATCCTGCCTGTTTAGTAACCACAGAGGGCATGGTGACATACATACCTAGGTATAGCTAGCAGGCTTGATAATGACTCTCATATGTGGACACAGCCAACAGGAGAAATTTTGACTCTTACAACTAAGTTTAGAGACATGAGTGAAGCAAAGCATCTCTTACTGTTAACAAAGTCACATAAGATTACAACACTCACACATTCTTTATAACACCTTTATGTTGTACAGAGAGTGTCATAAAAGGGCCTAGCACAAAGAGCAAATTGTGAGTCTCATATAACCACCCAGCTGACTGTAAATACTTTCACCATCACAGATGGATAAAGTCTACTGTTCTACATGAAAACAAGACACATGTGGTATTGTAAATCTAATCCCTAGAATTTTATTTTATCATGACTGTGATATAAAACTTTTCAGTGCACTTTTTTGATTTCACTCTTCAGACTGGTTACAGCCTACATATGGGATTTTGATATCTACCTGGACCAACGTTGAAGTTTTGTGACTGTTCTGCCTGGGTCCTGCTGTCAGTAAGAATTGTGACATCATTGGATCCAGTACTTAGGTGATGTTACATTCTTGCCTGACCCATGCCCCCAGACATCCTTTTGACATATTATGTTGTCCATCACGGAGATTATGTAATTTTCCCCACTGGAATGGTTCCTGCACACAGGGCAAGGGAGTGACATATGCATAGATCAGGTAAACCGGTAATGATACTTTTTTTTTGCCTAGGCCATGCACAAAAGACAAGATTATGACATATTACAGGACCTGTTATATAGGTGATATGGCTCTTCTGCTTGAAACATGCCCACTTGAATAGTGACATATTTCTAGACCAGGAACAAATGTGATGGTATTCTTTTGCCAAGGCCATGCTTTCAGGAAGGTTATGTTACATATCTCTGGGACTATCACCTAGGTGATGTGAATTCCTTCATGGGCTTCCCACATGGAGCATTTTATCATAAGGGTGGAACCTGCTCCTAGGTGATATAACTCTCTGGTCTTGGTCCATTACTAAAGGGGACTTGTGGATATCTCAGGACCCAGGAAAGGTGATGTGCCTCTTCAGCCTGGTTTTTTCCCACATATTAAATTTTGACCTATACCTAAAGAAGAACCTAGGTGATATGGCTCACTTTTTTTTTTTAATTTTTTAATTTTCTTGCCTGAGCCCTGCCTATTAATGACATTGGGTCATATCTTTGAGTCCACGACCTAAGTAATTTGACTCACTTCTTCTGTCTGGACTTTTACAGTGGGAGAATTGTGACATATTGAGAAGCCCTGTACTTAGGTCATGTGACCCATCTTCTTGCTAAAGAGTGCCCAGGAATAGGACTTTTGCTCTATTTCAGGACCCAACACCCAGATAATGTTACTCTTCTGCCTAGGTCATATATAAAGAGGAAATTTTGGCATATTGCTTTGCCCAGCACCCTAAGGATATGACTCTGCTCTCTATGCCAGGGCTACAGAAGGTACTTTGACATATCTTTGGCTTATTCTGTAGGTGTTTTGGCACTAATCAGTTTGCTAGGTTTCTTCCATGTGTTTTTGTGTAATATTGTAGGTTCCAGCCCTAGTTAATGTGACCTCATTTCTTAGGCCCTGCTTAGATAGGGCACTGTGATATATTGCTTGGCACAGCACCTTAATGATATTAATCTTGGGCCTAGATTTTTGCCCACAAATGGGATTATGACATGTAACTTGCTTCAGTTCAAAGGCAGGATGATCAAGCTTATTGTGGGATTAAGCCAATAGGATATATTTTGCTTCTCACCCCTAGGTTTAAATCAATATTTAAGGTCCTCCATTTCATGTTTGTTCAAAGATCACAGAATTTTACAACACTAACTTATATCCAGCATTTACAAAGCTTAGTTTTGAGGTTTTGAATCGAACAAGTCAATACAACCCAAAGTTTGAATTGTGACTCTCATAAGTGAATCTGACTAAAGGTGAGATGGTGAATCATTTCTGCACCCAGCTCACAGATCTAATAATGATTTCAACCCTGATGCCAGCCTATAGAAGACATGTTTTCTGACATACCTTGGTTAGGGCAATATGTAAGATTATGAGTCCATATAAGTATATAGGCCTCAGAAAGTTTTCAACTCTCATGCATGTTGTATAAAGTTTTCAAATGTTGCAGAAAGTATCATACAATGGCAAGCACACTCAGGGGTTTGTGACTGTCATATACACAACTAGAAAACAGATAATGGTGTCAAAGGTAAGATCACGAGATTATGTCATAACAGCAGATATTTTCACCTCTTGCTGAGCCTATTGGCTAGGTGACATTTCTCTCCTGCCAGTGCCTTGCTCACAGGTGACACTGTGACATATTGCTGGATTTAGCAACTAGGTAATGTGACTCTCCTCTTGTGCATGGATCCTGTTCACTGAAGAAATTGTGACATACCACTGAGCACAAATTTTAGGTAACATGGCTCCCTTCTTTGTCGTGGGCTCTGCCAAAAGAGGGACTTATTACATATTATTGAGCTCAGCATGCTTGTGGTGTAATTCTTTTTTTTTTTCTTTGAACATGTTTACATTGGGCATGGTGACATATTACCTGAGGCTGTACTCAGGTGATGTCGGTGTGGGGGTCTTCTTCCTGGTTTTTCTACCCACATGTTAGATTGTGACATATAACTAGAAAAGTACATAGGTGATATGACTCTTCTTTTCTACCTGAGCCCTGCATAAAGGAGACTGTGGACAGTGGGTTATATCTCTGAGCCCAAGACCTGAGTGAAGTGACTCTTTTCTCCTGCCTAGTCTTTACAATGGGATGATTGTGACATATTGCTGACCCCAGCACTCAGGTTATTAGACAAACAAAAATTTTGACGTATTGCAGGGCCCAGCATGCAGATAACATTACTATTTTGCCTCTGTCCTGCATATATGAAGAATTATGGCATATTGCTGGGTACAGCACCCTAATAATGTGACTCTCATGCCTGTCCCAAAGCCATAGAAGATATTTTGACATATCCTGGGCTCATTCTGTTGGCATTTTGGTTCTCACTTCTAGGTTTTTTCTTTTTTCACATATGGGATTTTGTCATATTGCAGGGTCCAAAACTCAGTTAACGTGACCCTAATTCCTATATCCTTCTTAGAGAGGACATTATGACATGATGCTTGACACAGAACTTAAGTGATGTTATCCTCCTGCCTACTTTTTTGATCACAAATGGGACTCTGTCATATACCTTACTTCAGCTCACAGGTAGGATGGTCAAACTTATCCTGGGATTCAGCCAATAGGAGATATTTTGCCTTTCATCACTAGGCTTAGGGCAATAGATGAGGTCCTGTGTTTGTTTCATATTTGTATCAAGCTCAAAAACTTTACAACAGTAACTCATAATGAATACACTTCTTGGGTTGTGCAGAGACTTTTATGACAGAGATCAGCAAAAGTTTAGATTGGGACTCTCCATTAGACACCCAGGTGAAAGCAAATATTGTCACCATCTCACATGTATAAAGACCACTATTACATTCCTGAGTCTGAAAGTCAATAGAGCACAAAGTCAGAATTGTGATCTTCATGTGTGGATCTGGCCACAAATGGGATGGTGACTCATTTCTGGATCCAGCTCACAGGCAAAATAACAGGTCTAATCCCTAAACCCAGCCTAAAGAAGATATGTTGACTATTATATCTGTGTTTAGGACAATATGTAAAAATTCATACAAGCATGTAAGCCTCAGAATGGCTTGCAACTCTCATGAATACTGTATAAAGCCTTCAAAGGTTGTAGAGTGTCACACATACAGTGTGATCTAGGAAACATGTGAGCTTGTGATTCTCCTATTCACACCCAGCTCACAGTGAATCTTGGAGTTCTGAAAGACCAGGAGTTCTGCATATTACTAGGCCTAGTACCCAAATGTTGAGACTTTTAGGCTTAAATTCCTTCCTATAGATTAACCATGACATATCGCCTGGTTAAAATCATAATAATGTGACTCTTCTGCATGGACCCTGAAAACAGGGAATATTTTTGCATATCTCTGGGCCTTTAAGCTCGGTCATTTGTCTCTCTTATTCATGCCCTGCCCCCAGAGGACACTGTGAAATATCGTTTTACTTAATATTTAGAAAATGTGACTATCCTCTCCTGCCTGGGCCCTGCTCACCATAGAAGATGTGATATACTGCTGACTGCAAAACCTAGGTGATGTGGGTCTCCTGCATATTGTAGACTCTTCCAAGATAAGAAATTAATACATATTGTAGAGCTGAAAAGAATTGGTGGAACCCTCTCTTTTTCTTCTTTCCTGTCCATGTGGGCTTCGTGACATACTATTTGAAGCTGTACCCAAGTAATATGACTCTTCTGAGTAGGCCCATCCAAAAAATGAGTATATACTGTATCACTGGTTTGGCACCCAGATGATGTGATATGACTCTTCTGATTAGCCCCAGCCTACAGGTAAGACTATACTACATAACTGGCTCAGCACCCAGGTGATGTGACTCTCCTGGCTTTTTTCTGCTCACAGGTCAAGTTGTGACATATACCAGGTTTAAGCACACATGCACAATAATAATTCTCATACCTGGACCCATCCAGTGGAGACAACTGACTCTCACAGCCTGTCTCATGGCCATTGGTAAAGTCCTGTGTTTTTCACTTGTATAAATTTCACGAACGATTATAACACTCAAGTATATCATATAAAGCCTTAATGATACAAAGATTGTAATAACAGAAACCAGCAACGAAGTGAGAATGTGACCCTTCAATGCACACCTAGCTGACATCATTGACATTCTCACACATGAACAGGGCCTAGGAATGAGGTAATAAATCTCACACACAAAAAGCAGTCAAAGGTTGAAATAATTACTCTCATAAATGGATCTGATTTATGAGTGGTTTGGTAACATGAACCATGATTCAACATGCCTGTAGTGCTGTGACTCCCCTACTGGAAAATGATGTTCAAGTGGTATTGGCACTCTTATACATGGATCTTGCTTATTGTGGAGATTGTGACTGCTCTACTTCAACCCAACTCACAGAAAAAAATTTCATCACATTCACAAAAGAAAGACTTGTGTAAGTTGTGAAAGTTATCTCCAAATCTTTCTGAGAGTATAAAAAGGAGAGGTAACTTTGCTCAGCACATGAATAATCTGACTCTCTTTTCTAGTCCCAGACCACAGATTAAATTGTGCGATATGTGAAACAAGCACCTAAGCAATGTATAATTGCTTCCAGAGCCCCCACTGCAAAGGGCCCTTTTATGTATCACTGGGACAATCACCCAGGTGATGTAAATTATCTGCCTGAAAACTGCCTACAAGGAGAATTGTGTCTTAAATCTACCCTGACCACAGGGAAATTGTGACACATTACTGCACCCAGCACTAATTTGAGGTCTCTCTCCAGCCTTGGTACTGAACATTAGGGTCATTGTGACATATACCTGGGCCAGTTGCCTAGGCTAAGTGAGTCTCCTCTCTTGCCAAAGTCCTGAACACATACTGGATTTTAATATGTCACTGAAAGCAGCATCCAGGTGATGTGACACTTCTGCCAGGGTCCTGCCCACAAAGTGTACTTTGACATTTTACTGGACCCACACCCACATAGTTGATGTGAAATTCTTGCCCTCTCTGGCCACAGGTGATATTGTGCCATACATTTGAGAATATAACACAACCTAATGTTCAGGATGGTGACTCTTATTCTTAAACCTTTCAACAAGCCTAATTGTGACCTAAACCTTTGACCAGCTTCTGAGTGATTTAATAATTCTTCCTAGGTATAGTCCACAGATGAGGTTTTCACAAATACCTGAGCCAAGTATCTTGGTGATATGAATGTTCTATCTTAAAAATGTCCTTGGGGGAATTTTAACATATTTCTGGATCTATTATCTAGATAACATTACTCTCCCTTCTGCTTTTACCCTGCTTAATTGTAGTTTTTCTAAACACTGCATCCAAATGATATTAATACCTTGCTTGTTGGCTTTCCCAAAGGGAAGCATTGTGACTTATTTTGGAGCCCATCATTTAGGTGATATGACTCTCCTCTTCTCTCTGGACACTGCCCACAAGGGAAATTATGCCACAGAGCTGGACACAACACAGAAGTTATGTGACATTTCTAACAGGATACTTACTACAAAGAGAATACTGGAATATTTCTAGCCCAGCATTTAGGTGATGTGGCCATTCTTCCTGCTTCATAACCACAGAGGAAATTGTAACATATATTTAGGCACAGGTCACAGGAGTGATAATGACTCTCATATGTGAACTCAGCCAATAGGGGATATTTTGACTCTTATAACTATGTTTGGAGACATGCATGACGTCCTACATCAGCTGCTTGTACAAACATCACAAAAGTTCATAACACTCACATATATTTTGCTAAGTCTTTGGGTTATACAGACGCAGTCAAAACAGGGCTCAGCACGTAGCTGATGTGACTTTCTGCTTGGCCCTGCCACAGGGAGCATTGTGACATAAGTGTGGAACTTGCACAGGGAGCATTGTGACATAAGTGTGGAACTTGCACCTAGGTGATGTAACTCTCTTGACTGGGTACTTTTCTAAAGAGGGCTTGTGAATATCTCAGGACCTAGGACCAGGTGATGTGGTTCTTCAGCCTGGATTCTGCCCACATGTTAAATTGTCTAGGTATATGTAATATACCTAAACAATAGGCATATTGTGACATATTGAGCCCAACACTTAGGTAATGTGACTTTCAACTTGTTGCTGAACAATGCCCATGAACAGACATTTTGCCATATTTTATGGCTCTGCAACCAGATAATGTTACTCTTCTGCCTAGGTCATGTATAAAGAGGGAGTTATGGCATATTATTGGCACAGCACCCTAATGACATGATCTCCTACCTGTGCCAGAGCCATAGAAAGTGTATTGACATATTTTTGGCCCAATCTATAGGTGTTTTTTCTTTCATCACTTTGCTTGCTTTCTTCCACATGTGGTTGTTTCATTTACTAAGCTCCATCCCCCAGTTAATGTGACCCTCTTTACTAGCCCCTGCCTAATGAGGGCATTATTGTTCTGCACAGAACCTAAGTGATGTTAATGTTCTGCCTAGGTATTGCACACACAAAAAAATGAATTATGACACGTACCTTCCTTCAGTTCAAAGACAAAATGATCAAGCTTATAATGGGATTCAGCCAATAGGAGACATTTTTCCTCTCATGAGTAGGTTTAGGTCAATAGGTAAGGTCTTTCATTGGATATTTATACAAAGCTCACAGAAGTTTATAGAGCTAACTCATATCATAAATACTTCTTGTGTGGTACAGAGAGTTTCATAACATGACCCATCAAAATGTTAAGATTGTGACTCTCAACTACACATTGAGGTGAAAGGAAAAGTTGTGTCCATCTTATATTCACAATGCCTTTTGTTGAGGTCCTGATACTAACAAGTGAATACAGTAAAAAATTTGAGCTGTAACTTTCATAAGTGAATCTGGCCACAGGTGGGATGGTGACATTTCTAGACCCAGCTCATAGGCATAATAATAATCTCATCCCTGAAACCAGCATATAGGAGAGATGTTGACGGTCATGCCTTGGTTTAGTAAAATATGGAATATCATGATTCTATAGCAGCATATATGCCTCAGAGTGGTTTGCAACTCTCATTCATGAAGTATAAAGCCTTCAAATGTTGTAAAGGGTCATGCAGTGGCCCAGGAAACATGTGAGATTGTGACTCTCATATACACAGCCTTTGTATGTGTCTTTGAGTGTCACACTCAAAGACAAGGAGACTTGGCATATTACTAGGCATAGTGCCCAGGTGTTAAGACATTTTGGCTTAAATTTCTTCCCATGGGTGCATTGTGACATATTGCTGGGTTAGAATCATAAAAATTTGACTCTTCTGCTTGGACCCTGCCAAAAGAGGATAGTGTTACATATCTCTGGGCCTATAAGCTTGGTGATTTTTCTCTCTTGCCTGGGCCCTGCCCCCATGAGACATTGTAAAATATCGTTTGGCTTAACATCCAGATCATGTTACCCACCTCTCCTGTCTGTTTTCTTCTCACCAAATAAATTGTAACATACCGCTGATTGCAAAATCTCGGTAATGTGACTCTCCTTTATATTCTAGACTTTGTCAAGAGGGGACTATTACATATTGCAGAGCCCAGCACCTAGGTTGAGGTACTCTCCTCGTATTATCTTTTTCTATCAATAGCAGTCTTTATTATTATTATTATTATTATTATTTAATTTTTATGGTACATATGCACAAAGTGCAGGTTTGTTACATATGTATACATCTGTCATTTTGGAGTGCTGCACTCATTAAGCAGTCATTTAACATTAGGTATATCTCCCAATGTTATCCCTCCCCCATCTGCCCACCCCACAACAGGCCCCAGTGTGAGAATGTTCCCCTTTCTGTGTCTATGTGTTCTCATTATTCAATTCCCACTTATGAGTGAGAATATGCGGTGTTTGGTTTTTTGTCCTTGAGATAGTTTGCTGAGAATGATGGTTTTCAGCTTCATCCATGTCCCTACAAAGGACATGAACTCATCACTTTTTATGGCTGCAAGGTAGTCCATGGTGTATATGTGCCACATTTTCTTAATTAAGTCTATAATTGTTGGACATTTGGTTTGGTTCCTAGTCTTTGCTATTGTGAATAGTGCTGCAATAAACTTATGTGTGCATGTGTCTGTATAGCAGCATGATATATAATCCTTTGTGTATATACCCAGTAATGGAATGGCTGGGTCAAATGGTATTTCTAGTTCTAGATCCCTGAGGAATCGCCACACAGACTTCCACAGTGGTTGAACTAGTTTACAGTCCCACCAACAGTGTAAAAGTGTTCCTATTTCTCCACATCCTCTCAGCACCTGTTTTTTCCTGACTTTTTAATGATTGCCATTTGAACTGGTGTGAGATGGTATCTCATTGTGATTTTGATTTGCATTTATCTGATGACCAGTGATGATGAGCATTTTTTCATGTGTCCTTTGGCTGCATAAATGTCTTCTTTTGAGATGTGTCTGTTCATATCCTTCACCCACTTTTTTATGGGGTTGTTTTTTTCTTGTAAATTTGTTTGAGTTCATTGTAGATTCTGGATATTAGCCCTTTGTCAGATGAGCAGATTGCAAAAATTTTCTCCCATTCTGTAGGTTGCCTGTTCACTCTGATGGTGGTTTCTTTTGCTGTGCAGAAACTCTTCAGTTTAATTAGATCCCATTTGTCAATTTTGGCTTTTGTTGCCATTGCTTTTGGTGTTTTAGACGTGAAGTCCTTGCCCACGCCTATGTCCCAAATGGTATTGCCTAGCTTTTTTCTAGGGTTTTTATAGTTTTAGATCTAACATTTAAGCTTTACTCCATCTTGAAATAATTTCTGTATAAGGTGTAAGGAAGGGATCCAATTTCACCTTTCTACAAATGACTAGCCAGTTTTCCCAGCACCATGTATTAAATGGGGAATTGTTTCCCCATTTCTTGTTTTTGTCAGGTTTGTCAAATCTCAGATGGTTGTAGACATGTGGCATTATTTCTGAGGGCTCTGTTCTGTTCCATTGATCTATATCTCTGTTTTGGTACCAGTACCATGCTGTTTTGGTTACTGTAGCCTTGTAGTATAGTTTGAAGTCAGGTAGCATGATGCCTCCAGCTTTGTTCTTTTGGCTTAGGATTGACTTAGCAATGCGGGCTCTTTTTTGGTTCCATATGAACTTTAAAGCAGTTTTTTCCAATTCTATGAAGAAAGTCTTTGGTAGCTTGATGGGGATGACATTGAATCTAGAAATTACCTTTGGCAGTGTGGCCATTTTCACAATATTGGATATTGATTCTTCCTACCCATGAGCATGGAATGTTCTTCCATTGTTTGTATCCTCTTTTATTTCATTGAGCAGTGGTTTGTAGTTCTCCTTGAAGAGGTCCTTCCCATCTCTTGTAAGTTGGATTCCTAGGTATTTTATTCTCTTTGTAGCAATTGTGAATGGGAGTTCACTCATGATTTAGCTCTGTTTGTCTGTTATTGGTGTATAGGAATACTTGTGATTTTTGCACATTGATTTGGTATCGTGAGAATTTGCTGAAGTTGCTTACTAGCTTAAGGAGATTTGGGGCTGAGCGGATGGGGTTTTCTAGATATACAATCATGTCATCTGCAAACAGGGAAAACTTGACTTCTTCGTTTCCTAATTGAATACCCTTTATTTCTTTCTCCTGCCTGATTGCCATGGCCAGAACTTCCAACACTATGTTGAATAGGAGTGGTGAGAGAGGGCATCCCTGCCTTGTGCCAATTTTCAAAGGGAATGTTTCCAGTTTTTTTCCTTTCAGTATGATATTGGCTGTGGTTTTGCCATAGATAGTTCTTATTATTGTGAGATACATCCCATCAATACCTAATATATTAAAAGTTTTTAGCATAAATGGTTGTTGAATATTGTCAAGGCCTTTTCTGCATCTATTGAGATAATCATGTGGTTTTTGTCATTGGTTCTGTTTATATGCTGGTTTACATTTATTGATTTACATATGTTGAACCAGCCTTGCATCCCAGGGATGAAGCCCAGTTGATCATGATGCACAAGCTTTTTGATGTGCTGCTGGATTTGGTTTTCAAGTATTTTATTGAGGATTTTTGCATCAATGTTCATCAGGGATAGTGGTCTAAAATTCTCTTCTTTTGTGTGTCTCTGCCAGGCATAGGCATCAGGATGATGCTGGCCTCATAAAATGAGTTAGGGAGTATTCCCTCTTTTTCTATTGATGGGAATAGTTTCAGAAGGAATGATCCCAGCTCCTTTTACCTCTGGTAGAATTCGGCTGTGAATCCACCTGGTCCTGGACATTTTTTGGCCATCCAGATTCTGATATCTCAATAATGCTTATGTGCAAGACATTCTTACTGCTTATATGAAGATTTAAAAGAACTGCAAGAGCATTTAGCAGAAAATCAGTCACTGGCCTTAAATATCATTTAAAAATAAAATTAAGTCTTGAAAGGTAGACATGAAGGAGTCCAATATTCTTGAATTAAGGGGATATCACAGAAGTTCAGAGTTGTGAAATATAAGGGCATGTAAATCAACAATTAAGATCATACCTGGATGTTTAAACATTAATACAAGATCCTTAGTGTAAGAGTTAAATTTATTTGAGGTGAGAATTTAGAACTAAGCAACCTGATGTGAGAAGTAGGATTGAATAGAAGTAGGATTGAATATTTTTCAGAAGGAGAATTGTAAGATTGCAGACTCAGCATAAGAAAGCAAGACAATAAATAAAACTTCTTAGCAAAGAAGCTTAAGCAGAACAAATTAAAATTATTACTTAGTCTTCCATCCTAATATGGAGGAAATTGAAAACTGGCATTTTCAATTTTACATTTCATATGTAGAGTATCGGTGAAGTTAGGTATTATGAAGTTAGGCTTCAGGGTACACAAGCCAACACATTTCCATTGGAAAATTAGGCAGTGAACATATCATAGGTGAAAGACTGACCTGTAAGAAATAGCAAGTGAAGAATATATTAAAGGAGAACCTTTTCTATTTTGAAATAGCAACAATGTTGTAATGACTCCTTTAACAGTATTGCTTATTGCAATAAAAGTAAATCTTGGCCCTAGTTAGAAAGTTTTCACTAGTACATTTTAATTTGTCAACATGTAAGATAGAGCCAAACACTTAGAGATATAGGAGAACTTTTATATAAAAATTTAGCATGCAGTTTTTCAAAGGTATTTGTGTGTGTGAGCTGGATTGAACAACATGGGAAAATTTACCTTCTTCAGCTCAGAAAGGACAATGCATGTAAACTTTAAAATCCATGAAGAGTTTGATGGTTTTACATGTTTTCCCTGTGCCATTGGTAGTCACCAGTAATTCATATGAAAAGAAAAATAATATCTAAGTAGTTATTTACCATTACAAATGAACTTTTACCTAAGAATTAATGTCTGCCTTCAGCTTCGTTAGAGGAACTGGTCTTGTGGAAGCCATGAGATTATCCCAAGCCATAGGAAATATTCACAGTGTCATGACTGTCTAGTAATTTAGGGAACGAAGAATGGAGTCATAGAAGAAATAATTTTTAAAAAGTTGTCTGAGAGAAGAGAAAATAGTGTTTCAGGTTTGATGTTCTTTATATAATGTTTCATCATTTTAATATTAAAGGTCCCATATCATGTGGAAGAGAGAATTATGGAGGTCCTCCATGCAGAGAGCAAATCTCTTCCCGGAGAAATGACCATATATCACCTAGAGATGATGGTTATGCAACTAAGGATAGACAAAGAAAAAATGAAAAAAATAGTTTATTTGTTGTGGTGATGAAATTCACGTAACAAAATTAAATGTTATAATGTAAACAGTTAAGTGGCACCAAATACATTTTGTGTTGCACAGCAACTACCTCCATCGAGTTCCAAAACATTTTCATGACTCCAAACTAAAACTCCAACTACCACTTAAGCAGTCCCTTTCATTTTCTCCCTTCCCTCAGCTGCTAGCAAACACCAATCTGTGTTCTGCCTCTGAATTTACATGTTGTGGGCATTTAATGTAAATGTGCTCACACACTACAAAACTTTTTGTATCTGTCCCTTTCCTTTTGCATGATGTCCCGAAGGTTCATTTACATCATAGCACTTCACTCCTTCCACAGGCTATTAATCCATTATTTTACTTGGATTGTTTCCACCACAGTATTTCTAGGCACCAATATTTGTTTGAGTACAATTATTCAACTCTGGGTGTATGTATAAGTGGAATTGCTTGGTCCTGTGATAATTATCTTTGTTTTCTTGATGAGCCACCAAATTTCTCCATAGTTGCTGCATCATTTTCCATTCCAACTAGCATTGTATCAGCGTTCCAATTTATCTACATCCTCTCAAACACTTACTATTTCCTGCTTTTTAAAATGTATTGCCATTCTAGTGTGTATGTGAAGTATGGTATCTCATGTTGGATTTGAAATGAATTTTCTGAATCATTGGTTATGAGTACCTGTTCCATGTGCTTTTTGGGCATTTGCCTAATTGGAGAAATATCTGTCTAGATGTTTTGCCTTTTAATTTTGCTGAATTGTAAGTTTTTTTAAATTTTTAAAATAAGTAAAAAATTAATAAAAATGGTATCTCCAACAAGGTGATAAAATAGGAGGCTCTAATTTGTTCCTCCATCCACAAATACAACAAATAAAAAGCCACACCGACATCAATTCCCTGTGAGATAAACTCAGAAACTAGTAGAGATACTCTTGCACATAGGATTATGAAAATACTCACTTAAAAAGAGGTAAGAAAAACGGAATCATGATCTTGTTCTAGAGTTTATGTCTGAACATTGCCCTATTGATTCAGTGCCCTAGAGTCAATAGGGAACTGTTATTTCACAGCTTCTTTGAGAGGACTGAAGTACTAAACCACATATGTAATGCCCCAACTGTTAACAGCTGCTTCTCAACGAAATGATTGCTAACTTGCCAGTCTCTGGATTCTAACACAGATTGGCATTAATAACTCTCCTAGGACCTCCAAGGTAAAAGAGGGATTTAAATAGACATTCAAGCACTTCCAAAACTGTTTCCTCCTGGCTTACTTGATCTCAAGCAGTCAAGAAAGCTTACCTCCCACTTTGTACCTTGAAGAACTTAGATTGTACATCTAGCACCTTGACTTTTCTTTTTCTTTTGAGATGGAGTCTTGGTCTGTACCCAGGCTGGAGTGCAATGACATGATCTTGGCTCACTGCAGCCTCTGCCTCCGAGGATCAAGTGATTCCCCTGCCTTAGCCTCCTGAGTAGCTGGGATTATAGGCACCCATCAACATGCCGGGCTAACTTCTGTATTTTTTAGCAGACAAGTTTACACTATTTTTGTCAGGCTGGTCTTGAACTCCTGACCTCAGGTTATCCACCCACCTCGGCCTCCCAAAGTGCTGGAATTACAGGCATGAGCCACGGTGCCCTGCCATGTTTTGACTTTTATAGCTTCTACCCAGCTATCTTGCTTCTAATTTTGACTTCTGGATCTGTTAGGGTCCTCTAAGAGCAGGCACATAGGCATTTCTCATCAGTCTTCATCATCACTCACTCTAGCAATATACTGAGCTTCTAAATTTTCCTATGAATTAGTCAAACTACCCAACTATTGACCTGACTTCTCAGGTTGCTGCCTGAGAGTTTGAATACTAACTTGCCAATCTCTGGAAGCTAATGAATCCCAGCTTTCTGTAGTCCCAGGATTCTAAAGAGGAAAAATGATTGCTTTACAATAATTCTGCATGATTTTTAAACTTGACGATTGATATAGTTTGGACATTAGTCCCACCAAGCCTCAGGTTGAAATGTGGTCCTCCACACTGTAAACAGCACCTAGTGGGAGGTGTTTCTTTGTGCCCTGGTAATGGATCCCTCATAAATGGCTTGGCACCCTCACCATGGTTAATAAGTGTGTTTTCCTCTATATTAGTTCCAACTATGCAGCTTACATCCAAATAGTTGTTGAAAAGAGTCATACCTTCTCCTCTTCTCTATCTTGCTCTCTCTACATGTGACATACCTGTTTTCCTTTTACCTTCTGTCCTGAGTGGAAGCCTTGTGAGGCTGTTGCCAGATGCAGATGCTGGCACCACACATCTTTTACAGTCTGCAGAACCAGGAGCCAATGAAAGCTCTTTTCTTTATAAATTTTCCAGTTTCATAGTCTTTTATAAGAACATGAACAGACTAAGACGTTTATCTCTGGCTGATAACTTGCCTATATCAGTAAGCAGTGGAGATCAGCATTCACTATTTCCTCTGTTCCATAGAGGATGAAGAGGTGGTTTTCAATGGTCCCATGAGCTCTCCCTTAAATCCAACCCTTGTCTTGCTGTAGCTTTCAGCTTCTCCATGGAAGCACTCCAACCTTTTAAACTCCTCCCTTAGAACCAGTATTTTGTTGTTGTTGCTGTTGTTTGTATTTATTTATTTATTGAGATTGAGTCTCACTCTGTCACCCAGGTCAGAGTGCAGTGGCGTGATCTCAGCTCACTTCGGCCTCCACCTCCTGGTTTCAAGAGATACTGATGCTTCAACCTTCCAAGTAGCTGGGACTACAGGCACGTGCCACTAGTCCCAGCTATTTTTTTTGTTTTGTATGTTTAGTTGAGAGCGGATTTCACCATGGTAGCCAGGATGATCTCGACCTCCTGACCTCGTCATATGCCCTCTTTGGCCTGCCAAAGTGCTGGGGTTACAGGCATGAGCCACTGTGCTCAGCCTGGACCAGTCTTTTAACATGCCTGTTTCTAGGGACTGATGTCTCAGAATAGGCATTCTGTGATTCTGCTAATTCCCACCATTTCTGGAAAAAAAAATCAACTCACAGCTGTCCTTAGATAAGGACACCATAGTGAATGATTCTATGACTTGGGATTGAATCTATGACACCTTTTCAAAGACTGTAGAACTGAGAATAACCACACACATAGGATAAAAGAACAGTTTTAATTTGATGTCTTTTCTCCTCCCCAAGACAGCAGAGTGTTGCATACAAAAAATTTCACCCGACTCACAGTTTCTTCACAGAGAAGAGAGTTGAAGGTGTACAATTCAGACCTTTCTTTTCCATTTTGCAATTCTTCACATGATGTTCTCTCTTGTCTTACCCTGTGGGAAACATTGGGGGTATCGGACAGCTGGGGCCAGTTACAAACACAGTACGTAGATGGGGCTCACAGTGACCATAACATTAATTTTACTGGTGGCTTTACATTCCAGGCTCAGATCACTGGCCAACTGCCAAATTCCACCCTGCTTTTCTCTGGAAAATTTCCAAGGTTGTGAAAGAGGCAGCTTTGTGATTATCCACAGAAGGGGCATGTGAAGCCACCCAATCCCAGCTGCCATACTTTTGACCATCCTAGCCCTGTGTGCTCCACCCATCCCCAGGCTGAAAAGCAGAGGCAATTTAGTGGTTAAAGATGAAGTTTCTGGCTCTACCTTGACCCAGGGAGCAAGTAGCTTATATAATAAGCCTTGGTACCCCTGGAAGGAAATTCTCTTGTGATATGTCTAGTGGAAATCAGTGGGGAATTAGAATCTCTAGAGCACATGACTTTATTGAGAAACAGAATCTCAGTCTCAGCTCCAGCCCTTCCCACTGCTATTGGGAAGAAACTACCCTGTTGTGGAACATGCCTCTCTGAGTCAATGAATGCAGTCTATCCAGGTTCTGTCCAGCAGAAAATGGATCTAGACTCGCCAGCCTGTGTCCTCTGTGGGGGGACCCACTCTCAGCTCTGGCCCTTCCACTTTAATCAGGGAACTATATAATCTTTGAGAAACTTTCTGGGCAATATGCAACTTTCTTAGCAGAGCGCAGGCTCTAAATTATCTATTCAACAGCAGATGTCAAGGGAGCTGATTTTCAGCCCCAGGCCCTTGTGCTGCAGGTAGGAAACTAGCCCATCTGTACAGAGAACTTCCAGTAACCATCACAGCCAAATTACAGGCATGCCATTCTCTGTTCCACAACAGAATCTAAGTGGACCCAGTCTCAGCTCCAGCCTGTCCGATTTCAATTTCTGAAATGGAATTATTAGTAATAAATACCATACGAGGTAAAAAACAAACAAACAAACAAAAAATGAGGAACCAATAGATTCAGTATGAATTCTACCAGATCTACAAAGAGCTGCATCTTATTCCATGGTGTGGATTATCCTAGTTTCTTCCACCGGTTATGCATGCATGCTTACACACACACACACACACACACACACACACACATGCACGCACACACACAAAAAACAAAAAACAAAAACAAGCAAACAAACAAACAAAAAAAACTGCACACACCTGTGTTTCATGTTCTCCCAAAGAGCTGCAGTGGAAATGTCAAGCTGGCCTCTGGTATCATCCAAAGGCTGAGTGGGGAAGGACCCACTCCTTTGCTTGCATTACATTGCTACCAGCAGCCTTGTCTACAATGGCAGTTTTTCAGTGGTCTCTCACACTTCTCTAGAGAACCTGCAATTATATTTATTTATATGGTTTATAATATATTTGTTAGCCTTTATCTCTAAACTTGAGGCTGGGTACAATGGCTCTAGTCTATAATTTCAGTACTTTGAGAGGTTGATGTTTGAGGATTCTCTGAACCCAGAATTCTGAGACTACAGTGATGTATGATTCATCCTGGTGACAGAGCAACACTCTGCTTTAATCAATAAATAATAAATATACAACTGATAGTAATATTTTTGTTTACAGTTTGGAAACACAAATGTCCTTGATCAAATGTACAAATATGTGATAGTCACTAACACAGCACATACGCATGTGCATGGGAACCAATGCAGGAAAGCAGTGGGATTGGATGCTTTTTCCCCTTAATGCTTGAACACATGTATATTGTGATGATAAGGGTCAGGAAGTCTCTGCTTGAGCTATCAAAACTGTGGAAATAAAAACCTTCACAAGTCAGGAAACAAAACAGTCTCTATTGGTAATAATAACTATAAAATCTTTTGCAGATTTCATTTCATTTTTAATTTAGTGTAGATTAGGCAGCATAACACAGACTACCCTGCCCCTAGTAGTATGCAATTTGATGACAAATGTCAATTAGATTTGGTTGTTGAAAACTACAAGAATCTTACTTAATACCTTAGTTACATACGTAATTTTGACAATACACTAGCTTACTTTAAAGTTTCAGTTGCTCCACTAGACACCTAAATATTATTTTAAACATAGTTCAAAATTAATGTAGATAATGGGCAAAATGGCAGGTTTTTATTTTTATTCATTTCCTTTTGGTTTTATGCCTTTCACTCTCTCCTTTCTTCCCTTCCTTCCTTGCTTCATTCCTTCCATCCTTCCTCCTTCCATCCTCTCCTTCCCTCCCGCTTTCCCTCCTTCCCTTCTTCCCTCCCTCCCTTCCTTTCCTTCCTTCCTTCCTTCCCTCCTTCGTTTCTTTCTTTCTTTCCTTCTTTCTTTCTTTCTTTCTTTCTTTCTTTCTTTCTTTCTTTCTTTCTTTCTTTCTTTCTTCGTTCTTTCTTGCTCTTTCTTTCTTTCTCTTTCCTTCTTTCTTCCTTCCTTCCTTCCTTCATTACTTCCTTTTATTTTTTTATTCCTTTCTTTCTCTCTTTCTGTTTCTTTCCTTCTCTTTCTTCTTTTCTTTCTTTCTCTTAATTTCTTTCTTTCTTTTCTTTTTTCTTTTTTTTTCTTTTTTTTCTGTATCTCTGTTTTTCTCTTTGATTTTTTTTTAGACAGAATCCTGCTCTGTCACCTAGGCTGGAGTGCAGTGGCATGATCTCAACTCACTGCAACCCCCCCATCCCAAGTTCAAGCAATTCTCCAGTCACCCCTCCCAAGTAGCTGCAACTGCACGCATGTGACACCAATTCTGGCTTGTGTGTCTGTGTGTGTGTGTGTGTGTGTGTGTGTGTGTGTGTGTTTGTTTAGCAGAGAGCAGATTTCACAATGTTTGCTCAGGCTGGTCTTGAACTCCTGTCCTCAAGTGATGCAGCCACCTCAGGTTCTCAAAGTGCTGGGATTCCGGGACTGAGCCACCATGCCCATCAAGTTTTATACACTTCTCTCCTTAGTCTTCACCCATATCTATTTTATTGTTTTATTTCATTTTTATTTCTGAGACAGAATCTTGCTCTGGTGCCCAGGCTGGAGTGCAGAGGTGTGATCTCACTTCACTCCAAACTCCATCCCTGGGGTTCAGTGGATTCTTCTACATCAGCCTCGTGGGTAGCTTGGATTACAACCATGGGCCACCAAGCCCAGCTAGCTTTGGTATGATATTAGACATGGGATCTTGCCATGTTGGCCAGGCTTGTCTCAAACTCCTGACGTCAAGAGATCTGCCCACCTTGGCCTGCCAAATAGCTGGGAGTGCAAGTGTGAGCCTCCGTGCCCTGACTCATATCTGTTGTAAAGCTCAGTTTATAAGCAACATTGTCTTCCTGAAATGCTTTATGTTTACAAAACAACTATAGCACTATTATTTACCTCCTTAGGATAAAATATGGTGACACACAAAATGTACACACACAGACACAGACATAGTCAGTGACCAAAAGATCAGTGTAGGCCAGGACCTAAAACAAAAGATAAGTTGCTGCAGTTGACTAGAATTAAGCCAGACCAGAGTTGACCCATACCTAGACAAGAGATGTGAACAGATGCTTTCAAAAAACTGTATCAGATACAGGTCAGTTTATTCTCCAGCCATAGCAAAGGGACATTAAAGATCTGTTGTGCTTAGAAGAGTCTTGATGGTGTGACTTTTCCAGGGTATTAGCATTCATGACGTTGACCTTTAAAGCTCTCCGCAATTACTCAAATCAGTAGACAACTCAGTTTTTCTAGGAGTCTAAAGTGCTGTTCAAAATTTTCTAAAACTTAGTGGCTTAAAACAATAATTATAATTTACTTACTTCAGGCTCTGCAATCTTCCACAGTCTCTCAGCCAAATGATTATCATTCAGGGGCACTCACGAGGATGCAATCTAGTGATGGCTTAGGATAGGGACATTGTCAGGTGTCTTCTCATCTCCTGGTGTCATGGCTAGCATGACTCAAATAGCAGGAGTTGGACTGCTGAGATCCTCAGGCATCTCCTTTTATTTCTATGATTATCTCCATGGAATGTGCCTTCTGCATAGTGGTATGAGGGTGTCAGACGTTGTGATCTGCTCTGGGACTCCTGAGGGGTTTTCCCCATGACAGCAGGAGACTTAGGCAGAGCTGTGTCACCTTTTCTAACCTAGGCCAGAGGTGGCCCTGTATCCAGAAAATGCTTGCACTGTTTTCTATTCATTAGAAGCAAATACTATGTTCAGTCACATCAGGAATGTTTTCAAATGGGTTTGAAGAGAATTTCAGTGTTTTAGACCACTACAGTGACCATGCCTAATAACTACTTATTCTTATAAGTTCTGGATGGGTTTTACCCAACATGATAGCAGATACAGACTTTTAAGCTTAAAACCTATATGTCATGGCCCCATGTTGAAATAACTCTCAAGCAAAAACTGATTTTGAAATAAGAGCTATATAAATAAATAAAATATATGAGATAAACTCATAAATATCTGGATGAAATGCTTATAAAGAGGTCAGCCTTAAAAATGTCATGAGGTCTAATGTGCCACTCTTTTACTATTTCTATGGATATTACTTGGTCAGGAGAACAAGGACTCAGGGTTCTGTGGGTCAGTCTCTGCACTTTGAAACAGTGTCTGAGGCACCAGGAGTAACACCTCCGGCCAACACTGTGTGGTGAGGATGAGGAGTCCATCCGGGTTAAGGAGGGTGTCAGCATAATGTGACTTGGAGGAGAGGTACACCTGGTAGGGTGACCAGGATCAAGGTCTCTGACACATATTGAAATCCCCCATGCCCAACTGCAGCGGGTTGAATACCTCAGCTTGTTCTGGGCTTCCAGGTGTGTTCGGGAAGCATCTCCCTTGACTGGGAAGGATCACCCCATTCCCTTGCCATGCAGCAGGATGGGGCTTGTTACCTCTGCTCTGTCTGTTCCAGCTGTTTCCCTTTGCATTATCTCACTCCTGGGTAAGGTGGCAGGACCCCAGAATGTAGAAGGGCCCTGGGTTGTTGACAGTGCCTGGGGGTGGTCATGTACTAGGAGGAGAGTCCCTACTGAGCCTCCCATGAGCTTGGCGGCTGGGAAGGAACAGTCGTGGGGCACTGGCTCTTCCAGATTCCAGGGGCCTGTCCTGGAGAAGGCCGGGGGGAAGTCATAAGCCTATGGATCTGCAATCTAAGAGGAAGAGCTGTATTTGCCATGGCTGACATCATCAGGGCAAGACACCCACTGAGTGGACAGCTGGGCTTATGCATTTTACCTCTGTCCTGAAGAGACCCTTCATGCCTGCCTCTCCTGGGTCCAGTGATCCTGGGGACCCTGCTCTGAGACCACTCATGACCGTAAGCTTAGGATCTTTTGTGCCTTACTTCCTATCCACCAAGGTGAGGCATCCTGGAGAGGATGTGTGGGGCAAAGCTCCTATGCACACATGTAGCACTGAAACGGGGTGTTACCGGCCACTTAGGCCACTGCTCACCAGGACCTCTCCTGAACTTCCACCTGGCTAAGCAATAAGTGTCTCATCTACATGACACTGCAGCCCAGCTTTCTCCTCCACCTACTGACCCTCTTGGGGAGAATGACAACCTACCTGGAGACTCAGGCCCTGCCAGAACCCCATGCTGTCCTCCCCTCTCATGGGCTGGACACTGTCTGATGCACAAGGATTCCCGAACAGCGATCCCAAAACCCTGTGGCTTCCATTGCTTCTTCCCCGAATGCCTGCCTTTCCTGACCAAACAGATAGGAAGACACAGGCAGCTTCAAGGTTTTATTTCCCTCCGGTTGTCATTTTGGCTCCATGGCATATCCTCTAGGTTGCTCACACTAGCCACCCTTTTCCTCCTCCCTCTCCATTTGTGAGAATCATAAGGACACTTTACATCTCCCAAGTGCACAGGCTTCATGGGTCCTGAAGTTGGATTGTCAAACCCAGCAGACCCTAAACCAAGGTACACAAAGGTACATAGGCACAGGTGTGCACACGCATGCATCAGCTCAGACACGCAGGCTGGAACATGCCCACACTCATACTGGTACGAGGGAAACTGGGTGTCTACACCAATACTCAGATGGGCCTTCATGCTCAGCCACATTCCCTGCTGGACATACACAGAAGGTCCCCTACCATTTAACTGACCAGCTACAGTGGGATTTATTTTTACTTTTATACTTTCATAACTTACCAAAGTATGTTGCATTCTTTCCCCCATCATGAAAAAGACTTTGACAAAAGTAAGGAGGAAGAGTAATTTTTATAATAAAATACTTTATTGGAATCTATAATGTTAAGGTATTTTAAAAATTTTATGTCTTTTAATGTCATAGGAAATGTCTCAGGGGCAGGGGCAACATGAGTGAGGATGGCAGAGGGGAGAAAGCATGTCAGGGGAGCCTGAGGTCGTTGAAACAGATCATGATAGGGCTGGCCATTCTAGAAGGACATAGACCTAGGTGCACCTCATGTGCACCTCTGTGTGGAAGGTAAGAGGGCCCTAGTTGAGCCCAAACTGAACCCCAGGTGGTAGCAGGCCTCAAGGTGTGAAAGAGAGCCAGAGATGCATGATGTGGCAGCTATTCATTAATCCTTGCTTCTCACTCATTGACCTTAGCCACTTCTGCCTCTTAGGTGACTTCAGCTTCCCCAGTTCTGAAATATGAGTGTTAGAGTTCCCTAAAGACCCTTTCTCCCCCAGCCCAGGGATGGCCTGGGATTTCTCACTGCAGGCTCCTCCCTGAGCTTTGAGTTTTCCACGTGTGTCCCAGCTCTAGGACACACAGGACCCTGAGCCTCCAGCCTTGGGCTTCTTACCTCTTCTCTCTGTTCCCTGTCCTAGGGCTTAACTCCTTCTGGTAGTACTTCAGGGGATTGAGACAGAGGCCCTGACTGATGGACTGGGTGACTGTGGAAAGGGGTCCATGACTGGTCATGTCATGGTTCAAAGCCAATTCCCCAGACGCCAAGGAAAGACTAGCAAGGTCCTTTCCCATGACACACCTCAGCGGTGCCCACCTCAGCAATCCTGGCTGACCCTGAGTGGTGACAGTCAGCCAACCAGCTGAAGAATCTCAGTTAGGCTGTCCTGCCTTAAGCTGGAGGCTTCTCCTGCATGACTCTAGAAAAACTGGGCTATGGTAGAGCCAGACACCTTGCATCCTGGAGCAAGAGGAGTCGGGAAGGCTAATGTCAGGCCTAGCCTTCCACACTCCACCCCCTCTACCATGCTGGGAGGCACTCCTTACAGAGGATACCAACCTGATACTCCTTAATGATCACTTCATTGTGGAAATATGCGTGTGATAAAAGGAAAACTTCATCCTGCCACTGGTACCTGGGATGGCTGAGTTCCTCCACCTGCCAGGCCAAGAAGAGGACAGACTCAAAGGGACCATTTCATCTAGCTGGGCTGAGGGCCTGTGGGCTGGGGTGAAGCATGCATTTACCCTTCCCAACTCTCCTGCTGAGACACCCCCAGTCCCCAGGAGGTCCTCAAACTGACCAGGACCCATGACCCCTCCCCCAGACTCAGCCACCCAAGCCTGATCTGCAAATCGATCATGGAGCTTACTTAGCAGGACTTCCTCATGTTTTCTGAACCCTGCCGACATCTGGGTGTGTGCACCATCTGCCTGTGGTCAAGGAGCCTCCAGATGATTGGATGGGCATGCCAGGAAACACCCTGCAAATTTACAAGACCTGGGAGAGTGTTGGGTAGGGCTATTCCCCAGACCTTTGGCCTGGCACCCTGCATTGGTGGTCCTGTCTCTGTCCAGCACTGGGGGCATGGTAGCAGATGTGGTGGTCTTGTGGGTCGGTGGAGGGAGTCCCGGAAAGCATCCGCTGACAATGAGCAGGAGGGACAAGCAGGGAGATTGGGTGTGGGGTGCTGTAGTGTGAGGCAGCTGTTTCCTCAGAGTTCCTGAGCTGCACGTGGCCATTGTGTGCTGGGTGCTGGACAGGCTCTGCTGAGGGTGTCCAGGTGTGTGGTGCCCTCTTGTCCTGGTCTCTCTGTGGGTTGGTTATGTGCACTTGAGGGAACTGCTGTGTGTAGAAGGGACTGCAGGGCTGTGCCTGGCACTCCCCATTGGGCTCACATGTGTACAACAGAGATTTTATATGCTCAGGGCCTACAGCTCTTTGGGTGCAGGGCAGGCAGAGGGAAGAAAACCTGTTTGGGGAGCTGGTGCTTGCCTTGCAGAGGACAGCAGCCCCATGCACTGTGAACCCGAGTCTTCAGCACCTTGTGTTTCTAGAGTGAATTTGCTGGACACAGACATGGGTAGTGGTTGTGGTTCCGTGGCTGGTATGAGCATGCAGACTCCCCTTCCTCCAAGGACTTTCCCAGGGAAACATACCCTTCAACTCTCTGCTGTGCAAGAAGGGTCCTTGGCACCGCTATTCTCCCTTGTGCATGCTGAGCTTGGCCCGCAGTCCCTACCACATGCTCTCAGGGCACCCGCAAACAAGCTGCCCTCCTATCTGCGGGAGTCTGCCCTCAGATCCCCTTGTTGTCCCCTGTGCCCTGCCTCCTGGCTGACCCCATGTGCCTCTGGACTGGCTCCCTTGCCCTGGTAGCCTGACGCCCAGCCCCTGCTCTCAGACATCCCGAATGGGCAGCTCAAGGATATGGCTGTGGCCCAGAAGCTGGAGATGCCCTGGCTGATGGCCCATGTGCCATCCAGCCTAGGCAGATGCCTCTGCCAAAACTTCTGCCTCAGCCCTGGGCAGTCCATATGACCTGGGGTATTCATGGAGTGCAGCTCCAAGTGAAGGACCTCAAGCATATCTGTTGCTGGCTGGGACATGCTAGGGCCAGGGCCAGGCTGTGCCTTCTGGTCCTCCTCCTGCTGCTCTATGTCGGCCTTCTCCTCAACCACCATCTGGACCATCGCCATGATGTCGTCCACCACCAGCACCTTCTCCTCTCCAAAGGGTGACTCTGTGCTTAATACCCTGGCTGCCCTCTCCTGCAGAGCCTCCAATTTGAATGGGGTGCCTCCTTTGGAGGTCCCACTGACCACAGCCTGCACTGTCCATTCCCCATCTGGATAATACATCCTTAAAATATCCTTCAGAAAAAAAAAACCTTAAAAGTGTTCCTATTTCTCCATATTCTCTCCAACATCTGCTGTTTCCTGACTTTTTAATGATCGCCATTCTAACTGGCATGAGATGGTCTCTCATTGTGATTACAGGGTCATGTATGGAGCTGGAAACCATCATACTAAGCAAACTATCACAAGGACAGAAAACCAAACACTGCATGTTGTCACTCTTAAGTGGGAGTTGAACAATGAGGACACATGGACACAGGGTGAGGAACATCACACTGGTAGGGGGTTGGGGGGCTGGGGAGGGATAGCATTAGGGGAAATACCTAATGTGAATGGTGAGTTGATGGGTGCAGCAAACCAACATGGCACATGTATCCCTATGTAACAAACCTGCACATTCTGCACCTGTATGCTAGTGCTTAAAGTACAATAAAAAAATTAAAAAGAAAAATAGCTCTCCAAACCCAAATACTAAATAAAAAATGAGTATCAAGTGGCCTAGAGTGTAACTTACATGAAAACATCACAGATATGTAGCAGATAGTTTCTAAATGCCACCATAAGCCTGGTGGTCTGCAAGAAGCTTAGAAAAACATGGTCTTTGCTTTTCTGAGTGTGCAGTTGTTACAGGCACATAGATAAATGAGGAATAATAAGTGTGAGAACTGTTGTAATAGGCAAATACAGGAAATATAACTGGAAATATGGGCAATGATTTTGACAAAACATTAATAAACAATGAAATGTAAAAAAAAAGACATGATTTTAATAAGCATTTCCTTCTTCATCCCTCCAGAAGAAAACTCATGCCTCTGCTTCATTGGCTGACATGCTCCTAAGTAGATGTAACAACTCTGATTTGTATTACTCAATCATATTTTCCTCATTTATGAAACACCAGTTCACAGATCCTTTTGAAGATCAAATGAGAATATTTACTGTTACTGTATTAACTGTCAAGTGCTACACAACTGTTATTGTCTCATGGTGGATTTATACTGTGTATATCACATGGTTAGCATAGCATTCTCATAAAGGAAATCTTGAAATGTGTCTGCTGCTCAGTTTTTATTTTTCAAATGTTTCAGTCATTATTATTTATCATATGATTTCTAGGGGCTTTTGAATTTTAAAGAGAATATATATAAACAGAAAAGAGAAGGACAATGAAATTGTGAGACAACAGTCATAATTTCATTGACTAATTCAATTGCTTATAAAGTGAGATTAGATTATATTTCTCCTAAAAGATCCTCAGAGAAATTCTAAAATGATGCACCCGCTGTTTGAATGACCATAAACTTGTTGCTTAAGTTAGAGTTAACTATTTTAAAAGCCTGTAGATACAGTAACAGTTTCATGTATTAAAACAGGGAATACAGGATTTTTAGTACTACTTGCCCTCACCAGAAAACATCATAACTTTTAAACAGTTCTTTATGTCAAATTAAATTTTTCATTTTTCTACCAAATGTTTTGGATGATGTATGTATTTTTAAATGTATTTTCACCCTTATTGTACTTCTGTGATAAGCTGAAGACTTAAATTCACATCATAATTATCTTTCAGTCTTATTTGTCTGTTCCAAGTGGTTCACAGAAATAAAGAATTCCATGTATGCTTGTATCTTTCAGCAACCTTATTTCAGATAACCGTGCCCTTTACTGCATAAATGACATGTACAGGTCCAAAGGCAGCAGCGGGAGGAGGAGGAGGAGTAGGAGGAGGAGAAGAAGAAGGAGAAGGAGAAGGAGAAGGAGAAGGAGAAGGAGAAGGAGAAGGAGAAGGAGAAGGAGAAGAACTGGAAAAGGAAGAGGAAGAAGAGAAGTTTCATATCTATACATTTGTAACACTATATCAGAAACTCAGTAGTAATAGTGAAATAAAAAAATTCATAGTCAATTTCATCTCATACCTAGACTGAAATATGAATCTTGAAAAGGAAGTTAAGAACTTTGGGCTTGTCAAAATTTTCCTATATGATAAAATTATTGGAGACTTTCTCTCACTAGAAAACAAACAAAAATCAATGTTTTGTATATGTGTAAATAAAAATATTTTTATTTCTCTCAGTTATGACATGCAAGCAAGTAATAAAGTGAAAGAACAATAATAAAATGATATAAGGAAATTTATCTGTATCAAAAAATTTCATTGAGGCTATTAATTTTACAAAAACCATAGAGAATGCTTCATGAAACTACATTATATAGTACTTTTTAGTATTTTACTTACATTTTAAATCATCAACAAATTAAAGGAAGTTCTTAATAATTATTTATTACCAATAACATGATTCTACTCAAGCAATCCTTTTGAGATTAAGTATTTTAAATAAAACTTTAAAAACAAATGGTACCGACTGATATCAGCTTTCAATGAAATAATACTTCTGTATTTGTAGTAATGTGAAGTATAACTTTCTCCTCACAGTGGATCTTTTATAACATCAGTATTAGTGTTTTCTCTGATATAAACACTGTGATACTCACAGCTTTCCTGTATCCATACATTACATGTCTTCGGAGAGTAGGCTTCAAACAGATGGGAAAATTATATTTGTGAAAAAATTCTCGAGAAAGGAATGGTAAAATGGGAGAATAATTTCCAAATTTCTAACTGTTCATCAATGCATTTGGCTATATTTAGATATAGACAAATATTTTCACACTGCAAGTTTGTGCATGGGTATATAAATGTGTATGTGATACCCATAATGTGTGTGTTGTGTAATCTTTTAATTAATCCTCCCTTTTACATGTGGGAAATTTGGTAAGGACTTATCAAGTCCTCAATTTGAAGTGCTATACTCAATTTGATGTAAAGCCAACAAAATCTCTATCAATATTTCTTTCAGTTAATCCAATAATGTGAACTGCTGATAGCTTCATTCTCTTTGTCTCCTGTTGGCAGCTGAAAGTTGATTCTCACTCTATTTCAGTGCTCAGGGTGCCATCCACAAGAAACTATCCCCTTGCTGTGGATTGTGACCTCTGACTCCACCACTTTCATCCTATAAGAGTCCTATATTTGCATATTTAATGAACTTTGTGCATGGTTAAAAAAATAAAAGTGCAATGAAATGTCAGGCCATGCTGTGAAATGTTCCATTTTTTCTGTATCTCAAATTCACCTTTCATGTTATAGAGGACAAGAAAAACAATTAAATATGTTTCTTAGTATCCAGTCCAATGCGCCCCTTCTTATTAATATGCCAAACCACTCCCTTCAAAGCAAGGACCTCTAAACACAGCTAGATGTATCAAAATCTCTTCTAATTAATAGCCATTATGTTAATCACTGCTGTCCAGATCTTGACTCTGAAATCCTCAGGTGGAAATTGCTATAATGGTTCAAATTACAGGAATGACTATGTTTCGGCATAATTACTGCTATCATCTTACTGAAAAATATAACATTAGATGGCAACTTTTAGTTAAATAAATCCTATTGATTAATTTTTAATGTTCAGCATTTATGATATTGCACAAGTTTTGATAACTTAAATGGTTAGCTGAGCAATAACTAAAATAACTCACAGCAATTCAAACATTCATTTACTTACTAGAAGTGCCATACATCATTAACTTCTGATGAAAACAAAGTTGGGAAATTGCAACTGGCTACTGAAATATGTATTTCAGGGTATTTTATAAAACTATCTGTGCCATGTATGATGCCTTACCTGCAAGATAAACCTGTAACATATATAAAAATAAATGTCTTTGGTTCTTTTTTTTTTTTTTTTTTTTTTTTTGAGACGGAGTCTCGCTGTCGCCCACGCTGGAGTGCAGTGGCGCAATCTCGGCTCACTGCAGCCTCCGCCCCCTGGGGTTCACGCCATTCTCCTGCCTCAGCCTCCCGAGTAGCTGGGACTACAGGCGCCCGCCACCTCGCCCGGCTAATTTTTTGTATTTTTAGTAGAGACGGGGTTTCACCGTGTTAGCCAGGATGGTCTCGATCTCCTGACCTCGTGATCCGCCCGCCTCGGCCTCCCAAAGTGCTGAATGTCTTTGGTTCTTAATATCTCTCTACATTTGTCTTCATAACCTCAAGACAAAAACACCCATGTACTCGACTTTCAGCTGAGTTGACTACCAGTTATTAGAGTTTAAGTAAACAGAATAAAGATTTCAAAATTTGGTGATCAAATATGGGAAATCACACTCTCACCATAAGAAATAATTATTCTCAAGTGCCACTGCACATGCAAAATTGAAAGAAGAAACTAAGTCTAATATATTGCAATATTCTCAAATTTAAAATTTCCTCTTGGAGTTCTGGTGGTTCATGCCTGAAATTGCAGATCTTTGGGAGGCTGAGAAGGGAGGATTGTTTCAAGCCCAAAGTTTGAGACCAGCACAGGCAACATAGCAAGACCTATCTCTACAAATGTAACTAACTGATTAATTAAATACATTGGACATGATGGCACACATCTGTTGTTCTATTTATTTAGGAGTGGAAGGTTGTAGTGAACTGTGATCGCACACTGCACTTCAGCCTGAGCCATGGGGCAAGACTTTGTCTCTACAAAATATTTCAATACAATAAAACAAAATAAATTAAAATAAAAACACTTTCAGATGTTTTTTGGAAGTTCATATAATTGCTCCAAAAGAATACACAGTTTAAAGCTGATCAGTTCATGGGGAATGGGCATTGAACATTGTTTATATTGTTTTCCAAAAATTATGATAAATATGTTAGAATATTATATATAAATATCTAACAACATTTTGTAAAATAAGTATTGATAAATGTCAAGCCATTGTGCTTATAGACTTTTCCTTCAAAATATTCATAGTTTAATTGGAGAATGAAGAGGAAAGTAATAATTGCAATGTACTCTGACAAGTGTTACAATATATACAATTTCGTAACTTAGTTGGAGAGGAAGGAAGTTCTTAACTGGGTTTGCAGGGATGTGGGCAACCTTCTTAGGGCAGGAACAATTGACTGCATCTGTAAGTATACCAATTTGCAAGAAGAATGGGAGAATAACATTGTATAAAAAAAGAAACATTCTTTCTATCAATGATAAAAGTACTAACAGTGCATATGATGCCATCTGCCCAATTCTTACATCATACTAGCTCCATAAATATTTCTTGAAAGAATCCATGAATGGAAAATATTGGGAAAAGGATTCATGAGGGGATTTTCAAAATCCTATAAAGGAAAGGTAAGTACACTGTACTTCACAATTTTGTCTGCTCTTCTTTACATTCTTGTTGTTTACTACCTCATAAGCTCTGTTTTACTTTTTGGTTTTTTCACAAATATCATGCATAAATTGTTCCTGAGACTACTTTCTCTTTATCCCTTGATACTATGTTTGTCTCTGTTACTCCTTTATGTGAGGTCCTGGGTTTGTATGCCCACAGCTACATCTTTTACCTCTCCCTATCACTGTTCTGTAAAAGAGAGGCCTGGCCCCTCGGAGGCATGGTTCCTAGGCTCCCGTAAAAATTACTTCCTGTTTCAGTTCAGCCAAGGGGTGACAATGCAGAGATTAGATAACAAGAAGATGAGAGAAGCCAGTTTGTTTCCCTTTCCTTCTCAGTAGGGGATATGTTTCTGCAGTGATTCTATGGCCTGCAGGACATGCTCCATGTGCTTCCATTTTCCATGTAGTGACCCTAATCCTAAATTGGCTCTTCTAATGCCATTTTATCCAGTTGTCTTCTCTAAAGGATTTGGGTACTATTTTTGGAGTTTTAAATTAAAAAAAAAATTGATATGGAAGGAGGGCAGGGAAATGGCTGTTAGAGAATGGTGTGGTTCTTGGCTATGGGTCCACCCTCAGGCCTGTGCTCACTGAACTAGATGAGTACATGCACTACTGTTTTCTTGCCCAAATTCTTGAGGACTTGTGCTTCTGTTTTTTTTTGCCAAAGTGTTGCATTTTCTAAGACCACCCTGGCCTGCCATACCCCCATCCTGTGCTATAAGAAACCCCGAGACCCTAGCTGGCAGAAACACAGCAGCTAGGCGTCGAGAGGAACCATCAGCAGAGGAAGGCACAGCAACTGGACCTTGAAAGGATACCAGAGAAAGGAGAACACAAGGACTGGCAGCAGACCATCCACCAAAGAAGAACAGGGAGTTCCACGGGGCTGTTGAGGGGGAGCGCTGAGCTGCCCCATTCTAAGGGAAAACGACCTTCCCACTCCATCTTCCTTCTGGCTCCCCATTCACCTGCTGAGAACTTCCACTCAGTGAAACCTTGCACTTATTCTCCAAGCCCACATGTGAGCCAATTCTTCAGGTACACCAAAGCAGGAAACCCCAGGATCCAGAAAGCCCACTGTCTTTGCAGTAAGGCAGGGTGTCTAATAGAGCTAACACAAGCCACCTACAGATGGAGAAACTAAATTATCACTGTGTAACATATGCCCACTGGGTATTCAGGAACTATAAACATTCACCCTTAGATGCTGCCTGGGGTCAAACCCCTACAACCTGTCCTCATTGCTCACCCAGAGGTGGAGGATAAGGGATGTTTTCCCATTTCAATGAGTCTGTTTCCAATGCAGTGTGCTTTCTGCAATACTGCAGTGTTATCTCATTGCATATATTTGACAAAATAAGTTACAAACTATAACTAAAGTGAGAAGAAAATAAATGGTGGATAATAAGGAAGTAATATGAAACATTGTGTTTCACAATGAAGTCCCCATGGGACCCGATTCTTGCACCCAGCCTCTTTTGGGAAAGAAGTCAGAAGAGCAGTTTCCAGAGACCATGTTACAGTCTCAGATACCTCCTTCTCCACCAGGACCCCACTACCAAGATGACTGGAAGTAGCAATAAGGTCAAGACTTTTAGGGTCCTGCAGTAGGTTATCACAGGCAGCCTTTTTCCCAATACCAGGCCGGCTTTGACTGTACCATTTTCCTCTGCTTTGGCAGGCTGACAGCTCAGACAGCCAAGTGCCAGAGTCTGCCTCACAAATGTGCATGCGCTATTTTCAAAGCACCAGGCCTAAACAGTGAGCTATGACTGGTGTCACATTGAATGCCATTGTTGCCCAGAGACAAGTCACGGTGGCTTGGAGGAGAATTAGACCTCCATGGAGATGCATCAATGGTGGACTCTCACCTGTCTTCTCTGTGGGATCCAAGGGCAGTCCCATGATTCTAGGAGAGGGTAGACATGAGACAGTCTGAAGAAACATCAAGCAGAGTCCCAGGAATGAACCACAAAATCCTTAAGGATCCAAAAGAATCTGCAGGATTCCTCAGGTCTGCTTAGATGTTGTACAGTTGACTTTTTTTTAAACTTGTCCAATGGCGATTACTAGATACAGCCCGCCCGTGTTACCTGGCATTGCTCTCTCCCAGTTGGGTCTTCCTGCAGAAACACAGCTGAAGGAAGAACCTCATAAGCTGCAGGGCTGTGTGTTTCTGTATGAGTGTTGTGAGTGTTTGATGTCTGCTTTGCGTGTGTGGCTTAATGTATTTGTGGGTGTGTGTGTGGGAGTGTGTGCCTGTAAGTGGAGTCTGATTAAAGTAATGTGGCTATCCCATTGCAGTGCTTCTTTTTTTGAAGTAACCCAACATTCTGGTGGCCTGTGGGTAGCTCTGCTTGGGCTGCAGAATTCCATGTTCTTTATTTTTCTGTGGATCTTGAATTCATAATGAGTTGCGAGTCTGGCTGAGACCCGCCAGGGTCAAAATCACCTTCCCGTAAAAAACAAACAAACAAACAAACAAACAAACAAACAAACAGCTATTCTTCTAGAAAGAAGAGGAGGACATCATACCCAAGAACTAACATCTCCTTGTGTTTCATTGTCCCGCAGCCAACCCAGGGAGAGACACCAGCAGTCTTGTCCGCAGGACCCCTTGAATTTACCTCAAATTTGGTTCCCAGCTGAGCCAGTGCTTAAAGTCATCAGAGAACACTCCTCCACTGTATTGAGATTTCATTGTGGGTCAGAGAGTGTGAGCAGCAATAAGGTCAGATGGGGTGAGGATACAATCTGGTGAGGGGTGGATGGGGTCCTGCACCTTCATTTGCAAAAAAGGTGAAGACAAATGACACAGAAGGTGCTTCCAACTGCATCCCTGCATCCTCTTAATTGCACCAGCGGTCTACACCATGGCTGTGTATTCATCTGGGAGTACTCCAATGTGCATGGAACATTTGGAATGCAAACGGGCCATCCTGGCAAATTCCCAATTTGAGGGCTTTCATTCCCATAGCCAAATGGGAATGGCATGGATTAATGCTGAATAGAATGTGTTCTCCATGATTGGCTATTCTTTTCCTGACTTCCATGCTCCTTGTCTGCCTAGGATTTCCTGGATCTGGCTAAATGTCTTACACACTAACTGTTTCCCAGTTCACGGAAGATGACCATCATGGGAATCCATTGCTTGAGTGTGTCCTTCTAAACACTGTCATCTTTTAATGACTGGGCTTCTTGACACCTTTAACATTTTAATGTGTATTTCTGTTATTGTAAATTTCTGTTACAGACATGAGAAAGAAAACCCTTGTTCTCCCAGTTCCATCAGATGTCTGCATGATTCCTGTAGGGTGAGAAGCAGGTAGGCATGTCTGGATTTTTTCCTGGTAATCTAGGCTGCATTTCATTGCATCTGCACATCCTTTCTCTTTGTGGAGGGAGTATTTCATTGAGCTGTTTCTGGATGTGACTGCCTTTCACCAAAGATCTCTTGGCTGCCAGGGATTTCAGGGGGCAAAGAGAAGTCGGGTAGGCTGGCTGCACTTCAGGGTGTTGGTCATGGTCTCTTTGTTGGGGCTGAGGTTATTTACACTTTGCAGGAGGCTTTTGGATCATCTGACTAGAATGTTTGAATGTCATTTGGACTTCAGCACAAGTCAGCTCATTCTCTCAGGTGAGATTTGATTTTTCTTTCTTTCATAGTGGGTCCACAGTGACTTTCAACAACACTACTGGACATAATTTTCAGGCTTGCAATCACAACAGATGGCCTCTGACACAGTGTCTTAACCAAATCTGCATCTGTGAGCCCCCAGTTTGAGGTGTGAGAGCACAGCTCCACCTTGGATTTGCCTTCTTCATGGTCTCTGCCTTTCCCAGACAGTTCTTGTGGGGTCCAGGTTCAAGGGAGGAAGTGAGGTAAAGGACACAGCCTTCTTTCACTGACACCCACCTCTGGGGTCTCAGGTATGATTCTACCCATCAAAAATCCCTCAAAAACTCACTGGACTATATTCCAAACCCAAAGGACCTGATTCTTGCACACAGCCTCTTTCAGGAATGGCGTCAGAAGAGCAGTTTCCAGGGACCCTCTTACTGTCTCAAAACTGCTTCTCCAGCAGTACTAAAACGGCCCAACAGATCCGTAAGGTTGAGACTTACAGGGTCCCACAGAGTGTTATTGCAGGCAGCCTTTCTCCCGATACCAGGCCGGCTCCGCCTGTACCATTTTCCTCTGCTTAGGAAGGCTCACGTATCTGAGAGTTGGGCATCCACCCCTGCCTCTCAAATGCCTGCGCACTATTCTCCTGACACCAGGTCTGAGATGTGAGCTCTGTGTGGCGTCATAATAAATGACACCATTGCCTAGTGAAAAGTCATTGCAGTTTGGTGCAGAAGGATAGCTCCGTGGAGGTGTGTCGGGGGTGGATTGTCACCTCTTTTCTTTGTGGGATGCATGGGATAGTCCCATGATCCTAGGAGAGGGCAGACATGTGCCAGCCTGAAGAATCATCAAGCAATGTCCTAGCAATAAACAGTGAAATTCCTAAGGATCCAAAAGAATCAGAAGGATGGCTCAGGCCTGCCTACATGTTACAGTGGTGAGTTCTTTAGAAACTTGCCCCACTGTGATTTCTAGGTACAACCCGCCTGTGTTCCTGGGGTTGCTCTCTCCATAGTGGGGATTTCTGCTGAACCATGCAGCCTCAGAAGCTGCTGGGCTGTGTGTTTTTGTGGGAGTGTTGCTAGTGTTGGATGTCTGCCTTTTTGTGTGGTTTTGTGTGCTTGTGTGGTGTGTGTGTGCGTGTGTGCGTGTGTTCCTGTAAGTGGAGTCTGCTTACATAAATGTGGCTAATGCACTGAAGACCTTATTTAGGTTGAGTCCCCCAAGCATTTGGTGGCCTGTGTGGCTCTGCCTGGGCTGTGAGACTCTGTGTTCTTTATTTTCCTATGGATAAAGAATCTGCAGTGATTTGAGAGGCTGGCTGTGACCTGTCCAGGTGCAAATCACCTACCCCTGAAATAAAAGCCACTCTTCTTCAAAGAAGAGGATCACACATTACCCAAGAATGGACATCTCCCAGTGTTTCACTGTCCTGTGGCCAAGCCCAAGAGAGACACTAGCAGTCCTACATGCAGGGCCTTTTGAAATTACCTCAAATTTAGTTAGCTGCTGAGTAGGTGCTTCCTGTCATGAGGCAGCACTCCTCAACAATTTGAGTGTTGTTGAAAGTCACTGTGGACCGACTATGAAAGAAAGAAAAAATGAATAAGGTCAGAGAGGCATGAGGATGCAGTCTGGTTAGGATTGGATGGGGTCCTGCACCTTCACCTGCAAAAAAAAGGTGAAGCATGCTGACACAGAAGTTTCTTCCAGCTGAATTCCCACATTCCTTTAGTTGCACAAGCAGTCCACACCATGGCCCGGTGTTCAGGAGGGAGTACTCCAACGTACAAAAAACATTTGGAGTGCAAATTGGGGCCATCTCGGCAAACTCCCAATTTGAGGGCTTTTATACCCAGAGCCAAATGGGAGTGGTATGGATTGATGCTGGGTGGGATGTGGCCTCCGGACTTGCATCTTCTTATCCTGACTTCCATATTCCTCGTCTGCCTCGTGTATCCTGGGTCCGGCTCACTGTCTTCCACACTACACATTTCTCAGTTCACCGACAATGACCCTCATGAAAATCCATTGCATGAGTGTTTCCTTCTAAACACTGTCATGTTTTAAAAACTGGACATTTTCAATAGTTTTAAAATCATAAATTCCTGTTACAGTGCCAGCAAGGAAACTCTTGTTCTCCCACTTATATTGGCGGGCTGCATGATTCTGGTAGGATGAGAAGCAGGCAGGCATGTCTAGCTTTTTCCTGGAAATCTAGCCTCAGTTTTATTTCAACTACATGGACCTCTCATTGTGGAGGGGCTCTTTTGTTGGGCTGTTGCTTGATGGAACTGTCTCTTGCCACAGATTGTTTAGCTGCCAGGGATTTCAGAGAGCAAAAGGAACTTCAGGTAGGCTGGCTACCTTCCAGGTTGTGGGTCATGGTCTCATTTTGGGGGCTTAGGTTCTTTGCACTTTGCAGGAGACTTTTGGGTCCTCTGACAGGAATCATTGAGCATTGCATGGACTCCAGCACAAGGCAGCTCATTCTCTCAGGCGAGCCTTGATTTTTCTTTGCTTTCATGGGGAATCCACAGTGCCCTACATCAGCACTAATGGACATCCCTTTTAGGCTTGCCATAGCCACAGATGGTCATTGAGACATTGTCTCAACCTCATCTGCACCCAGGAAGGGCCAGTCTGAGGTGTAAGAACACACTCCACCTTGGACATGCCTTTGTAGTGGTTCCTGCCTTTCCCAAAAAGCCCCTGCAAGGCCCAGGATGAAGGGAGGCAGTGAGGTCCAAAGCCCAGTCATCTTTCACTGACACCCACCTCTGGGGTCTCAGTATGATTCTATTACCCAAAGCGCCCTCAACCACACACCAGACTATATACAAATTGTCATGAGACCAGATTCTGCCTCATAGCCTCTCTCATAATGGAGTCAGAAGAGCAGTTTCTAGTGATCACCTCAGAGTCTCTAAATGCCTCCTCCTCCTGCAAGACTCGAACACGCAGGTGGCCTGAAATGGCTCTGAGGCTGTGACTTTTAGGGTCCCACTGTGGGTTTCACAGGCAGCCTTTTTCCCAATACCAGGCCGGCTCTACCTGTACTGTTTTTCTCTGCTTAGGCAGGCTGACTTTCTTACAGCAGAGTGGCTGAGCCTGCCTCACAAATGCACATGTGCTAGTCTCAGGGCACCTGGCCTGATTGTGAGTGCTGGCTAGTGTCACAGTGAATGTCACCATTGGCTAGCGACAAGTCCCTGAAGCTTGGCAGAGTAGGAAACCTCCATGGAGGTTCATCAGCTGTGGACTCTCACCTGTTTTCTCTGTGGGATCCATGGGTTAGTCCCATGATTCTAGGACAGGGCAAACATGAGTCAGCCTCAGAAAACATCAGAACCTCAGGAATAAACCATGATATTCTTAAGGTTCCAAAAAAGTCTGCTGGATTATTCAGGCCTGCCTAGATATTTTAGGGGTGAGTCTTTTGGAAATTGCCCCACTGTGATTTCTAGGTACAGCCTGCCTGTGTTCCCTGGGGTTGCTTTCTATGAAATGGGGCTTCCTGCAGAAACACGTGGACTCAGGTGCTGATGGGCTGTGTGTTTCTATGGGATTCTTGCAAGTGTTGGATATCTCCCTGTGTGTGGTATTTTGTGTGTGTGTGTGTGTGTGTGTGTGTACCTGTAAGTGGAGTCCGCCTAAAGGAATGTGGCTAACGCACTTCAGCACTTATTTTTTGTCTTCCAACCTTGTGTGGGGAGCCTGTGTGTGTTCCTCTGCTTCTGTTGTGGGTCTATGTGTTCTATATTTTTCTGTGTATCATGAATCCACAGTGAATTAGGAGGTGTGCTGAAACCCACAAGTGTCCAAATCACCTCTTGGTTAAAAAAAAAAAAAGTCACTCTTCTAGAAAGAAGAAAAGCACACCACACCAAAAAACAAACATCCCTGGTGTTTCATTGTCCTGCAGCCAAACCAGAGAGACACTAGCAGTCCTGTCCACAGGGCCCCTTGAATTTACCTCGACTTCCGTTCCCAGCTGAGCTGGTGCTTCACTTCATGAGGGATCACACCTGCATTGTCTTGGGATTTCATCCTGGGACATAGAGTGTGAGCAGCAGTAAGGTCAGATAGGGGTGAAGATACAATGTAGTGAGAATTGGATGGGTTCCTATAACCTCACCTGCAAAAAAAAAAAAAAAAAGAAGACAGATTACAGAAGATGCTTCCAACCCCATCCCTGCATTTCCTTAATTGCACAAGCAGTCCACACCATGGCCCAGTGTTTAGGTGGGAGTACTCAAATGTGCAAGGAATATTTGGAGTGCAAATTGGGGCCATCCTCGCAAACTCCTGATTTGAGGACTTTTATGCCCGGAGCCAAAGGTGAGTGGAATGGATTGATGCTGGGTGAGATGTGGTCTCCACAGTTACCTCTTCTTTTCCTGACTTCCATGTTCGTGATCGGCCTAGTGTTTCCCACGTCTGGCTCAACAACTTCCACACTAAATGTTTCCCAGTTCACGGAGAACGACCCTCATGGGAATCCATTATGTGAGTGTTTCCTTCTAAACACTGTCAAGTTTTAAATGACTGGGCAGCTTTGATGCTTTTAAAGCCATAAATTCCTGTTACAGCCTCCAAAAGGAAACTCTTGTTCTCCCACTTCCATTGGAGGGTGGCATGATTCCTGTAGGATGAGAAGCACACAGCCATGTCTGGCTTTTGGCTTGTAATCTAGCCTCTGTTTCATTTCATCTACACGGCCTTCTCATTATGGAGGGGCTCTTTTATTGGGCTATTGCTGATGGGACTGCCTCTCCCTACAGATTATTTAGCTGCCAGAAATTTCACTGAACAAAAGGTACTTCAAGTAGGCTGGCTGTGCTCCAGATTGTGGTCATTTTCTCCTTGGAGGGGCTGAGGTTGTTTGCATTGTTGCAGGAGGCTTTTCAGTTTTTTGACAGGAATCATGGAACATTGCTTGGACTCCAGCACAAGGCGGCTCATTCTCTCAGGCAAACTTTGATTTTTATTTGCTTTTATGGGGACTCCTCAGTGCCACTGAACAGCACTACTAGACACCCTTTTCAGGCTTACCATAGCCACAAACAGCCTTTCAGACACTGTCTCTACTTCATCTTCATCCGTGAGAGGCCAGTCTGAGGTGTGAGAACACTGCTCCATGTTGGACTTGCCTTTGTCAGGATTCTTGTTTTTTTCCAGAGAGCCCCTGCAAGGCCCAGAATGAAGGGAGGCAGTGAGATCAAGAGCCTGACCATCTTTTGCTGACACCTGCATCTGAGGACTCAGGTAAAATTCTATTACCCAATGAACCCTCAACAACACACCAGACTATATTCCAATCCCCATGGGACCTGATTCTTGCACGTGGTCTCTTTCAGGAATAGAGTCAGAAGAGTAGCTTCCTACGACCACCCCAGAATCTCAAAATGCCTCTTCCTCCAGTGGGACCTGAAAATGGAGATCGCCCAAAGGGGCCCTAAGGTCGATACATTTAGGGTCTCACAGTGGGTTTTTGCAGGCAACCCTTTTCTTGATATCAGGCAGGCTCTGCCTGTTTCATGTTCCTCTGTTTAGGCAGGCTGACAGCTCTGACAGCCGGACACCCCTGCCTGCCTCATGAATGCGCATGTGCTAGTCTCAGGTCACCTGACCTGACTATGAGCTCTGGCTAGGTTACAATGAATGTCACCGTTGCCTAGTGACAAGTCTCTGCCACTTGGCAGAGAAGGAGGCCTCCATAGATGTGTGTCAGCCATGGACAGTCACCTGTCTTTTCTGTGGGATCCAAGGGATTGCCACATGATCCTAGGAGAGGGCATGATCCAGTCTGAAGAAACATCAAGTAGAGCCCCAGGAATGAACCATGAAAATCCTAAAGCTCCAAAATGATCTGCAGGATTGCTCAGGACTCCCTAGATGTTGTAGGGGTGAGTCTTTTTGAAACTTGCCCCACTGTGATTTTTAGGTACAGCCAGCCTATATTCCTTGGGGTTGCTCACTCCCATGTGGGGCTTCCTGCAGAATCATGCAGCCTCAGGAACTGTTGGGCTCTGTGTTTCTGTCGGAGTGTTATGAGTGTTGGATATCTGCGTGTGCATGTATCATTGTGCATTTGTGTGTGTTGTGTGCCTGTAATTAAAGTCTGCTTAAAGGAATGTGGCTAAAATGCTTCAGTGCTTTTCTTTTCCTTCTATTTATTTTCTTTATCTTTTTCTTTTTCTTTTTTTTTTTTTTGGAGTCTCCCACACTTTGACTCCCAGATGAGTAGGTTCTTCAAGTCATGAGGGGGAATTCCTCCATCCTCTTGGAATTTCATCCTGGGGCATAGAGTGTGACCAGCAACGTCAGATAGGGGTGAGGACACAATGGTGAGGGGTGGATGGGATCCTGCAACTTCACCTGCAAAAAAAAAAAAAATGACTACAGATGACCTGAAGATGCTTCCAATTTTATCCTTGCATTACCTTAATTGCACAAGCAGTCCTCACCACAGCCCAGTGTTCAGGCGGGAGTGCTCCAAAGTTCAAGGAACATTTGAAGCACAAGTTGGGACCATTTTGGCCAATTCCTGATTTGAGGGCTTTCATTCCTGGAACAAAATGTTAGTGGTATGGATTGATGCTGAATGGGATGTGGCCTCCAGAATTACCTCTTCTTTTCCTGACTTCCATGTTCTTCATCTGCCAAGGGTTTCTCTGGGTCTGGTTCAATGGCTTTTGCACTAAAGGCTTCCCAGTTCATGGAGAATGACCCTCAATGGATCTATTGCATGAGTGTTTCCTTCTAAACACTGTTACATTTAAATAACTGGGCAGCTTTGATACATTTAAAACTGTAAATTGTGGTACAGCCACCAAGAAACACTTGTTCTCCCACTTCTATTGGAGGGCTGCATGATTCCTGTAGGATGAGAAGCAGGCATAGGTGTCTGGCCTTTGTCTTGTGTTCTAGCCTCTGTTTCATTTCATCTACATGGCCTTCTCTTTGTGTTGGGGCTTATTCATTGGCCTGTTGCTGGATATGACTGCCTTTCATCACAGATTACTTTGCTGCCAGGGATTTCAAAGATCAAAAGGGACTTTTGTTTGGCTGGCTGAGCTCCAGGATTCAGGTTGTTTTCTCATTCTGGGGACAGAGATTTTTGGCACTTTGCAGAAGGCTTTTGGCTCCTCTGACAAGAATCATTGAGCGTTGCTTAGACTCAAGCACAAGGCAACTCATTCTCTCAGGTGAGCCTTGATTTCCTTTGCTTTCATTGGGAGTCCACAGTGACCCTCAACAGAACTAACGGACTTGCTTTTCAGGCTTGCCATTGCCACAGATGACCTCTGAGACACTGTTTCAATCTCATCTGCACTCATGAGAGGTCAGTCCATGGTGTGAGAACACTGTTCCATCTCTGACTTGCTTTTTTCAGGGTTTCTGTCTTTCCAAGAGAGCTCCTGTGAGGCCCAGGATGAAGGGAGGCAATGAGGTCTAGAGCCCAGCCATCTTTCACTGACCCCCACCCCTAGGGTGTCAGGTATGATTCTATCACCAAAGGAACCCTCAACAACAAACCAATTATATTCCAATTTTCATGGGACTCCATTCTGCAACACAGTGTCTTTTAGGAATAAAGTCAGAAGAGCAGTTTCTACAGACCACCTCACAGTATTGAAACATCTACTCCAGGGGGACCTGGCCATGGAGATAGCTGAAGGGTCCCTGGTCTTCCAGTGGGTTTTTGCAGGCAGCCTTTTTCCTGATACCAGGCTGGCTCTACCTATATACCATTTTCCTCTGCTTAGGCAAGTTGACAGCTCTGACAGCCAGGCACCCAAGACTGCCTCATGAATGCACATCACTGAGGCTCAGGGCACCTGACCTATTTATGAGCTTTGGCTATCTTCACAATGAATGTCACCATTGCCTTACAACAATTCCTTGCATCTTGGCAGAGGAGACTTCTGTGGGGGTTCATCAGCACTGGATTCTCACCTACCTTTTTTGTGGGATCCATGGGACAGTCCCCATGGACCTGGGGAAGGGCAGAAGTGAGGCAGCCTGAGAAAACACCAAGCAGAGCCCCAGAAATAAACTGCAAAATTCCTAAGGACGCAAAAGGATCTACAAGATTCCTCAGTCCTACCTAGCCATTGTAGGGGTGTGTCTTTTTGAATCTTGCCCCACTGTGGTTTTAGGTAGAGCTTGCCTGTGTTCTCTGGGGTTGCTCTCTCCCAGATGTGGCTTCCTATAGAGCCACGCAGCCTCAGGAGCTGCTGGGCTGTGTGTTTCTGTGGGAGTGTTGTGGGTGTTGTATGTCTGCGTGTGTGTGTGTTACATTGTGTGTTTCTGTGTGTGTATGCCTGTAAGTGGAGTCTGCTCAAAGGAGTGTAGCTAACACACTTCTGTGCTTCTTCTCTCTTTTTTTTTTAATCTCCTAAACTTTTGCTGGCCTGTGTGGCTGTGCTTGGACTGTGGGGCTCCATATTTTTGTTTGTTTGTTTGTTTGTTTTGTTTTGTTTTGTTTTGTTTTCCTGTGGAGCATGAATCCGCAGTGAATTGGGAATGGGGCTGAGACCCTCCATCATCCAAATCACCTCTCCCTGCAAAAAAAAAAAAAAAAAAAAAAAAAAAAGAAAACTGTCTTCTAGAAAGAAGAGTAGCATACTACACCAAAAAACAAACATCTTCCAGTGTTTCATTGTCTTGTGGCCAACCCAGGGAGAGACACTAGCAGTCCTGTCTTCAGGGCTCCTTGAATTTACCTCAAATTCTGTTCCCAGTTGACTAGGTGCTTCACATCATGAAGGGGCACTTCTCCATTGTCTTGGGATTTCATCCTGGGACATAGAGAGTGAGCAGCAATAAGGTCAGGTAGGGTTGAGGATACAATCTGGTAAGGGGTGTATGCAGTCCCATAACTTCACCTGCAAAAGACATACAGACAGAATGACACAGAAACTGCTTCTAACTCTGTCCCACATTCCCTTAATTTCACAAGCAGTCCACACCATGGCCCAGTTTTCAGGTGGTAAGGAAGACCACCAAATTATTGTCTCATAACTCAGAAAAATAAATAGAAAGCAAAAGTGAAAGAAAGGCAGACATGAGACCAATAGTCAGATAGCCTGAGGCAGCACCCTAGGCCTGGTAGTTAAAAATCAATCACTGACCTAACCACTTGTATTGTCTAATAGATTTCAGACATTGTGTGAGGATGCATTGTGAAACTTTCTGTTCTGTTCTCTTCTGTCCTGATTACCGATGCATGCACCCTCAGCCGTGTACCCCTTGCTTGCTTCAATGATCACAACCCTTTCACATGGACTCCGTAGAGTTGTAAGCCTTTAAAAGGGGAAGTAATCTCTCTACTGGGGAGTTAGGTTTTTGAGAGGCAAGTCGGCCGACACTTCGTACCAAATAAACCAACTTCCTTCTTTAACCTGGTGTCTGAAGGGTTTTATCTGTGGTTTGTCCTGCTACATTTCTTGGTTCCCTGAGCAGAAAGTGAGGTGGTTAACAGAAGATTGAGGCAGCCCCTTAGGCAGCTTATGCCTTACCTATGGAGTATCCCTGAGGGAGACTCCATGCAGCTTGAGTGACATGAATCCTGAGAGTGCTTCCAGTTAGGGAATTGCTCCAGTGGAATGCCTCACCAGAGCAGTGTACGGCAGGCCCCTGTGGAGGATTGATGCAGTGGCTGAATGATGGGAAGGAACTGGCACTTGGAGTCTGGATATCTGGAACATGGTAGGACCAGTCTTGGAAACTTGCCCACCCTGTTTGAGTAGAATCATGACCTGAATACCCACGGCATGCCTTTATCAGCACTTTGGTTTTGGTTTTGATTTTGGCTTGGCTTGAATTACTTGATTTAGTGTGAATCAGATGAGTGAGTGACCTTTACCCTTTCCCTCTTGCAGTGTGAGTGTTGTATTGTCTCAGGAGAAAAATGGTCAGACACAAAATAAGCCCATACTTCTAGGAACTGTGTTGAACAATTTCAAGAAGGGATTTAAAAGAGACTATGGAGTTACTATGACACTAAGTTTACCAGGTAAACTTAGAACTTTGTGTGAGATAGACTGGTCAGCATTAGAAATGGGTTGGCCATCAGAGTGAAGCCTAGATAGGTCCCTTGTTTCAAAGGTATGCCATAAGATAACCTGTACGTCAGGGCACCCAGACCAGTTTCTATACATAGACACTTGGTTACAACTGGTTTTAGAACTGCCACAATGGTTACAAGGACAGGCAGCAGCAGCAATGTTAGTGGCGAAGGGACAGATAACCAAGGAAGGATCCTGCTCCACCCACCTTGGGAAGATGGTTCCTAAAGTTCTGTCCGACCCAATATCAGAAGACTTATGGCAGGAAGTGGCACTGGCGATGCCTCCCCTTACTGAGAAGAGAGACTCTCGACTCCTGAACCCACAGCACTTGTGCCTCTGCAGGACACACACAACCCTAGGCTACCCAGAGTAGAAAAGAGAGTATATGAAGCTGTAGGAGAAACCCCACCCTTGGCAGCTCATTTATGACCTAAGACTGTAATACAAATGCCCCTGAGGGAAGAGCAGCATACTGGGGTAGACAAGGACAGGCATATGGTGAAAAGTTGTTCCTGTGTGTGGCAATACTTTACCTCAGCTGATCTCCTAAATTGGAGAAAAAAAAAATCTTATACTGAAAAGCCTCAAGCTTTAATCGATTTGCTCCAAACTATTATCCAGACCCACAACCCTACTTGGGCTAATTGCCATCAGCTGCTTATGTACCTCTTTAACATAGATGAAAGGTGATGGGTGCTCCAGGCAACCATCAAGTGGCTGGAGCAACATGCTCTGACTGATTACCAAAACCCCCAGGAATATGTGAGGCTCCAGTTACCAGGTACGGACTCTTAGTGGGACACAAATGAAGAGAAAGTTATAGAAAGGCTAAAGCAATATAAGGAAGCCCTCCTAGAAGGGTTAAAGGAGGGAGCTCAGAAGGCCACAAATGTTAACAAAGTCTCTAATGTCATTCAATGAAAAGAATAGAGTCTGGCACAATTTTATGAAAGACTGTGTGAGGTCTGTGATCCTGAAAGCCCTGAAAATCAGTGCATGATTAGCATGGCTTTAGTTAGTCAAAGCACAGAAGGCATTAGAAGAAAACTTCAGAAACAGGCTGGGTTTGTGGGTATGAACACTTCACAGTTATTGGAAATAGCCAATCAGGTGTTTGTTAATAGAGATGCAGCAGGCCACAGAGAAAGCCACAAATAAAGTGAGTTCCAAGCCCGCCAAAACGCCAACCTGCTAGCTGCAGCTATTAGAGGTGTCCCGCCAAAGGTCTGAGGAAGTGGGGGCCTGGGGAAAACACCCAGTCTGACCAACCATGCCTGCAGCATAACCAGTGTGCATATTGCAGAGAAATAGGGCTTTGAAAAGACAAGTGACCCCAGTTAAAAGATAAAAAAAAAATGGCTCCAAGCCTGAGGTCTCAAGCAAGGATGAAGGGGCCTTGTTTAATCTTGAAGATTGCAAGGACTGAGGGGGATGGGTCTCAGGTGCTCCCAATGAGCCCATGGTCAGGATGACAGTCTGGGGCAAGGATATTGAGTTTCTTGTCCATACTTGTGCTGAACATTCAGTAATGACCACCTCGGTCACCCCCTTATCCAAAAAGACTATTGATATAATTGGAGCCACATGAGTCTTGGCAAAACAATCTCCTTGCACCAGACTCGTGCCATAGGGGGACATGAAGTGATTCTTCATGGCCCTGAAGTTTCTCTGGGAGGAGGAATTGAGACTTTTCTTAACTGAGTCAGTCCAAGAGATAAAACCAGCTCTGGCTAAGTGGTGGCCAAGGGTGTGGGCAGAAGATAATCCTCCAGGGCTGGTAGTCAACCAAGCCCCTGTTCTAAAAAAAGTTAAGCCTGGGGAAAGCCATTCAGGCATACACAGTACCTGGTCCCCAGAGAAGCTGCTGAAGGTATCCAGGTTCATCTCAAATGCCTGAGAGCCTTTGAAATTATAGTCCCTTATCAGTCTCCATGGAACACTCCCTTCCTGCCTGTTCCCAAGCTAAGGACCAAGGACTACAGACCAGTACAGGACTTGTGCTTGGTCAGTCAAGCTACAGTGAGTTTAAATCCAACAGTACCTAGCCCATACACACTTTTGGGGTTATTGCCAGCTAAGGACAGATGGTTCACCTACCTAGACCCGAAGGACATTTTTGTTAGCATCAGTCTAGCTCCTGAGAACCAGAAACTACTTGTCTTTCAGTGGGAAAATCCGGGCTCAGGTATCACCACTCAGTACACTTGGATATGGCTTCCCCAAGGGTTCAAGAACTCCCCCACCATCTTCAGGGAGGCACTGGCTCAAGACCTCCCAAAGTCCCCCACCAATCACCTAGGCTGCGTTTTGCACCAGTACATCGACTACCTTCTGCTGGGACACCCCAAAGCAGTTGAGTGCATGAGAGAGACAGATGCCCTGCTTCAGCAGGCACCTGGAGGATTGTGGGTATAAGGTGTCCAAGAAGATAACCCAGATCTGCAGATATCAGGTACGCTACCTGGGATTCACTATCCAGCAGAGAGAACACAGCTTGTGGTCACAAAGAAAGCAGGTCATCTGCAGCCTGTTGGAGCCTAGGATCAGAAGGAAGGTGAGATAATTCTTAGGAACTGTGGGGTTCTGCAGACTGTGGATCCCAAACCTTGCAGTACTAGCCAAGCCTCTGTATGGGGTTAAAAAGGGGGGTGACCAGGAACATTTTGAATGGGCGTCCCAACAACAGTAAGCCTTTCATGAGTTAAAAGAGGAACTCAGGTCAGCCCCAAACCTGGGTCTGCCCTACCTGACCAATCCATTTACACTCTATGTGTCAGAGAGAGAAAAAACGGCAGTTGGTGTTTTGATCCAGACTCTGGGGCCTTGCTGAGGCCAGTGGTCTACCTCTCTAAGCAACTAGATGGGGTTTCTAAAGGTTGGCCCCTGTGTTTGAGGGACTTAGGAGCAACTATCCTCTAGCACAAGAAGCAGATAAATTCACTCTTGGGTGAAACCTGAACATAAAGCCCCCCCCCTCCAAGCTGTGGTGACTTTAGTGAAAACCAAAGGACACCATTGACTAATGAATGCTAGACTAAGCAAGTACCAAAGCTTGTTCTTTGAAAATCCCCACATAACCATTGAAGTTTGTAACAACCTGAAATCTGCCACCTTGCTGCTGGTATCAGGAAGGCCTGTCAAGCATAACTGTGTAGAGGTGTTGGACTGAGTCTACTTTAGCAGACCTCACCTCCGGGACCAGCCTTGGGCATCACTGCACTGGGAACTAGCTGTATGTGAATGAGAATCGCTTTGTCAACCCACAAGGGGATAAGTATGCGGGATACGCAGTGGTAACACTGGACGCTGTGATTTAGGTCAAACCATTGCCCAAGGGTACTTCAGCCCAGAAACCTGAGCTCATTGCTTTAATTCAGGCCTTAGAACTCAGTGAAGGTAAGACTGTAAACAGTTACAGTGACTCCCGGTATGACTTCTTAACACTCCAAGTGCATGGAACATTATACAAATAAAAGCACCAGTTAAACTCTGGAGGAAAGGACATAAAACATCAGCAAGAAAACTTGCACTTGTGAATAATGCTGCAATAAACATACGTGTGCATGTGTCTTTATAGCAGCATGATTTATAGTCCTTTGGGTATATACCCAGTAATGGGATGGCTGGGTCAAATGGTATTTCCAGTTCTAGATCCCTGGCTGGTCAAATAGCATTTCCAGTTCTAGATCCCTGAGGAACCGCCACACTGATTTCCATAATGGTTGAACTAGTTTACAGTCTCACCAACAGTGTAAAAGTGTTCCAATTTCTCCACATCCTCTCCAGCACCTGTTGTTTCCTGACTTTAATGATTGCCATTCTAACTGGTGTGAGACGGTATCTCATTGTGGTTTTGATTTGCATTTCTCTGATGGCCAGTGATGATGAGCATTTTTTCATGTGTTTTTTGGCTGCATAAATGTCTTCTTTTGAGAAGTTTCTGTTCATGTCCTTTGCCCACTTTTTGATGGGGTTGTTGTTTTTTTTCTTGTAAATTTGTTTGAGTTCATTGTAGATTCTAGATATTAGCCCTTTGTCAGATGAGTAGGTTGTGAAAATTTTCTCCCAATTTGTAGGTTGCCTGCTCACTCTGATGGTAGTTTCTTTTGCTGTGCAGAAGCTCTTTAGTTTAATTAGATCCCATTTGTCAGTTTTGTCTTTTGTTGCCATTGCTTTTGGTGTTTTAGACATGAAGTCCTTGCCCATGCCTACGCACAAGTATGTTTATTGCAGCGTTATTCACAATAGCAAAGACTTAGAACCAACCCAAATGTCCAACAATGATAGACTGGATTAAGAAAATGTGGCACATATACACCATGGAATACTATGCAGCCATAAAAAATGATGAGTTCATGTCCTTTGTAGGGACATGGATGAAATTGGAAATCATCATTCTCAGTAAACTATCGCAAGAACAAAAAACCAAACACTGCATATTCTCACTCATAGCTGGGAATTGAACAATGAGATCACATGGACACAGGAAGGAGAATATCACACTCTGGAGACTGTTGTGGGGTTGGGGGAGGAGGGAGGGATTGCTTTGGGAGATATACCTAATGCTACATGACGAGTTAGTGGGTGCAGCGCACCAGCATGACACATGTATACATATGTAACTAACCTGCATGTTGTGCACATGTACCCTAAAACTTAGAGTACAAAAAAAAAAAGAAATCTTGCACTTATTAGAAGCAGTATAGAAATCCGAAAGGTGGCAGTCGTGCATTGCAGAGGACAATAGTGAGCTTCTACCATGGTTGCTTTAGAGAACTCCAGAGCTGACTCAGAGGCTCAAAAAGCAGCCTGCACACCCTATCAGGCAGAAGGAAGGCAAAGAGCAAGAAGGATGGATCTGGTTACCAGATAAAAGAATAGTCATGCCACAGCTGCTAGGAGCCACAGTTGTACTGGCTTTGCATGAAACTACCCATCTAGCTTAGGAATCACTTGAAAAGCTGTTAGGCCAGTACTTTTACATATCATATTTGTCAGCCCTTGCCAAAACTGTGGCCGAGCAAGGTATTACCTGCTAACAGCACAATGTAAGGCAGGGTCCAGGCTTTCCACCCAGTACACAAGTTTATGGAGCAACCCCTTTTGAAAATCTCCAGGTGGACTTCACAGAAATCCCAGTGTGGAGTTAACATGTATCTACTTGTTTTGTGTGTACCTACACTGGGTGGGTGGAGGTTTTCCAATCTGAACTGAAAAAGCTAGTGAAGTAAACCATGTGCTTCTTCGAAGTCTTATTCCTAGATTTGCACTGCCCTTATGAATCAGCTCAGATGATGGGCTGGCATTTGTTGCTGACTTTGTGCAGAAGACAGCAAAGATATTGGGGATCATATGAAAACTGCATGTAGCCTACTGACCTCAGAGGTCTGGAAAGGTAGAGTGAATGAATTGAACCATCAAAAATAGATTAGGGAAAGTGTGCCAGAAACAGGATTAAAATGGTTACAGGCTCTCCCTTTGGTATTGCTTAAGATAAGATGTGCCACTTCTAAAAGAGCAGGGTGTTTCCCTTATGAAATATTATATTGTAGAATCCCTCCCATATTATGAGGACTCCCAGGCAATCCTTCAGAATGAGGTGAAGTTGAGTTAGAGCAACAGCTACAGGCTCTAGGAAAAATTGCACAATTTCAGCTTGAGTTAACGAGAGGTGCTCTATTAGCTTATTCTCCCCAGTTCACCTCTTCTCCCCAGGTGATCAAGTGTGCTTCAAGGATTGGAATGTAGTCCCCCTAAGGCCACTGTTGAAAGGGCCCAAGACCATAAATTTGACCACTCCCACTGCCTTGAAGGTAGAAGTAATCCCGGCCTGGATCCATCACCATCGTGTAAAACCTGTAGTGCCTGAGACCTGGGAGGTGAGACCAAGCTGGGACAACCCCTGGAAAGTGACACTGAGAAAGATGACAAGCCCTTCTCCAGTCACACCCAGTAGCTGACTGGTCTACACACAGTCAACGCATGATGAAACACATTGTGGGACTTATTCTCCTTAAAATTTGGACTTGTATAATAAAGACTGATTTTTCCCAAATGAAGAAATAGTCCCACTATAATAATTAGGTTACTGAGGTAGGGCAACACGTTAAAACAATCTTTCTGTTTTATAGTTATTATGAATGCCTATAAACTTCAAAAGGAAACTGTCTGTTTAACTTCACGCTGTATAAAGTATGCAGCCTAGGAAATTACCAATCTAATGTGTGCTATAACCCATCTGAGCCTCCTATGATCACAGTCTTTCAAATAAGATTAAAAACTAGTCCTTTTCTAAGTGATACAAGTAAAATAATAGCTAAAACAGAAGAAAAACGAACCCCCAAGCACATAACCTTAAATTTTGATGCTTGTGCCACCATAAAGAGTAATCAGCAAGGATTAGGATGTGGCTCTCTAGATTGGGGAAAAAGTTATACAGCAGAGAATACGTATATTCGTCATGATTTGGGCCTATGTGATAAAGTATGTAATTACTGGTCTTGTGTCATTTGGGCTACCTGGAAAAAGAATGAAAAAGTTCTGATATGGCTTCAGAAAGGAAAGGGGAATTTCTCTTGCAGAAGTGGCCACTGTAACCCCTTAGAACTAATAATCACCAATTCCCTGGACCCACTTTGAAAAAAGGGAGAACATGTAACTCTAGTGACCAACAGAGCTGAACTGGGTCCTTGAGTAAATGCTTTAGTCCTAAAACAGATCAAACGGTGGTCTCCCAAACCAGTGTGTTAGACCTTCTATGATGAATTGAATGTGCCTGTACCAGATCTCCCAGAGAAGACAAAGAAGTTGTTCCTGCAGTTAGCAGAAAATGTAACCCGTTCCCTCAATGTTACTTCCTGTTATGTATGTGAGGGAACCACTGGGGAAGACGACTGGCCTTGGGAAACCCAAAAATTAGTGCCCACTCATCCACTTACCAATAAGATTCCAGCCCAGAAGGCCCACACTGGCAACTTCTGTGTTTTAAGAGACACAGTTATTGAGTGGCACTCTATAGCTAGAGAAGGACAGAACTTCACCCTCCCTGTGGGAAGGCTCAACTGTCTTGGACAAAACCTGTATAACATCACAGCAAAAACAGCCATGTGGGGGGTTCAAACCACAGTGAGAAAAATCCAGTTAGTAAATTTCCAAAGTTGCAAACTGTGTGGACCCACCCAAAGTCTCACTGGGACTGGACAGCCCCCACCGGACTATACTGGATATGTGGGCACAGAGCATAAGCCAAGTTACCTGACCAATGGGCAGGTAGTTGTGTTATGGACACCATTAAACCATCCCTTTTCCTACTGCCCATGAAAAGAAGTGAACTCCTGGGCTTCCTGGCCTATGCTTCCCAAGAAAAGAGAAGCATAGCTATAGGTGATTGGAAAGATGATGAGTGGTCCCCTGAAATAATTATGCAGTATTATGGGCCTGCCACTTGAGTCATCTTGTGATGGCTCATGGGCATACCAAACCCCCATTTACATGCTCAACCAGATCACACAGTTACAAGCTGTCTTAGAAATAATCACTAATATAATCGGCAGAGCTTTGACTGTTTTAGGCCTGCAGGAAATCCAGGTGAGAAACGTTACGTATCAAAGTATATTAGCTCTAAACTACTTGATAACAGCTGAAGGAGGGGTCTGCAGAAAACTTAACCTAACCAGTTGCTATCTGCATATAGATCATCAAAGGCAAGCAGTCAAAAATATAGTCAGAGATATGACAAAACTGGCACACGTGCCTGTGCAGGTTTGGCAGGGGTTTGATCCTGGATCAGTATTTGGAAAATGGTTTCCATTTATAGGAAGATTTAAAATTCTTATATTAGGAATAATAATAGTGATAGGAACCTGCTACTTTCTCCCCTGCTTGCTACCCATGCTCCTTCTGATAATGGGAAGCTTTGTTACTGCCTTTGTCCACCAAAATGATTCAGCACAAGCATGTTACATAAATAACTATTGATCTGTCTTGCAGGAAGGCCTAGTTAGTGGGGATAAGGCTGAGAAATCTCTGTAATAAGTGAGACTCTCAAAGGGGGGGATAAGGAAGGAGACCACCTCTCTTATTGTCTCATACCTCAGAAAATGAAAGAGGAAACAAAAGCTAAAGAAAAGCAGAAATGAGATCAATAGTCAGACAGCCCACACCACACCCCAAGCCTGTTAGTTAAAAATCAATCCCTCACATAACTGCTTGTATTATTATAGATTCCAGACAATGTATGAGCAAGCATTGTGAAACTTTCTGTTCTGTTCTGTTCTGTTCTGTTCTGTTCTGTTCTCTCTTGATTACCAACGTATGCAGCCCCAACCATGTACCACATGTTTGCTCAATCAATTACGACCCTTTCACATGGACCCCCTTAGAGTTGTAAGCCTTTAAAATGGGCAGGAATCTCCCTCTCAAGGAGCTTGATTTTTGAAATGCAAATATGCCAAAACTGCCTGCCTAATAAAGCCAATTCCTTCTTTAACCCATGTCTGAAGGGTTCTGTCTGTGGCTCAAACTGCTAAAATGGGAGTTTTCCAAAGTGCAAGTAACATTTCAAGTGCAAATTTGGGCCATCCTGGCAAACCCCTGATTTGAGGGCTTTTATACCCGAAGCCAAATGGGAATGAGATCAATTGATGCAAGGTAGAATGTGGCCTCCACAGTTCCCTCTTCATATCCTGACTTACATGTTCCTCATCAGCCTAGGGTTTCTTCTGTCCAGCTTAAAGTCTCCCAAACTAAATATTTCTCAGTTCATGGAATGGTAATCTAGGCTATGTTTCATTGCATCTACACATTCTTTTTCATCATGAAGAGGGTCTTTCGTTGTGCTGTTGCTGGATGGGGCTGCCTCTCAACACAGATTTATTGGCTGCCATAGATTTCAGGGAGCACAAGGGATTTTGGGTAAGCTGGTCTCCCCCCAGGTTGTGGGTCTTGGTCTCCTTATGGGGGCTTAGGTTGTTTGCATTTTGCAGGAGGCTTTTGGGTTCTCTGATGGAAATATTTGAATGTTGCTTGGACTCCTGCACAAGTCTTCTCTTTCTCTCACTCCAGCCTTGATGTTCCTTTGCTTTCAGGGTAGGTCCACACTGCCCCTCACGCACACTACAGAACACCATTTCCAGTGTTTCAATCATCACAGACGGCCTCTGAGACACTGTATAAATATTCTCTGCATCTGTAAGAGACCAGTTCAAAGTGAGAACACGTCTTCACCTTGGACTTGCATTTCTGGTGGTTCCTGCATATCCTAGAGAGCCCCTGTGAGGTCCAGGATGAAGGGAAACAGTGAGTATAACATCCTGGACATCTTTCATTGACATCCACCTCTGGGGTCTCAGGTATGATTCTATCACCCAAAGACCACTGCACAACTCAGGAGACAATGTTCTAATCCACATGGGACTCAATTCTGGCACACAGCCACTTTCAGGAATGGAATCAGAAGAGCAGTTTCCAGGGATCACCTCACTGTCTTGAAATGTCTCTTCCTCCAGAGGGACCCGACCACAAAGACAGCCCGAGGGGCCCTAAGGTGGAGACTTTTAGGGTCCCTCAGTGGGTTAGTGCAGGCAGCTTTTCTCCCAATAACAAGCCGGCTTTGTCTGTACCATTTTCCTCTGCTTAGGCAGTCTGACAGCTCTGACAGCTGGGCACCCAAGCCTGCACACAAATGAGCATGCTCTAGTCTCAGGGCACCAGGTCTGAAAGTAAACTCTGGCTAACATTACAACCAATGTCACTGTAGCCTAGGGACAAGTACCTGAGGCTTGGCAATAAAGAAGACTGCCATGGAGTTTCATCAGCCATGGACTTCCACCTGTCTTCTCTATGGTATCAAGGGGATTGTCCCATGACCCTAAGAGAGGGCAGATGTGTGTCAGCCTGAAGAAACATCAAGCAAAGCCCCAGGAATAAACTGCAAAATCCCTAAGAATCCTAAAATATCAGCAGGATTTGTGAGGCTTGCCTAGACATTGCAGGGGTGAGTCTTTTTGAAACTTGCTCCACTTTGATTTATATGTATAGCCTGCCTCTCTTCCCCGGGGCTGCTCTCTCCCAGATGAAGATTCCTGCAGAATCACGCAGCCACAGGAGCTGCTGGGCTGTGTGTTTCTGTGGGAGTGTTGCAAGTGTTGGATAGCTGAGTGTGTGTAGTGCATTTTGTATTTGTGTGTGTGTGTGTGTGTTTGTGTCTGTAAGTGGAGTCTGCTTAAAGAAATGTGACTAACACACCTCAGGGCTTCTTTTTTTTGAGTTTCTCAACCTTATGGTGGCCTGTCTTTGTGGCTCTGCTTGGGCTGAAGGGCTCCATGTTCTTTAATTTCTGTGGATCATGAATTTGCAGTGAAGTGGGAGGCAGACTGAGATCCACCTTCATCCAAATCACCTCCCCCTGCAAAAAAAGCCACAATTATAGAAAGAAGGGGAGTACATTAAAGCAAAAAATGACATCTTCTAGTGTTTTATTGCCCTGCGACGAACCCAGGGAGAGACATTAGCAGTCCCGTCCGCAGGACCCCTTGAGTTTATCTCGAATTCAATTCGCAGCAGAGCAGTTGCTTCATGTCATAAGGGGTCACTGCTCCATCTTCTTGGGATTTCATCCTGGGACATAGAGTGTGAGCAGCAATAAGGTCAGATATGGGTGAGGATACAATTTGGTGAGGGGTGGATGGGGTCCCACAACTTCACCTGGGGAAAAAAAAATGAAGACAGATGAATCAGAAGGTGCTTGCAAACCCATCCCCACATTATCTTAATTGCACAAGAAATCCACACCATGGTCTATTGTTCAGGTGGGAGTACTCCAACATGCAAGGAATATTTGGATTGGAAATTGGGGCTATCCTATCAAACTCCCTATTTGAGGGCTTTCATACCCAGAGCCAAACGGAAGTGGAATGTATTGATGGTGGGTGGGATGTGACCTCGTCTTTTCCCGAATTCCATGTCTCTCATCAGCCTAAGGTTTCTGGGGTCTGGCTAAACGATTTCCACACTAAACATTTCCCAGTCCCAGGAGAATGACCCTCATGGAAATCCATTGCCTCAGTGTTTTCTTCTAAACATTGTCATGTTTTAATGACTGGGCAGCTTTGCTACGTCTAAAATTGTAAATTCCCATTAGAGTTGCCAACAAGGAAACTCTTGTTCTCCCACTTCTGTTGGAGGGCTGCATGATTCCTCTCAGATCAGAAACAGGGAGCCATGTCTGGCTTTTTTTTCTGGTAATCTAGCCTCTGTTTCATTTCATCTGCATGGCCTTCTAATTGTGGAGGGGCTCTTTCCTCAGGATGTTGCTGGATGGGACTGCATCTTGCCACAGATTATTTAGCTGCTAGGGATTTCAATGAGCAAAAGGAATTTCAGGTATGCTGGCTGCATTCCAGGTTGTGGTGCATTGTCTTGTTTTGGGGGCTGAGGTTGTTTTCACTTTGCCTTAGGATTTGGGTCCTCTGACATGAATCATTAAACATTGCTGGGACTCCAGCACAAGGCAGCTCATTCTCTCACATGAGCCTTGATTTTTCTTTGCTTTCATGGAGAATCCACAGTGCCCCACAAAAGCACTACTGGACAATCTTTTCAGGCTTGATATCACCACAGACGTCCTCTGAGAAACTGTCTCAACCTCATCTTACCAGTGAGAGGCAAGTCTGAGATGCAAGAACACTGCTCCACCTTGAACTTACTTTTGTCTTGGTTCCTGCCTTTCCCACAGAGCCACTGAAAAGCCTATGATGAAGGGAGGCAGTGAGGTCAAGAACCCAGCCATCTTTCACTGACACCTCCCTCTGGGGTCTCAGGTATGATTATACTACCAAAAGAACACTCAACAACACACCAGACTATATCCCACTACCTGTGGGACCCAATTCTTGCACACACACATTTTCTTTTGAGAATGGAGTCAGAGAAGCAGTTTCCAGCGACAACCTCACAGTCTCAAAATGCTTCCTCCTCCACAGAACCTGACCACTGAGATGGCCCAAAGGGGCTCTGAGGTCGAGACTTTCATGGTCCTGCCATGGATTTTCACAGGCAGCCTTTTTCCAGATAACAGGCCAGCTCTGCCTGTGTCATTTTCCTCTGCTTAGGCAGGCTGAAGGCTCTGACAGTCAGGTGCCTGAGCCTGCCCTGTGAATGCGCACACACTAGTCTCAGCACCAGGCCTGATTGTGAGCTCTGGTATCATAATAAATATCACTGTTGCCCAGTGCCAAGTCTTGTGGCTTGATGGAGAAGGAGTCCTCTGTGAAGTTTCAGTGGTAATGGACTCTCGCTTATCTTCTCAGTGGGATCCAGGGTATAGTCCCAAGATCCTAGGAGAGGTCAGATATTAGCCAGCCTTAAGAAACATCAAGCACAGACCCAGAAATAAGCCACAAAATCCTTAAGGACCCAAAAGGATCTGCAGGATTTGGTAAGTCTGTGTAGACCTTGTAGGGGTGAGTCTTTTAGAAACTTGCCCCACTATGATTTCTAGGTACAGCCCACCTGTGTCCCCTGGGGTTGCTCTCTGCCGGGGGGGGGGCTTCCTGCAGAACCACACATGCTTAGGATCTGCCTAGCTATGGGTTTCCATGGGAGAGTTGCCAGTGTTGGATGTCTGTGTGTGTGTGTGGCTTTCTGTGTTTATTTGCATGTGTGTGTATACGTGTGTGTGCTTGTAAGTGGAGTCTGCTTAAAACAATGTAGCTAATGCCCTTCAGCACTTTTTTTTTTTTTTTGAGTCATCCAACATTTTGGTGGCCTGTCTGTGTGGCTCTTCTTGGGCTGCAGGGCATTGTGTTATTTAGTTTTCTGTGGATTGTGAATCCACATAAATTGGGAGGCTGGATGAGACCCACTGGCATCGAAATCAAACCCCCCTGCAAAAAAGGTCACTCTTCTAGGCAGAGGAGGAGCACACCACACCAAAAACAGATATCTCCCAGTGTTTTATTGTCCTGCAACCAACCCAGGGAGAGACACTAGAAGTGCTGTTTTCAGGGCCCCTTGAATTTACCTCAAATTTGGTTCACAGCTGAGCAGGAGCTTCATGGCGTGAGGGGGCACTCTTCCATCATCTTTGGACTTTATCCTAGGATGTAGAGTTTGAACAACAATAAGGTCAGATAATTGTGAGGCTACAATCTGTTGAGGAGTGAATGGGGTCTCATAACTTCACCTGCCAAAAAAAAAAATGGAGACATATGAAACAGAAGGTTCTTTAAACTCCATTCCTTCATTCCCTTAATGGCACAAGCAGTCCACACCAAGGCTACATGTTCAGGTGGGAGTACTACAAGGGGCAAGAAAAATTTGGAGTGTAAATTGGGGTTATCCTTGAACCTCCCAGTTTAAGGGCTTTCATACCTGGAGCGAAATGGGTGTGGAATGGGTTGATGCTTGGTGGTATGTGGCCTCCACAATTGCCTCTTTTTTCCTATTTCCATTTACCTCATCAACCTAGGGTTCCCTATGTCTGGCTCAATGATTTCCACACTGAAAGTTTCCCAGTTCACATAGAATGATCCTCAAGAAAATCCATTGTGTGAGCATTTGATTCTAAACACTGTTACATTTTAATAACTAGGCAGCTTTGATACTTTTAAAACCATAAATTCTGGTTACAGCCACACACAAGGAACCTCCTGTTCTCACACTTCTATCAGCAGGCTGCATGATTCCTGTAGGATGAGAAGCAGGCAGCTGTGTCTGGCTTTTGCCTGGTAATATAGCCTCTGTTTCATTTCATCTCCGTGGCCTTTTCTTTGCAGAGGGGTTCTTTAATTGGGCTGTTTCTGGATGAGACTGCCTCTCACCACAGATTATTTAGCAGCCAGGGATTTCAGAGAGCAAAAGGGACTTCAGGTAGGCTGGATGTGCTCCAGGTTATGGTTTGTTGTCTTTCTGTGGGGGCTGAGGTTGTTTTCACTTTGCGGAGGCTTTTGGGTTATCTGTCAGGAATCATTGCGCATTGCTTGGAAACCAGCACAAGCAGCTTGTTCTCTCATGTGAGCCTTCATTTTTCTTTGTTTTCATGAGGAATTCACATTGTCCCTCAACAGCACCACTGAAAAGCTTTTTCAGTCTTGCCGTCATCACAGATGGCCTATGAGATGACACTTCACCTTCGACTTGCCTTTGCTATGGTTGCTCCCTTTCCCAGAAAGCCCCTGCAAGGCCCTGGATGAAGGGAGTCAGTGAGGTCAAGAGCCTGGCTATCTTTCACTGACCCCCACCTCTGGGTTTTCAGGTTTGATTCTATCAAATGCAGAAACCTTAAAAACACACCAAACTATATTCCAATCCCCATGGGACCTGATACTTGCACATAGCCTCTTTTGGAAATGGAGTCAGAAGAGCAGATTCCAGTGACCACTACATGTCTCAAAACCCATTCTTTACCAGAGGGATCTGAACACACCAGGTTATATTCCAGTTTTCATGGGACCCAATTGTTACACATAGCTACTTTTGGAAATGGAGCCAGAAGAACAGTTTCCACCCACCAACTCACAGTCTCAAAATGCCCCCTCCTCCAGCTTGACCCAACCATGGAGACAGCCAGAGGGGTCCTTAGGTTGAGAGACCCTCAGGTTGAGGCACCAGGCCTGATCATGAGCTCTGGCTAGCATCACAGTGAATGTCACCGTTGCCTAGGGACCAATACTGGCAGCTTGGCAGAGAAGGAGAACTCTCACATGTCTTCTCTGTGGGATACACAGGATAGTCCCTGGATCCTAAGAGAGGGCAGATGTGAGTCATCCTGAAGAAATGTGAAGGAGAGCCCCAGGAATAAACTGCAAAATTGCTAAGGATCCAAAAGGATCTGCAGGATTCCTCAGGCCTGACTAGAATTTGTAGGGATGAGGCTTTTTGAAACTTGCCCACTGTGATTTCTAGATACAGACTTCCTGTGTTCCCTGGGCTTGATCTCTCCTAGGTGTGGCATCCTGCAGAACCACGCAGCCTCAGGAGTTTCCAGGCTATGTGTTTCTGTGATAGTGTTGGGAGCGTTGAATGCATGCGTGTGTGTGTTTCATTGTGGTCTTTTTTTGTGTGTGTGAGTGTGTGCCTGTAATTTGAGTCAGCATAAAAGAATGTTGCTAACACACCTAACTGTTTTATTTATTTATTTATTTATTTTTATTTTTATTTATTTTTTTACTTTCCCAACCTTTTGTTGGCCTATCTGTGTGGCTCTGCTTGGGTTGTGGCATTCTTTTTTCTTTATTTTATTGTGGATCATGAATCAGCAGGGAATTGTGAGGTGTGCCGAGACCTGTCAGCATCCAGTTCACCTCCTCCTGCAAAAAAAAATAAAGTCACTCTTCTGAAAAGAAGCACACCACACCAAAAAACAGATATCTCTTAATTTTTCATTGTCCTGTCACCAACCCAAGGAGAGACACTAGAAGTTCTTTCCACAGGACCCTTAAATTGACCTCAAATTTGGTTCCTAGCCTGGCAGATGCTTAATATCATGAGGTAGCACTGCACCATCATCTTGGGATTTCATCTTGGGACATAGAGTGTGATTAGCAGTAAGGTCAAATAGGGGTGAGTATAAAATCTGGTAAGGGGTGGATGGAATCCCACAACTTCTCCTGCAAAACAAATTAAGACAGATGAGACAGAATGTGCTTCCAACTCCATCCCTGCATTCCCTTAATTGCACAAGCAGTCCACACCCTGTTCTCGTGTTCCAGTGGGAGTACTCCAATGTGCAAGAAACATTTGGGTGCAAATTGGGGTTATCCAAGCAAATTTTCAATTTGAAACTTTCATACCCAGAGCCAAATGGGTGTGCAATGGATTGATGCCTGGTGGGATTTGGCCTCCATATTTGCCTCTTCTTTTTCTGACTACTATGTTATTCATTGACCTAGGCTTTCCTGGATCTGGCTTAACAATGTCCACACCAAATGTTTCCCTGGTCATGAAGAACAGCCCTCATGAGAATCCATTGCATGAGTGTTTTTTTCTGAACATTTTAATGGGTAGCTTTGATACTTTTAAATACTTTTTTTGATACTTTTAAAACTGTAAATTCCCATTACAGCCACCAGAAATGAAACTCTTGTTCTCCTACTTCTATCGGAGGGGGCTTCATGATTCTTGTAGGATGAGAAGTATGCCGCTGTGTCTAGCTGTTGCCTGGTAATCTAGCCTACGTTTCATCTCATCTGCACAGCCTTCTCATTATGGAGGGGCTCTTTCATTGGGCTTTTGCTATATGGGACTCCCTCTCACCACAGATTATTTAGCTTCCAGGGATTTCAGAGAGCAAAAGAGACTTTGGGTAGCCTAGCCACGCTCCAGGTTTTGAGTTGTTGTCTTGTTGTGGGGGTTGAGGTTATTTCCACATTTCAGTAGGCTTTTGGTCTTCTGACCAGAATCTTTGAAAATTACTTGGACTCCAGCACAAGGCTGCTCATTCTATCATTTGAGTCTTGGTTTTTCTTTTCTTTGGTATGGAAGCCACAGTGCCCCTCAACAGCACTAGTGGGCCTGTTTGTCAGATATGTCATTGCCACAGACAATCTGTGAGACACTGCATCACCCCCATCTGCATGCTTGAGAGACCAGTCCAAGGCGTGAGAACACTGATCCACATTGGTGTGCCTTTGTCATGGTTCCTGCCATTTCCAGAGAGCACCCATGAGGCAAACGATAAGGGGAGACAGCTCAGCTATCTTTCACTGACATCCACCTCTGGGGTCTCAGGTATGATTCTGTCACCCAAAGAAACCACAACAACACACCGGACTATATTCCAATCCCCATGGGACCTAATTCTTGCGCACAGTCTCTTTCAGAAGTACAGCCAGAAGAGCAGTTTACAGTGACCACCTCACAGTCTCAAAACATCTCCTCATCCAGTGGGACATGGCCAGGGAGACTTCCTGAAGCGGCTGTAAGGTTGAGACTTTTAGAGCTTTGCAGTGGGTTTTCACAGGCAGCCTTTTTCCTGATAACATGCCGGCTCTGCCTGTACCATTTTCCTCTGCTTGGGCAGGCTGACAGCTCTGACTGCCAGGTGAACGATCCTGCATCACAAATGTGCATGTGCTAGTCTCCTGGCACGAGGCCTGACTGAACTCTGGTTAGTGTCACAATTAATGTCATCATTGCCTAGCGACAAGTCCCTGCGGCTTGAAGGAGAAGGAGACTTTGGAGGTGTGTGGGCGGTGGACTCTCGCTTGGCTTCTCTGTGGGATTCATGGGATAGTCTTATAATTCTAGGAGAACACAGATATGAGCCAGCCTGAAGAACATCAAGCAGAGCCCCAAGAATAAAACTCAAGTCCCTAAGGATCCACAAGGATCTGCAGGAGTCTTCGGGCCTGCCTAGATTGTAGCAATTGGTCTTTTTAAATCTTGCCCCACTGTGATTTCTAGGTACAGCCCGGCTGTTTTCCTTGGGGTTGCTTTCTCCCAGGTGGACCTTTCTGCAGAACTACAGAGCCTCAGGATTTACCAGGCTGTGTGTTTCTGTCGGAGTGTTTCGAGTGTTGGATTTCTGTGTGTGTGTGTGGCATTTTCTGTGTGTGTGTGTGTGTGTGTGTGTGTGTGCGCGCGCTTGAAACTGGAGTCTGCTTAAAGGAATGTGCTAATGCATTTCAGCGTTCTTTTTTTTTTTTCGAGTCTCAAAACCTTTTGGTGGCCTATCTGTGTGGCTCTGGTTAAGCTGAAGGGTTCCATGTTCTTTACATTTTTGTGTATCATGAATCTGCAGTGAATTGGGAGGTGAGCTGAGACCCGCTGGCATCCAAATCACCTACCCCTGCAAAAAAAGCCCACTCTTCTAGAAAGAAGAGGATCACTCCACACCAAAAAATAGACATCTTCCAGTGTTTTGTTGTCCTGCAGGCAACCCAGAAAGAGGTAGTAGTAGTCCTGCTGCAGGGCCTTTTGAATTTACGTCGAATTTGGTTTCCAGCCCAGCAGGTGCTTCACGTCATGATGGGGTAATTCTCCATTGTCTTGGGATTTCATCATGTGACATAGAGTGTGAGCAGCAATAAGGTCAGATAGGGTTGAGGATTCAATCTGGTGAGGGCTGGATGGGTTACTGCAACTTCAACTGCAAAAAAAAAAAAAAAAATGAACACAGATGACACAGAATGTGCTTCCAAATCCATCCCCACTTTCCCTTAGTTGCACAAGCAGTGTAGACCATGGTTCAGTGTTCAGGTGGGAGAACTACAACATGCAAGGAACATTTGGAGTGCAAATTGGGACTATACTGGCAAATTCCCGATTTGAGGGCTTTTGTAACTATAGCCAAATAAAAGTGGAATAAATTGTTGCTGGGTGGGTTGTGGCCTCCACACTTGCCTTTTCTTTTCCTGACTTCCATATTCGTTGTTGGCCTAGGGTTTCCTGGGTCAGGCTCAATGACTTCCACAATAAACATTTCCCAGTTCATGGAGAATGACCCTCATGGGAATCCATTACCTGAGTGTTTCCTTCTAATCACCTCCCGCTGAAAACAAAGCCACTCTTTTAGAAAGAAGTGGAGCACACTACACCCAAGAACAGACATCTCCCAACATTTAATTGAACCACAATCAACCCAGGAAGAGACACTAGCAGTCCTGTTCACAGGGCCCCTTGAGAGGCAAGCAAGAGTTATGAGAACACCGCTTTACCTTGGAGATGCCTTTGTCACATTTCCTGCCTTTCCCAGAGAGCCTCTCTGAGGCAAAGGATAAATGGGAGGCAGTGAGGTCAAGAGCCTGGCCATAATTCACTGACACCCACTTGTGGGGTTTCAGGTATGATTCTATCACCCAAAGAACCCTTAATAACACACTAGTCTATATTCCAGTCCTCATGAGATCTGATTCCTGCACACAGGCTCTCTCAGGAATGGAGTCAAAAGAGTAGTTTTTAGGGACCGCCTAGGTATAGCCCAGCTGTGTTTCCTGGGGTTGCTCTCTCCCAGGTGGGGCCTTCTGCAGAACCACACAGCCTTAGGATATTCCAGGCTGTGTGTTTCTGTGGGAGTGTTGCATGTCTACATGTTTGTGTGGCTTTGTGTGTTTCTCTATGTGTGTGTGTGTATGTGTATGCCTGCAAGTGGAGTCTGCTTAAAGGAATGTGTCGAACCACTGCAGTGCTTCTTGTTTTTGAGCCTCCCAACCTTTTGGTGACCTACCTGTGTTGCTCTGCTTAGGCTTTGGAGTTTTGCCTCCTTTATTTTTCTTTGAATCATGAATCTGCGTGAATTGGGAGGTGGCCTGATACTTGTCAGCGTCCAAATCACCTCCCCCTTAAAACAAAGCCACTCTTACAGAAAGAAGTAGAGTACATCACACCCAGAATAGACATCTCCCAATGTTTCAGTGTCTCAACCCAGGAAGAGATGCTAGCAGTCCTCTTCACAGGGGCCTCTTGATTTTACCTCATATTTGGACCCCCTTTGAGCATGTGCTTCACGTCATGAGGGGGCAATTCTCAATCATCTTGGGTTTCGTCCTGGGACATAGAGTGTGAGCAGCAATAAGGTCAGATAGGGGTGAGGATACAACCTGGTGAGGGGTGGATTGGGTCCCGCAACTTCACCTGCAAAAAAATAAAAATAAAAAATAAAGACAGATGACACAGAAGGTGCTGCCATCTCCATCCCTGCATTCCTCTAATTGCCCAAGCAGTGCACCCCAAGGACCAGTGCTCAGGTGTGAGTACTCTAATGTGCAAGAAACATTTGGATTGGAAATTGGGACCAACCTGGCAAACACCTGATTTGAGGGCTTTCATATCCTGAGCCAAATGGGAGTGGAATAGATTGATGTTGGGTGGGATGTGACAACCACACTTGCCTTTTCTTTCCCTGACTTCCATGTTTCTCATCAGCCTAGGCTTTCCTGTTTCCAGCTCAATGACTTCCACACTAAACGTTTCCCAGTTCACAAAGAATGACCCTCATGGGAATCCATTTCATGAGAGTTTCATTCTAAACACTGCCACGTTTTAATGACTGGGTAGCTTTTATACTTTTAAAACCCTAAATTCCCATTACAGCTGCCACCATTAAAACTCTTATTCCTCCACTTCTATTGGAGGGCTGCATGATTCCTGTAGGATGGGAAGCAGACAGTGGTGTCTGGGTTTTTCCCGGTAATCTATCCTCTGTTTCATTTCATCTGCATGTTTTTCTCATTGTGGAGGAGCTCTTTCATTGGGCTGTTGCTGGATGGAACTGCTTCTCGCTACAGATTATTTAGCTGCCAGAAATTTCAGAGAGCAAAAAGGACTTTGGATAGGCTGGCTGTGAACTAGGTTGTGGGTCATTTTCTCATTGTGGGGGCTGAGGTGGTTTGCCCTTTGCAGGAGGCTTTTGGGTTCTCTGACATAACTCATTGAAAATCATTTGGAATCCTGCAAAATACAGCTCTCTCTCTCAGGCAAGCCTTAATTTTTCTTTGCTTTCATCAGGAATCCCAGTGCCCCTCAACAGCACTACTGGACATCATTTTCAGGCTTGCCATTGCAACAGAATGCCTGTGAGACACTGTATCAACCTCATTTGCACTTGTGGGAAGCTCCGAGGTGTAAGAACACTGCTTCACCTTGGACTTGCCTTTGTATTGGCTATTGCATTTCCCAGAAAGACCCCAGAGTCCCAGGATAAAAAGAGGCAGTGAGGTCTAGAGTGCCACCATCTTTCACTGACACCCATCTCTGAGGTCTTAGGTATAATTCCATCACCCAAAGAACCCTGAAAAACACAACAGACTATATTGCAATCCCCATGGGACCTGATTCTTTCACACTCCTTTTGGGAATGGAGTCAGAAGAGCAGTTTCCTGAGACCACCTCACAGTCTCAAAACGCCTCCTCCTTTAGCTAGACCTGACCACGAGACAACCTGAAGGGGCCCTGAGGTCAGGAGTTTCAGGGCCTCATGGTTGTTTTTTTTTTTTTCAGGAAGTTTTCCCCCGTAGCTTGCTGGCTCTTCCTGTACCATTATTTTCTGATTAGGCAGGTTGATAGCTCTGAAAGTCTGGCATCCAAACCTGCATTATGAATGCCTATGCCATAATCTGAGGGCACCTGGCTAGACTGTGAGCTCTGGCTAGTATCACAATGAATGTCACATTGCTTAGTCAAAAGTCCCTTCAGCTTGGCGGAAAAGGGGACCTCCATGGAGTTGCATTGATGTTGGACTGTTGCCTGTCTTCTTTGTGGGATCCGCGGAATCATCTCATGATCCTAAGAGAGGGCAGATATGAGTGACTCTGAAGAAACATCAATAAAAGTCCCAGAAATAAACTGTAAATCCCTAAGGATCCAAAAGTATCCACCTAATTCCTCAGGATGGCCCAGATGTTGTAGGGGTGAGTCTTTTGGAAACTTGCCCCACTCTGATTTTTATGTACAACCCTTGTGTTTTCTGGGGTTGCTTTCTGCTAGGTGGGGCTTCCTGTAGAACCACACAGCCTCAGTAGCTGCCGGGCTCTGTGTTTCTGTGAGAGTGTTGCGAGAGTTAGATGTCTATGTGTGTGTGATATTCTGTTTGTGTGTGTGTGTGTCTGTCCCTTTAAGAGGAGTCTGCTAAAAGGAATGTGGCTAACGCTGTTCAGCATGCTGCTTCTTCTTCTTCTTCTTCTTCTTCTTCTTCTTCTTCTTCTTCTTCTTCTTCTTCTTCTTCTTCTTTTTTGAGTCTTGCAACCTTCTGGTGAGCTGTCTGTGTGGCTCTTCTTGGGTTGTGGGGCTCTGTGTTCTGATTTTTTTCTGTGGACCAAGAATCTGCAATGAATTGTTAAGTATGCCAAGACATGCTGGCATCCATATGACTACCCTTGAAAAAGAAAAGCCACTCCTCTAGAAGGAAGAGAAGCACACCACATGAAAAAAAATGCATCTCCCTGTGTTTCATTATCCTATGGCCAAACCAAGGAGAGACACTAGCAGTCCTTTCTTCAGGGCCCCTTGAATTTACCTCAAATTTGGTTCCCAGGGGAAAATGTATTTCACTCTGTGAGGGGGCACTCCTCCATCTTCTTAGGGTTTCATTCTGTGGCATAGAGTGTGAACAGCAACTATTTCAGATAAAGGTGAGTATACAATCTGGTGAGGTGTGGATGGGTTCATGCAACTTGACCTGCAAAATAAATAAATAAAGACAGATGATGCAGAAGTTGCTTCTAATTCCATTACCACATTGCCTTAATTGCACACGCAGTCCGCATCATGGCCCAGTGTTCAGATGGAAGAACTCCAACCTTCAAGGAACATTTTATATGCAAATCGGGGCCATGTTGGCAAACTCGTGATTTGAGGGCTTTCATACACAGAGCCAAATGGGAGTTGAATATTTTGATACTGCATAGGATGTTGCCTCCAGAGTTTCCTCTTCTTTTCTTGACTTCCATTTTCCTCCTTGGCCTAGGGTTTTCTGGGTCTGGCTCAATGACTTCCACCTTAAACATTTCCTAGTCCATGGAGAATTACACTCATGGTCATCCATTGCGTGAGTGTTTTATTCTAAACACTGTCATGTTTAATGACTGTCCAACTTTGATACTTTTATAACAATAAATTCCCATTACAGCCACCAACAAGAAAACTCTTGTCCTCCCACTTCTATCAGAGAGCTGCACAATTCCTGAAAAATGAGAAACAGGCAGCCTTGTCTGGCTTTTGCCTGGTAATTTAGCCTTTTTTTCATTTCATCTGCAGGACCGTCTCACTGGAGGGGTTCTGTCATTTGGCTGTTGCTGGATGGGACTGCCTCTCACCACAGATTATTTAGCTGCCTGGAATTTCAGAGAGCAAAAGGGACTTCAGGTAGGCTGGCTGCCCTCCAGGTTGTGGGTCATTGTCTCATTGTGTGGGCTGAAGTTGTTTGCACTTTGCAGGAGGCTTTTGGGTCCTCTGACAGAACTCAATGAATATTGCTTAGACTCCAGCACAAGGCAGCTCCTTCTCTCAAGTGAGTCTTGATTTTTTTTTAAGCTTTCATGTTGAATCCACAGTGTCCCTCAACAGCACAACTGAACATGATTTTTAGACTTGCCATCCCCACAGATGGCATGGAGACACTGTCTCAACCTCATCTGGATGAAGGGAGGCAGCAAGGTCAAGATCCCAACCATCTTTTGCTGATAGCTGCCTCTAGGCTATTAGGTATGATTCTCTCACCTAAACAACCCTCAACAACACATCAGACAATATTCCAATCCCCATGAGACCCAATTCTTATACACAGCCTCTTCGGGAATGGAGTCAGAAGAGTAGTTTTCAGTGACCACCTCATGGTCTCGAAATGCCTGATGCACCGGAAAGACATAACTACAGAGACAGCCTGAAGGGGCTCTGAAGTAGAGATTTTAGTGTCCCACATTGGGTTTTCATAGGCAGTCCTTTTCCCGATAACAGGCCAGCTCTGCATGTACCATTTTCCTCTGCTTAGGCAGGCTGGCAGCTCTGAGAGTCAGGCCACTAAGCATGCCCATACGTTAGTCTCAGGATAATCAGCTGATAGCGAGTTCTGGCTAGCTTCACATTGAAAGGAACCATGGCCTAGTGACAAATCCCTGTGGCTTGGGAGAAAAGGAGACCTCCGTGTAGATTTGCATCGGTGGTGGACTCTCGCCTGTCTTCTCTGTGGGATACACGGGGTAGTACTATGATTCTAGGAGAGGACAGACGTGAGCCAGCCTGAAGAAACATCAAGTACCACCCCAGGAATAAATCTTGAATTCCCTAAATATCAAAAGGATCTGCAAGATTTCTGAGGCCTGCCTACACATTTTAGGGTGAGTCTTTTTGAAACTTGCCCCACTGTGATTTCTATGTACCAGGTTGCTCTATTCAAAGTGAGGATTTCTGCAGAACCATAAAACCTCATGAGCTGAAAGAAAGTGTGTTTTTGTGAGAGTGTTGTGAGTGTTGGATATCAATGTGCTTGTTTCCTTGCATGTTTGTGGCTGTGTTTGTGTCTTTGTGTGCCTGTAAGTATAGCATGCTTAAAGAAATGTGGCTAACACACTTTAGCACTTCTTTCTTTTGTCTCCCAACCCTTTGGTGTCCTGTCTGTGTGGTTCTGCTTGACCTGCAGGGCTTTGTGTTCTTCATTTTTCTGCAGATCATGAATCCACTGTGAATTGGGAGGTAGGCTGAGACATGCTGGCATCGAAATCACCTCCCCCTGCAAAAAAAAAAAAAAAAAAAAAAAAAGCTACTTTTCTAGAAAGAAGAGGAGCACACCACACCAAAAAACCAACAACATTCAGTGCTTTACTGTCCCTTGTCCAACCCAGGAAGAGACATTAGCAGTCCTCAGGGACCCCTTGAATTTACCTTGAATTTGTTTCTCTGTCAAGCAGGTGCTTCAAGTTGTGATGGGGCACTCCTTCGTCATCTTGTAATTTCATCCTGGGACATAGAGTGTAAGCAACATTAAGGTAAGATAAGGATGAGGACACAATCTGGTGATTATGTTCCTGCAACTTTACCTGCAATAAATAAATAAATAAGGACAGATGACACAGAAGGTGCTTCCAACTTCATCCCAGCATTCCCTTAACTTCACAAGCAATCCACACCATGGCCCGGTGTTCAGGTGTGATTAGACCAACATGCAAGGAACATTTGGGGTGCAAATTGGGGCCATGCTGGCAAACTCCCAATTTGAGGGCTTTCATACCCAGAGGCAAATAGGCATGGAATGGATTGATGCTGGGTGGGATGTTGTCTCCACGCTTTCCTCTTCTTTTCTTGACTTCCATGTTCCTCAATAGCCTAGGGTTTTCTGGCTCAGTGATTTCCACACTAAACATAGCCCAGTTCATTGAGACTGACCTTCCTGGGCAACCATTGTGTGAGTGTTTTTTTTGAAACACTGCCATGTTTTAACGACTGGGAAGCTTTGATACTTTTAAAACAAATAAACTCTTGCTTTCCCACTTCTATCATAGGGCTGCATGATTCCCAAAGCAAGAGAAGCAGGCAGCTGTGTCTGGCTTTTCCTCATATCTAGCCTGTATTTCATTTCATCTGCATGGCCTTTTTATTGTAGAGGATCTCTTTCATTGTTCTGTTGCTGGATGGGTCTGCCTCTCAGCACAGATTATTTAGCTGTCAGGGATTTCAGAGAGCAAAAGGGACTTTGAGGAGTCTGGCTGTGCTCCAGGTTGTGGGTCCTTGTCTCATTTTGGGGGCAGAGGTTGTTTGCACTTTGAAGGAGGCTTTTGGATCCTCTGACAGGAATCACTAAGAATTGCTTGGACTCCAGCAAAAAGCACCTCATTCTCTCAGGCTAACTTTGATTTTTCTTGGCTTCCATGGGGAATCCACAGTGCCCTTCAACAGCACTACCAGACATGTTATTCAGGCTTACCATCGTCACTGTCTCAACATCTTCTGCACCTGTGAGAGGCCAGCCCGAGATGTGAGAACACTGTTCCACCTTGGACTTGCCTTTGTCGTGGTTCCTGTCTTTCCCAGAGAGCCCCTGCAAGATGCAAGATGAAGGGAGACAGCTAGGTCTACAGCCCAGACATCTTTCACTGACACATGCCTCTGGGGCCTCAGGTAAGATTCTATCACCCAAAGAACCTTAAACAACACACCAGACTATATTCTAATCCCCAAGCGACCTGATTCTTGCAAACAGCCCCTTTCAGGAATGGAGAGAGAAGAGCAGTTTTCAGTGAACAATTCATAATCTCAAAACCCCTACTCCAATTGAACCAGACAAGAGAGACAGCCTGAAGGGGCCCTGAGTTGCAGAGTTTTACTGTAACGCAGTGGGTTTTCACAGGCAACTTTTTCTGCGATTCCAGATCTGCTCTTCATGTACCATTTTCCTCTGCTTAGGCAGGCTGTCAGCTCTGACAGTCAGGCACGTGAGCCTGCATCACGAATGCTAATGCACTAGTTTCAGAGCAGCAGGCATGATTGTGAGCTCTGGGTAGCCTCACAATGAATGCCACCGTTGCCTAGCGACAAGTCACTGCAGCTTGGCAAAGAATGAGAAATCCATGGAGGTGTGTAGGAGGTGGACCCTTGCCTGTCTTTTATGTGGGATGCACGGCATAGTCTCATGATCCTAGGAGAGGGCAGACATGAGCCAGACTGAAGAAATCCCAAGCAAAGCCTTAGGAATAAACCGTGAAATTTCTAAGGAACCACAAGTATCTTCAGCATTCCTCAGGCCTGCCTAGGTATTTTAGGGTTGAATGTCTTTGAAACTTTCCATACTGAGACTTCTAGGTACAGCTTGCCTGTGTTCCCTGGGGTTGCACTGTCTCAGGTGTGGCTTCCTGCAGAACTGCACAGACTCAGGAGCTGCCCAGCTGTGTTTTTCTGTGAGAATGTTGTGAAAGTTGGATGTCTGAGTATGTGTGTGGCATAGTGTGTTTGTGTGTGTGTGTCTGTGTGTGACTGTAAGTGGAATGTGCTTAAAGGAATGTGGCTACCGCACGTCAGAGCTCCTTTTTTTTTTTTTTTTTGAGTCTTCCATCCTTTTGGTCACCTGTCTGTGTGGCTCTGCATGGGCTGTGGGGCTCTGTGTTCTTCATTTTTCTGTGGATTATGAATCTGAAGTGAATTGGGAGGTGGGTGGAGACCTATCAGTGTCCAAGTCACCTCCCCCTGGAAAAAAAAAGCCACTCTTCTAGAAAGAAGAGGAGCATACCACATGAAAAGATAGACATCTCCCAGTGTTTTATTGTCTTGTGGCCAACCCAAGGAGAGACACTAACAATTCTGTCCAAAATTACCTCCACTTTGGTTCCCAGTTGAACAAGTGCTTCAGGTCATAAGAGGGCACTCCTCTGTTGTCTTGGGATTTCATCCTGGGACATAGAGTGTGAGCAGAAATAAGGTCAGATGGGGTGAGGATACAATTTAGTGAGGGGTGGATGGGGTCCCACAACTTTATCTGCAAAAAGAAAAGGAAGAGAGATGACAGAGAAGGTGGCTTCAACACCATCCTCACATTCCCATAATTGCAAAAGCAGTCCACAACATGACACAGTGTTCAGGTAAGAGTACTCCAACATTCAAGAAACATTTGGAGTATAAATTGGGGCCATCCTGGCAAACTCCCAAATTGAGGGCTTTCATACCCAGATTCAAATGGGAGTGGAATGAATTGATGCTGGGTGGGAAGTGGCCTCCACACTTGCCTTTTTTTTTTTCCTGACTTACATGTTCCTCATTGGCCTAGAGTTTCCTGGGTCTGGCTCTACGACTTCCACGCTAAACTTTTTCCAGTTAACGGAGAACCACCCTCATGAAAATCCATTGCATGAGTGTTTCCTTCTACACACTGCCACGTTTTAATACTGGGAAGCTTTGATCCTTTTAAAAACATAAATTTCCATTACAGCTGCCAACCTCTGAGACACTGTCTCAATCTCATCTGCATGCATGAGAGGCCAGTCTGGGGTGTGAGAACACTACTTTATCTTGGACTTGCATTTGTCTAGGTTTCTGCCTTACCCAGAGAGCCTTGTGAGGCTAAGGATTAAGGAAGGCAGTGCAATAAAGTCAAGAGCCCAGGCATCTTTTGCTGACACCCACTTTTGGGGTCTCAGGTATGATTCTATCACCCAAAGAAGCCTCAACAACACACCAGACTATATTCCAATCCCTGTGGGACCCGATTCTTGCACACAGTCTCTTTTGGGAATGGAGATAGAAGGGCAGTTTCCAGCAAACACCTCACAGTCTCAAAATGCCTCCTTCTCCAGAGGAACTTGACCATGGAGACACCCAAAGTGGCCCTGAGATTGAGACTTTTAAGCTCCCAGAGTGGGTTTTCACTGGCAGCTTTTTCCTAATGCCAGGCCGGCTCTGCCTGTACCATTTTCCTCTGCTTTGGCAGGATGACAGCTCTGACAGATGGGCCCCCAAGCCTGCCTCACAAATGTATATGCCCTAGTCTCAGGGCACCAGGCCTGATTGTGCACTCTGGCTAGCATAATAATGAATGTCACCATTGCCTAGTAACAAGTCCCTGCAGCTTGCGGGAGAAGGAGACCTCTGTGGAGGTGTGTTAGCCATGTACTGTCACCTGTCTTCTCCGTGAGATCCACTGGATACTCTCATGATCATAGGACAGGGCAGAATTGAGCCAGCCTGAAGAAATGTCAAGCACAGCCCCAGGAATAAACCAAAAAATACCTAAGAATCCAAAATTATCTTCAGGATTCCTCAGGCCCGCCTAGAAGTTGTAGGAGTGAGTCTTTTGGAAATTGTCCCACTGTAATTTTTAGGTAGAGCCCACCTCTGTTCCCTGGATTGCTCTCTTTCAGGTGGGACTTCCTAGAGAACCATGCAGCCTCAGGAGCTGCTGGGCTGTGTATTTCTGTGGCAGTGTAGTGAGTGTTGGATGGCTGCATGTGTCTGTGGCATTGTGTGTTTGTATGTGTGTGTGTGTGATGTGCCTAAAACTGGAAACCGCTTAAAGGAATGTGGCTAATGCACTTCAGCCCTTCTTTTTGTTGAGACTGCCAATCTTTTGGTGTCCTGTCTTTGTGGATTTGCTTGAGCTGCTAGCCTCCATTTTCTTTATTTTTTCTGTGAATCAAGAATCCACAGTGAATTGGGAGGAGGGTTGAGATCCACCGGCATTGAAATGAACTCCTTCTGCAAAAAAATCCCTTCTTCCAGATATAAAAGAAGCACACCCCGCATATATAAAAAGACATATCCCAGTGTTTCATTGCTCTGTGGCCAAACCAGGGAAAGACACTAGTAGTCCTCTCCACAGGGTCCCTTGAACTTACCTCAAATTCAGTTTCCATCTGAGCTGGTGCTTCACATTGTGAGGGGGCACTCCGCCATCGTCTTGGAATTTCATTTTGGGACACAGAGTGTGAGCAGGAATAAGATTAGATAGGGGAGAGGATACAATCTGGTGAGGGGTGGATGCGGTCCCTCAACTTTACCTGAAAAAAAAATGAAGGCATATGACCCAGAGGTGCTTCAAATTCCATTCTCACATTCTCTTAATTGCAGAAGCAGTCCACCTCATGGCCTTGTGTTTTGGTTTTAGAACTTCAACATGCAAAGAATATTTGAAGTGCCAACTGGGGCCATCCTGGTAAACTCCCAATTTGAGGGCTTTCATGGAGCTAAATGGGAGTGGAATGTATTGATGCCCAGTAGGATGTGGCCTCCACACTTGACTTTTCATTTCTTGATTTCCATGTTCCTCATCAGCCTAGGGTTTTATGGGTCTGGCTCAACAACTTCCACACTAAACACTTCCTAGTTCATAAGAACAATCCTCATGGGAATCAATAGCATGAGTGTTTCCTTCTAAACACTGTCACGTTTTAATGACTGGGCAGCATTGATATTTTAAAACAGTAGATTCACTGTTAGAGCCACCAACAAGGAAACTTATTCTCCCCGCCCCCCTTTTTATCTTTCCTGAGGGCTGCATGATTCCTGTAGGATGAGAAGCAGAAAGGCGTGTCTGGCTTTTGCCTGGTAGTCTAACCTCTGTTTCATTTCATCTGCATGGCCTTCTCATTGTGGAAGGTCTCTTTCATTGGGCTGTTACTGAATGGGACTGTTTCTTGCCACAGATTATTTAGCTACCAGATATTTCAGAAAGCAATATGGGCTTTCGGGTAGGCTGGCTATGCTCCAGGTTGTGGGTTATTGACTCATTGTGGGGGCTGAGGTTGTGTGCACTTTGCAGGAGGCTTTTGTGTTTTCTGACAGTAATCATTGAACTTTGCTTGGACTTCAGCACAAGACAGCTGGCTCTCTCAGGCTTGGCTTGATTTTTCTTTGCTTTCATGAATAATCTATGTTGCCCCTCAAAAGCACTACTGAACACAATTTTCAGGCTTGCCATCACAACAGACGGCCTCTGAGACACTGTCTCAACCGCATCTGCACCACTGCATGGCCAGTCCAAGGTGTGAGAACACTGCTCCACCTTGGACTTGCCATTGACATTGTTCCTGTCTTTCCCAGAGAGCCCCTGAAAGGCCCAGGAAGTAGGGAGTTAGTGAGCTCAAGAGCCTGTCTATCTTTGAGTGACACTTGCTTCTACTGTCTCAGGTAAGATTCTATCACCCAAAGAACCCTCCACAACACACCACACTATATTCCTATCCTCTTGGGATTCAATTCTTGCACACAGCCTCTTGCAGATGTGGACTCAGAAGAGCAGTTTCCAGCCATGACCTCACAGTCTTGAAATGCCTGTTCCTCTTGCAGGTCCTGACCATGGAGACAGACTGAAGGGACCATGAGGTCGAGAATTTTAGGTCTCCCAGTAGGTTTTCACAGGCAGCCTTTTTCCCAATACCAGGCCACCTCTGCCTGTACCATTTGCCTCTTCTTAGGCAGGCTGACAGTTCTGACAGCCAGACATCCTGGCCTGTCTCACGAATGTGCATGTGCTAGTCTCAGGGCACTAGGACTGATTGTGAGCTCTGCCTAGCATCACAATGAAAGTCACTGTTTCCTAGCAAAAAGTCCCTGTGGCTTGGCAGAGAAAAAGACATCCATAGAGGTGCGTTGGCAGTGGACCCTCTTCTGTCTTCTCTGTGGGATCCATGGGATAGTCCCACGATCCTACGAGAGGAGAAACATGAGCCAGTCTGGAGAAATCTTAAGCAGAGCCCCAGGAATACACCGCAATATTCCTAAGGATCCAAAAATACCTGCAGGATTCATCAGGCCTCCCTAGGCATTGTAGCGGTGGGTGTTTTTGAAACTTACAGCACTGTAATTTCTAGGTACAGCCTGCCTGTGTTCTCCAGGGTTGCTCTCTCCCAAGTGAGGCTTCCTGCACAACCACACAACCTCAGGAGTTTCTGGGCTGTTTGTCTCTGTGGGAGTGTTGAGAATATTGGATGTCTGCATGTGTGTGCGGCATTATCTGTGTGAGTGTGTGTGTGTGTATGTGTGTGTGTGGCAGTAAGTGGAGTCAGCTTAAAGAAGTGCAGCTAATGTACTTCAGTGCTTATTTTATTTCAATCTCTTAACCTTTTGGTGGCAGGTCTGTGTTGCTCTGCTTGGGCTGCAGGACCCCTAGTCCTTTATTTTTCAGCGAATCATGAATCCAGTGTAAATTGAGAGGCAGGCTGAGACCCGCTGGCATTGAAATCACCTCCCGTTGCAAAAAAAGCCACTCTTCTAGAAATAAGAGGAGGATACCATACCAAAAAACAAATATCTCCCAGTGTTTTATTGCCCTGTAATCAACCCAGGGAAAGACACTAGCAGTCCTGCCTGCAGGGCCCTTTGAACTTACCTCAAATTCGGTTCCCAGCTGAGCAAGTGCTTCACATCATGAGGGGGCACTTCACAATTGTCTTAGGATTTCATCCTCGAATATAGAGTGTGAGCAGCAATAAGGTCAGATAGTCGTGAGGGTAAAATCTGGTGAGGGGTGGATGAGATCCCACAACTTCACAAGCAGGAAAAAAAAAGACAGATGACAGAGAATGTGCTTCCAATTCCATCTCCGCATTTCCTTAATTGCACAAACAGTGCACACAGTGGCTCGGTGTTCATGTAGGAGTACTCCAACAGTCAAGGAAAATTCATAGTGCAAATTGAGGCCACCCTGGCAAACTCCCAATTTGAGGGCTTTCATATCTGGAGTCAAATGGAAATGGAATGGATTGATGCCGGGTTGGATGTGGTCTCCAAACTTGCCTCTTCTTTTTCTGATTTCCATGTTCTTCATCAGCCTAGTGTTTCCTGGGTCTGGTTCAACAACTTCCACACTAAACGTTACTCAGTTCCTGGAGAACGACCCCCAGGGGAATGCATTGTGTGAGTGTTTCCTTCTAAACGCCATCATGTTTTAAAGACTGGGCACCTTTGATAATTTTAAAACTGTAGACTCCCATTACAGCTGCCAACAAAGAAATTCTTTTTCTCCCATCTCTATCTCAGGGCTGCATGATTCCTGTAATATGAGAAGCAAGCAGCCACGTCTGGCTTTTTCCTGGTATTCTAGCCTCTGTTTCATTTCATATTCAAGGCCTTCTTATTATGGAGGGCCCTTTTAATTGGGTTGTTGCTGGATGGGACTCCCTGTCACTGCAGATTATTTAGCTGCCAGGGATTTCAGAGAGCAAAACGGACTTTGGGTAGACTGCCTGCACTCCAAGTTGTGGGTTGTTGACTCCTTGTGGGGGCTGAGGTTGTTTGCTCTTTGCAATAGGCTTTTGGGTCCTCTGACAGGAATCATTAAACATTGCTTGGACTCCTGCACAAGGCAACTCATTCCCTCAGGTGAGCTTTGATTTTTCTTAGCTTTCATGGAGAATCCACAATGCCCCTCAACAGTACTACTGGGCCAGATTTTCAAGCTTTCCATCACAACACATGACATCTGAAACAGTCTCAACCTCATCTGCACCTGTGAGAGGCCATTCTGAGCTATGTGAACACTGCTCCACCTTGGACTTGCCTTTAATGTGGTTCCTCTCTTTCCCAGAGAGCCCTTGAGAGGCCCAGGATGAAGGGAGGCAGTGAGGTCTCTCTCAGGTAGGGCTTTCTGCAGAGCCACACAGCCTCAGGAGCTTCCAGGCTGTGTGTTTCTGTGGAAGTATTTCAAGAGTTGGATGTCATCGTGTGTGTGGTATTATGTGTTTTTGTGGGTGTGTGTGTTTCCCTTAAATGGTGTCTGTGTAAAGGAATGTGGCTAATGCACTTCAGTGCTTCTTTTTTTTTTTGAATCTCAAAACCATTTTTTGGCCTGCCTGTGTGGCTCTGCTTGGCTCTGGGGCCCCATGTTCTTTATTTTTCTGTGGATCATGAATCCACAGTAAATTGGGAGGAGGGCCAAGACATGTCAGTATCCAAATCACCGCCCCTACACAGAAAGCCACTCTTCTAGAATGAAGAGGAGTACATCACACCAAAAAACAGACCTCCCCCAGTGTTTCATTGTCCTGCAGCCAACCCAGAAAGAGACACTAGGATTCCTTTCCACAGGGACCATTGAATTTACCTTGAATTTGGTTGCCAGCCAAGTATTTACTTCATCTCATGGGGGGGCAGTCTTCCATCATCTTGAGGTTTCATCCTGGGACAGAGTATGGGCAGAAATAAGGTCAGATAGAGATGAGGATACAATCAGTGAGGGGTGGAACTGTTCCCACAAATTCACCTGCAAAACAATGAAGACAGATGATACACATGGTGCTTCCAACTTCATCTCCACATTCTCTTAATTGCGCAAGAATGGCCCAGTGTTCAGTGGGATTGTCCAATGCTAAAGGAACATTTGGAGTGCCAATTTGGACCATCCTTGGAAACTTTCAATTTGAGGGTTTTCATACCAAGAGCCAAATATGAGTGGAATGGATTGATGCTGGGTGGGATGTGGCCTCCAGATTTGCCTCTTCTTTTCCTGACTTCCATATTCCTTGTTTGTCTAAGGTTTCCCGGGTCTGGGTCAGGGAGTTCCACACTAAACATTTCCTAGTTCATGGACAACAACCCTCATGGAGTCCATTGCATGACTGTTTTCTTCTAAAGAATGGATGTTTTAATAATTGGACAGTTTTGATAATTTTAAAACCATAAATTTCTGTAACAGCAGACAACATGGAAATTTGTTCTTCTACTTTCATTGGAGGGCTGTATGATTCCTGTAGGATGAGAAGCAGGAGGCTGTGTCTGGCGTTTGCCTGGTAATTTAGCCTTTGTTATATTTCATCTGCATGGCATCCTCATTTTGGAGGATCTCTTTCATTGGGCTTTTATTAGATGGGACTGCCTCTGTACACAGATTACTTAGATACCAGGGATTTCAGAGAGCAAAAGGGACCTCAGATAGTCTGGCTGTGCTCCAGGTTGTTGGTCACTGACTCATTGTGAGGGCTAAGATTGTTTGCACTTTGCAGGAGGCATTTGGGTTCTCTGATAGGAACCATTGAACATTGAACATGGCAGCTTATCTTATCAGGCAAGCCTTGATTTTTATTTATTTTCATGAGGAAACCACACTGCCCCTTTACAGCACTATTGGATACTCTTTTCAGGCTTGCCATTGACACAGACAGCCTCTGGGACACTCAACCTCAACTGCACCCATGAGAGGCCAGTCCAAGGTGTGAGTACACTGCTCCAAATTGGACTTGCTTTTGTCGTGGTTCTTGTCTTTTCCAGGGAGCCCCTCCAAGGTCAAAAATGAAGGGAGGCACTGAAGTCAAGAGCTTTACCATCTTTTTCTGACACCCACCTCTAGTGTCTCAGGTACAATTTTATCACCCAAAGAACTCTCAACAACACACCAGACAATATTCCAACTCCCCATGGGACCCCATTCTTGCACACAGCCTCTTTCGGAAATGGAGTCAGAAGAGCAGTTTCCAGTGACCACTTCACAGTCTAAAAATGCCTCAGCCCTTAGTGGGAACCAACCACCGACTTGGCCAGAAGAGGCCCTGAATTTGAGAGTTTTAGTGTCCCACAGTGGGTTTTCATAGGCAGTTTTTTTTTTTTTTAATACCAGGCTGGCTCAACTTGTACCATTATTCTCTGCTTAGGCAGATGGATAGCTCTGACAGCCAGGCACCTCAGAAGTGCTCATGTGCTAGTGCTAGGGCATTAGGCCTGATTGTGAGCTCTGGCTAGCATCACATTAAATGTATCCATTGCCTAGCAACAAGTCCCTGTGGACTGGCGGAGAAAGAGACCTCCATGGAAAAGTGTCAGCAGTGGACTGTAGCCTGTCTTCTCTGTGGGATCCACAGAATCAACTCATGATCCTAGGAGAGGGCAGATGTGAGCCTTTCTGAAGAAACATTAAGCACAGCCCCAGGAATAAACCATGAAATCCCTAAGAATCCAAAAGGATCTGCAGAATTTCTCTGGCCTGTCTAGACTTTGTAGACTTGAACTTATTTGAAACTTACCCCACCGTGGTTTCTAGGAACAGCTCAGCTCGCCTGTGTTTTACTGGGTTGCTCTTCCCCAGGTGGGGCTTCCTGCAGAAGCACACAGCCTCAGGAGCTTCCGAACTGTGCATTTCTGTGGAAGTGTTGTGAGAGTTGGATGTCTGTGTGTGGGTGTGGTATTGTGTGTTTCAGTGGGTGTGTCTCTGTCCCTTTAAGTGGAGCCTGCTTAAAGGAATGTGGCTAATGCAGTTCAGCGATTTTTTTTTTAGGTCTTCCAACCTTTTGGTGGCCTGTTTGTGTGGCTCTGTTTGGGCTGTGGGACTCTGTGTTCTTTATTTTTCTGTGGATCATGAATCTGCAGTGAATTGTGAAGCATTCTGAGATGTGCCAGCATCCAAATCACCTCCCCCTGAAAAAAGAAAGCCACTTTTCTAGAAGCAGGAAGAGCGCAGCACATGGAAAAACAAATATCTCCCAGTGTTTCATTGTCCTGTGGCCAACCCATGGAGAGACAGTAGGAGTCCGGTTTGCAGAGCCCCTTGAATTTACCTTGAATTCAGTTCCCAGCTGAGAAGGTGCTTCACTTCGTGAGGGTGTACTCCTACATCATCTTGTTATTTTATCCTGTGACATGGAGTGTGTGCAGCACAGTCACAGATAGGGGTGAGGATACAATATAAAGAGGGGTGGATGGGGTCCTGCAACTTCACCTGAAAAATAAATGAAGACAGATGACACAGAAGGTGCTTTCAACTCCATCCCTGAATTCCCTTAATTGCACAAGCAGTCCACACCGTGGTCCAGTGTTCATGTGGGAGTACTATAACCTGCAAGGAACATATGGAATGTAAATTGAGACCATGCTGGCAAACTCCCTATTTGAACGTTGCCATACCTGGAGCCAAATGGATGCTTAATGGATTGATGCTGTGTGGGATGTGGCCTCTAGACTTGCCTCTTCTTTCCCTGATTTCCATGTTCATCCTTGGCCTAGGGTTTTCTGGGTCTGGCTCAATGACTTCCACAATAAACATTTCTCAGTTCACGGAGAACAACCCTCATCAGAATCCATTGCATGAGTGTTCCCTTCTAAACACCGTAATGTTTTATTGACTGGGCAGCTTTGACACATTTGAAACCATAAATTCCATTTACAGCTGCCAACAAGGAAATTCTTATTCTCCCACTTCTATCAGAGGGCTGCATGACTCCTAAAGGATGAAAAGCAGGCAGCCATGTCTCACTTTTTCTTGGTAATTTAGCCTCTGTTTCCCTTCATCTGCACGGCCTTCTTATTGTGGAGGGGCCATTTCATTGGGCTGCTGCTGCATTGGACTGCCCCTCTCCACAGATTATTTAGATGCCAGGGATTTTGGAGAGCAAAAAGGACTTCAGTCATGCTGAGGGTTCTGCAGGTTGTGGGTTGCTGTCTCAGTGTGTGGGCTGAGGTTGTTTGCACTTTGCAGGAGGCTTCTGCGTTTTCTGACAGAAACCTTTAAACTTTGCTTGGACTCCAGCACAAGTCAGCTTGTTCTCTTAGGTGAGTATTGATTTTTCTTTGCTTTCATGTTGGGTCCACAGTGCCCATCAACAGCACTACTGGAAACCTTTTTGAGGCTTCCAATCACCACAGATGTCCTCAGCATCACTATCTCAACCTCAGCTACACCCATGGGAAGCCAGTTTGATGTGTGAAAACACTGCTTCCGCTTGGATTTGCCTTTGTCATGACTCCTGCCTTTTTGAGAGAGCCCCTGTGAGACCCAGGATGAAGGGAGGCAATGAGGTCAAGGGCCCATCCATCTTCCACTGACACCCGCCCCTGGTGTCTCATTTATGATTACATTAATGAAAGACTTATCAACAACTCACCAGACTATTTTCCAGTCCCTATGGGACCTGATTCTTGCATGCAACCTCTTTCAAGAATGGAGTCAGAAAAGCAGTTTCCAGCAACCATCTCACAGTATCAAAACACCTCCTCTTCCAATGCAAGCATGGGGACGGCCCAAAGCAGCCCTGAGGTCCAGATTTTCTGGTCCTGCAGTGGCTTATCACAGGCAGCTTTTTTCTCGATACCAGGCTGGCTCTGCCTGTAACATTCTTTTCTGCTTAGACAGGCTGACAGCTCTGACAGCCAGGTGTTCAAACTGCCTCAGCAATGGGCACGTGCTAGTCTCAAGACACCAAGCCTGAGATGTGAGCTCTAGCTAGCATCACTGTGAATGCCACCATTGTCTAGCAACAATTCTTTGTGGCTTTGCAGAGAAGGAGACCTCCTTGGAGGTGTGCCTTCCCATATCATTTTCCTCTGCTTAGGCAGGTTGACAGCTCTAACAGCCCGGTGTTTGAGCCTGCCCACAAATGACCATTATCTAGTCTCATGCACCAAGCATGAATGTGAGCTCTAGCTAGCATCACAATGTATGTCACCATTGCCTAGTGACATGTCCCTGGGGCTTGGCAGAGAAGACTTCTCTAGAGGTGCTTTAGTGCTGGACTCTTGCCTGTCTTCTCTGTGGTATTTATGGGATAGCCCCATGGTCCTAGGAGAGGGCAGAAATGAGCTAGCCTGAAGAAACTTCAAGCAGAGACCCAGTAATAGACCACAAAAGTCCTAAGTATCCAAAAAACCTGCAGGATGCCTCAAGCCTGCCTAGATGTTGTAGGGGTGAATCCTTTAGAACCTCGCCTCATTGTGATTTCTAGGTACGGCCTGCCTATGTTCCCCAGAATTGCTGTCTCTCAGATGGGGCTTCCTCCAGAACCACACATCCTCAGAAGCTGCTGGCATGTGTGTTTCCATGGGAAAGTTGTGAGTGTTGGATGTCTACCTGTGTGTGAGTCATTTTGTATTTGTGTGTTTGAGTTTGTATGTGTGTGTGTGTGCACATGCCGGTAAGTGGAGTCTGCTTAAAGAAATGTGGCTAAGACACTGTAGTGCTTTTTTTTTTTTTTTGAGTCTCCCAACCTATTAGTGGCCTGTCTCTGTGGCTCAGCCCGGGCTGTGTAGCCCCGTGTTCTTTATTTTTCTATGGATCTTGAATCCACAATAAATTGGAAGGCTGGCTGTGACCAGCCGGGGTCCACATTACCTCATCCTACAAGAAAAAGCCACTCTTCTAGGAAGAAGAGGAGCACACCAAACCCAAGAACAGAGACCTTTCAGTGTTTTCTTGTCCTGTGGTCATCCCAGGGAGAAACTCTAGCAGTCCTGTCTGCAGGGCCAATTGATTTATGTTGAATTCAATTCCTAGCTGAGCAGGTGCTTCACATCATGACCAGGCACTCCTCCATCATCTTGGGATTTCATTCTGGTACAAAAAGTGTGAGCAGCAATAGGGTCAGAGAGGGATGAGGATAAAATCTGGAGGAGTAGATGGAGTCCCACAAATTCATGTGCAAAAAAATGAAGACAGATGACAGAGAAGGTGCTTCCAAATGCATCCCTGCATCAGTTAATTGCACAAGCAGTCCACAACGTGGCCAGTGTTCAGGTGGGATTACTGCAGGGAACATTTGGAGTGCAAACTGGGGCCATCCTGACAAACTCCCAATCTGAGGGATTTCATACCTGGAGACAAATGAGAATGGAATGGATTGATGCTGAGAGGAATGTGGCCTCCAAACTTGCCTCTTCTTTTCCTGACTTCCATGTTTCTCATCAGCCTAGGGTTTTCTGGGTCTTGCTCAACCTCTTCCATACTAAAGGTTTTTGAGTTCACAGAGTATGACCCTCATGGGAATCCATTGCATGAGTGTTTTCTTCTAAACACTGTCACGTTTTAATGACTGGGCAGCTGTGACACTTTTAAAACCATAAATTCCCATTACAGCTGCTAACAAGGAAACTTTTATTCTCCAACTTCTATCAGAAGGCTGCATGATTCCTTTAGGGTGAGAAGCAGGCAGCTGTGTCTAGCTTTTCCCTTATAATCTAGGCTCTGTTTCAATTCTTATATAGGTCTTTTCTCTTTATGGAGAGGGTCTTTCATTGGGTTGTTAATGCATGGGATTGCCTCTCGCCACAAATATTTTGGCTGCCAGGGATTTTAGTGAGCAAAAGGGACTTTGGGTTGGCTGGCTGTGCTTCAGGTTGTAGGTTGTGGTCTTTTTGTGGGGACTGAGGTTGTTTGCACTTTGCAGGAGGTTTTTGAGTCCTCTGGCAAATACTGCAACGTCGCTTAAACTCCAGCACATGTCTGCTTCTTCTCTCAGGGGAGCTTTATTTTTCTTTGATTTCACTGGGTTCCACAGTTCCCTCAACTGCACTACTGGACACACTTCAGGTTTGCAATTGCCAGAGAAGGCCTCTGAGACATAATCTCAACCTTATCTACACCTGTGAGAAGACATTTTGAGGTGTGAGAACACTACTCTCATATAGACTTGTCTTTGTTGTGGTTCCCAGCTTTCCCAGAGAGCCACTGTGACTCCCAGGATGAAGGAAGGCAGTGATGTTAAGAGCCTGACCATCTTTTGTTGACATGTTCCTCAGGGGTCTCAGGTATGATTACATCACTCAAAGACCCCACAAACTCTCACCAGACTGTATTCCAATCCCCATGGGGTCTTATTCTTGCACAGAGCCTCTTTTGGGAACAGAGTCAGAAGAGTAGTTTCCAGTGACCACCTCACAGTCAGGAAACGTCTTCTCCTCCAGCATGACCCAACCATGGAGATGGCACGAAGGGGCCCTAAGGTCGAGATTTCTAGGGTCCTGATGTGGGTTACCACAGGCAGCCTTTTCCCCGATAACAGGCCAACTTTTCTTGTTCCATTTTCCTTTGCTTAGGCAGTCTGACAGCTCTGACAGCCGGGTGCCTGAGTGTGCCTCACAAATATGGATGCGCTTGTCTCAGGGCCAATGGCAAACTCTGGTAGCATCACAATGAATGCCACCATTGCCTAGGGACAAGTCCTTGAGGCTTGGTGAAGAAGGATATTTTCATGGAGGTGCATCAGTCATCGACTCTTGCTTGTCTTCTCTGTGGGGTCCATGGGGTAGTCCCATGATAACTGGAGATGGCAGACATGAGCCAGCCTGAAGTAACCTCAAGCAGAGCCTTAGGAATAAACCATGAAATCCCTAAGGATCCAGAAAGATCTGCAGGATGCCTCAACCTACCTAGACATTGTGAGGGTGAGTCTTTTTGAAACTTGCTCCACTATGATTTCTAGGTAGAGCTTGCCTGCGTTCCCTGGAGTTGCTCTCTTCCAGGTGGGGCTTTCTACAGAATCACACAGCTTCAGAAGCTGCCAGGCTGTGTTTTACTGTGAGAGTGTTGCATGTGTTGAAAGTCTGCATGTATGCGTGGCTTACTGTGTATGTGTGTTTGTGTGCCTGTAAGTAAAGTCGGCTTAAAGGAATGTTGGTAACACACTGCAGCACTTCTTCTTTTTTTTTTTTTTGAGTCTCCGAAGTTTCTGATGACCTCTCTTGACCTCTCTGTCTGACTCTGCTTAGGATGTGGGGCTCTGTGTTCTTAATTTTCCTGTGGATCATGAATCTGCAGTGAATTGGGAGCCTGGCTGACACGTGCTGCAGTCCAAACCAACTCCTTCTGAAAACAAACAAACAAACAAACAAAAAACACTCTTCTAGGATTAAGAAGAGCACATCACACCCAAGAAGATATATCTATTGGTGTTTCATTATCCTGCAGCAAACCCAGAAAGAAACAGTAGCAATCCTGTCCACATGGCCTCTTGAATTTACCTTGAATTCCCTTCCCAGATGAGCAGGTGCTTTGCGTTATGAGGGGTCAATTTTCTATCTTCCTGGGATTTCATTATGGGAAGAAAGACTTCGAAGGTGCTTCCAACTTCATTTCCACATTTCCTTAATTGCAAAACAGTTGACACCATGGCCCGGTGTTCCAATGTGAATACTCCACGGTGCAGGGAACATTGGAAGTGCAAACTGGTCATTCTGGAAAACTTTTGATTTGAGGGTTTGTGTACGTGGAGAAAAACGACAGTGGGGTAGATTGATGCTGGTTGAGATGTTGCCTCCACACTTTCTTCTTCTTTTTCTCACTTTCATGTTCTTCATTGGCCTAGAATTTCCTGGGTCTGTCTCAACATCTTCCACACTAAATATTTCCCAGTTCGTGGAGGAGGACCCTCATGGAAATGCATTGCATGAGTGTTTCCTTCTAAACACTGTCACATTTTAATGACTAAGCTGATGTGATACTTTTAAAATGATAAATTCCTGTTTCAGCTGCCAACAGGGAAACTCTTGTTCTCCCACTTTTATTGGAGGGCTGCCTGATTCCTTTAGGATGAGGAGCAGGCAGTCATGTATGGCTTTTTCCTGGTAATCTACACACTGTTTCATTTCATCTGCAAATCCTTTCTCATTGTGGATGGTGTATTTCATTGGGCTGTTGCTGGATGGGACTACCTCTCCATACAGATCTTCTTAATGCCACCAATTTCAGGGAGCAAATAGGACTTCGAGTACGCTGGCTGCACTCCAGCTTGAGGGTCATTGTCTCGTTATGGGGGCTGAGGTTCTTTTTAATTTGCAGGCTTCTGTTTCCTCTGACAGCAGTCTTTGAAAGTTTCTTGGACTCCAGCTCATCAGCTCATTTTCTCAAGTGAGCCTTGATTTTCATTTGCTTTCATGCTGGGTCCACATTATCCCACAACAGCACTACTGAACACCCTTTCAGGTTTGCTATCACCATGGATGTCTGGTGTGGCAATTTCTCAACATCATCTGCACCTTTAAGAGGCCAGTTAGACATATGGGAACACTGCTTGATCTTGGACTTGCCTTTGTCATGGTGCCTGCCTTTCCCAGATAGCCCGTGCAAGGCCCAGGATTATGGGAGGCATGAAGTCAAGGGTCCAGCCAGTTTGCTGACACCTGCCTCTGAGGTCTCAGGTATAATTCCATCACACAAAAACCCCTCAACAGCTCACCAGATAATAATCCAATCTCCATGGGACCTGATTCTTGCACACAGCCTCTTTCGGGAATGAAGTCAGAAAAGCAGTTCTCAGCGACCACCTCAGAGTTTAGAAATGCGTCCTCCAGCAGGTCCCAACCACAGAGATGTCCCAAAGGGGCATTAGGGTCGAGAATTTTATGGTCCCGCAGTGGACTATTGCAGGCAGCCTTTTTCACAACACCAGGCCGGATCTGCCTATACCATTTTCCTCTGCTTAGGCAGACTGAGAGCTCTGAGTGCTCTGACAGGCAGGCAGTCTCTCCCAGGTGGGGCTTCCTGCAGAACCATGCAGCCTCAAGAGCTGCCTGTCTGTGGGTTTCTGTGAGAGTGTTGCTAGTGTAGGATGTCTCTATGTATGTGTCTTTGTGTGTGTGTGCATGTGTGTGCATGCCTATAAGTGGAATCTCCTTAAAGGACTGTGGCTAATGCACTTCAGTGCTTCCTCTTTTTGACTTCAAACTTTTTGTTGGCCTGTCTGTGTGGCTCTGCTTAGGCTGCAGGGCCCCGTGTTCTTCATTTTTCTGTGGATCATGAATCCGCAATGAAGGCAAAGGCTGGCTGAGACCCACTGGGGTCCAAACAACTTCCTTCTGAAAAAAAAAAAGAAGCCACTCTTCTAGAAAGAATAAAAGCACACCACAACCAAGAATAGAAACTCCCAGTGTTTCATTGTTTATGAGCCAAACCACTAGTAGTCCTACCTGTGGGGCTTCTTGAATTTTCCTCAAATTTGGATCCCAGCTTAGAAGGTACTTCACATCATGAGGGTCACTCCTCCATTGTCTTGGGATCTCATTCTGGGACAGAGCGTGTGATCAGCAATAAAGTCAGAAAGTGGTGAGGATACAATGTGGTGAAGGGTGGATGGGGACTCACACCTTCACCTGCAAAAAAGGTGAAAACAGATGACATAGAAAGTGCTTCCAACTGCATCCTCAAATTACTTTAATTGCACAGCAGTCCACCAAATGGCCCAGTGTTCAGGTGGGAGTACTCCAACGTGCAGGGAACATTTGGAGTGCAAACTGAGGCCATTGTGTAAACTCCTGATTTGAGGACTTTCATACCAGAAGCCAAATGAGAGTGTGATGGATTGATAGTGGGTGGGATGTGGTGTCCACACTTGCCTCTTTTTTTTTTCCTGACTTCCATGTTCCTCATTGGCCTAGGGTTTTCTGGGTCTGGCTCAAGTTCTTCCACACTAAAGGTTTCCCAGTACAGGGAGGACGGCCCTTATGGGAATTCATTGTATGAGTTTTTCATCTTAACACTGTCAAGTTTTAATTATTTGGCAGCTGTGATACATTTAAAAACGTGAATTCCCATCACATCTGCCATCAAGGAACCTCTTGTTCTACCACTTCTATCCGAAGACTGCAAGATTTATATAGGATGAGAAGTAGGCAGCCATGTCTGGCTTTTGCCTGACATTCTAGCCTCTGATGCATTTCATCTGTGTGTCCTTTTTCCTATTTGAGTGGGTGGTATTTCACTGGGCTGCTGCTGGATGGTACTGTCTCTCATCACAGATTTTTTTTTTCTGCCAAGGATTACAGAGAGCAAAAGAAACTTCAGGTAGGCTGGCTGTGCTGCAGGTTGTGGGTTGTGGTCTCCTTGTGGAGGCTGAGATGGTTTGCACTTTGCATTAATATTTTGGGTCCTTTGATAGGAATGATTGAACATTGCTTTGACTCCAACACAAGAAAGATCATGCTCTCAGGCAAGCCATGATTTTTCTTTGCTTTCATGTGGTGTCCACATTGCCCCACAGCAGAACTACTGGACATAATTTTCCAGTTTGTAATGGCCACAGATGGCATCTGAGACTCTGTCTCAACCCCATCTGCACACTTGAAAAACAATTTCAAAATTTGAGAAGACTGCCCCACCTTGGATTTGCCTTTGTCATGGTTCATGCCTTTCCCCGACAACCCCAGCAAGGCCCAGGATGAAGGGAGTCAATAAAATGAAGTGCCCGGCTATGCTTTGCTGGCGTCTCCCTCTGGGGTCTCAGGTATGATTCTATCACCCAGAGACCCCTCAGAAACACACCAGACTATAATCCAGTTCCCATGGGACTCGATTTTGCACACAGCCTCCTTTAGGAATGGAATCAGAGGAGCAGTTTCCAGTGACCACTTCAGAGTTCGGAACAACCCCTACTCAAGCAGGATCCAACCACGGAGACAGCCCAAAAGTGCTCTGATATTGAGACATTTAGGGTCCCATCGTGAGATTTTGCAGGCAGCCTTTTTTCCTATACCATGTCTGCTCTGCTTGTACCATTTTTCTCTGCTTTGGCAGGCTGAAAACTCTGACAGGTTGGTACCCAAGCCTGCCTTATGAATGTGCCTCTGCTAGTTTCAGAGCACCATGCTTGATTGAGAGCTCAGTCTAGCATCAAAATAAATGTCATTATTAATGAGAAACAAGTCTCCGTGGCTTGGCGGATAAGGAGACCTCCCTGGAGGTGCGTCCGCTGTGGGCTCTCTCCTGTCTTCTCTGTGGCATTTATGAGATTTTTCCCATGATCCTAGAAGATAGCAGACATCAGCCAGCCTGAAGAAACATCAAGCAGAGTCCCAGTAATAAACTGCAACATTCCTAAATATCCAAAAAAATCTGCAGAATTCCTCAGGCTGCCTACATGTTGTAGGGAGGTCTTTATGAAACTTGCCCCACTGAGATGTCTAAGTACAGCCTGTCTGTGTTACCTGGGGTTGCTCTCTCCCAGGTGGAGCTTTCTGCAGAACCATGCAACCTCAGAAGCTGATGGGCTGTCGTCTGTTTCTGTGGGAGTGTTGTAAGTGTTGGATGTCTGCTTATATGTGTGTCATTGTGTGTGTGAGTGTGTGCGTGTGTGTGGATGTTTGTGTGTGTGTGTGTCTGTAAGTGGAGTCTGCTTAAAGTAATATGGCTAACGGACTTCAACAATTTTGTTTTGTGTCTGTCAAAATTTCGATGACCTGTCTGTGTTCCTCTGCTTGGGCTGCAGGGCTCTGTGTTCTTGATTTTTTGGTGGATCATATATCCACAATGAATTGGGAGGTGGGCTGAGACCTGCTAGCATCTGAGTCATCTACCCCTGCAAAAAAAAAAGCCACTCTTCTAGAAAGAAGAGGAGCATACCACACCAAAACACAAGTATCTATTAGCGTTCCATCATCCTGCAACCAACCCAGCATGAGACACTAGTAGTGCTGTCCACCAGGCTTCTTGAAATTACCTCGAATTCAGTTCCCAGCCAAGCAGGTGCTTCATAAGGTGAGTAGACACTCCTCTATCATCTTGGCTTTTCATCCTGGGACATTAAGTGTGAGCAGAAAAGTGTCACATAGGGGTGAAGATACAATCTGGTGAGGGGTGGATGGGGTCCCACAATTTCACCTGCAAAAACAATAAATGAACACAGATGACACAAAACGTGCTTCCAACCCCATCCCCTCATTCCTTTAATTGCATAAGCAGTCCACACAATGGCCAGATGTTAAAGTAGGAATACTTCAAAGTGCAAGGAAATTTTAACATGCAAATTAGGGCCATCCTGAAAAACTACGGATTTCAGAGTTTTCATACCCAGAGTCAAATGGGAGTGGAATGCATTGATGCTGCATGGGATGTAACCTCCATACTTGCCTCTTCTTTTCTTGCCTACCATGTTTCTCATTACCCTAGGGTTTCCTTTGTCTAGCTGGATGACTTCCACAATAAACATTTCCCACTTTATGGAGAACAACCCTCACGGGAATTTATTTCCTAATTGTTTCTTTCCAAACATTGTCACATTTTAATAACTGGGAAGGTTTGATACTTTTAATATCATAAATTCCCATTACAGCCAACAACCATGAAACCCTTGTTTTCCCACTTCCATCAGAGGGCTGAATGATTCTTGCAGGATGAGAAGCAGGCAGTCATATCTGGCTTTTGCCTGGTAAACTGTGGTCTGTTTCATTTCATCTGGACAACCCTTTCCTTGTAATGGGGCTCTTACATTGGCCTATTGCTGAATGGGACTGCCTTGGCCACAGATTATTTAGCTGCTAGTGATTTCAGAGAGCAATTTGACTTCAGATAGTCTGGCTGCAATCCAGGTTGTGGGTCATTGTCTCATGGTTGAAGTTGAGTTTGCACTTTGTAGGAGGATTTTGGGTCCTCTGACAGGAGTCATTGTACATTGCTTGGACTATAGAACAAGGCAGCTCATTCTCTCAGGCATGTTTTGATTCATCTTTGCTTTCATGAGGAATCCACAGTGTCTCTCAACAGCAAAACAGGACATCAGTTTCAGGCTTGCCATTGCAACATACAACATCTGAGACAGTCTCATCCCCATCTGCACATGTGAAAGGCCAGTTTGAGGCAGGAGAACACTGCCCCAACTTAGAATTGTCTTTGTTGTGGTCCTTATTTTTCCTAGAGAGCACCTGTCAGGCCCAGGATGAAAGGAGAAATTAGGTCAAGAGCCTGGCCATCTTTTGCTGACACCCTTCTCTGGGGTCTCGGGTATGATTCTGTCACCCAAAGACCCCCAACAACACACCAGACCACATTCCAATCCCCATGAAACCAGATTATTGCCCACACCCCCTTTAGGGAATGGAGTCAGAAAAGGAATTTCCAGCGACAAGCTCACTTTCTCAAAATGACTCCTCCAGCATCACTCGACCATGTAGTTGGCCTGAAGGGGTACTGATACTGAGTTCAAGACTTTTAGGGTCTTGCAGTAGGTTTTCACAGGCAGCATTTTCTCATTACCAGGCCGGCTCTGCCTGTACCATGTTCCTCTGATTAGGCAAGCTGACACATCTGACAGTCAGGTGACCAAGCCTACATCGCAAATGCACATGCACTAGTCTTGGAACACAAGGCCTCATTGTGAGCTCTGGTTAGCATCACAATGAATGTCACCATTGCCTAGCAAAGAGTCCCTGCTGCTTGGTGGAGAAGGAGACCTCTGTGGAAGTGTGTTGGTTGTGGAGTCTTGCCTGTCTTCTCTATGGTATCCACGGGGTTGTCCCATGATCCTAGGAGAGGAAAAACATAAGCCAGCCTGAAGATACGTCAAGCACAGCCACAGGAATAAACTGCAAAATCCCTAAGAATCCAAAAGGATCTGCAGGATTTCTCAAGCCTGCCTAGATGTCGTAAGTGTGAGTTTTTTTTTGAAACTTCCCCCACTGGGATTTCTTGGTATAACATGCCAGTGTTTCTTGGGGTTGCTCTCTCCCAGGTAGGTATTCCTGTAGAACCATGCAGCCTCAGGAGCTGCCAGGCTGTGTTTTCCTGTGGGAGTGTTGTGGGTATTGGATGTCTGCATGTATGCATGACATTGTGGTTTGTGGGTGTGTATGAGTGTGTGACTGTAAGTGGAGTACTCTTAAAGGAATGCTGCTAATGCATTTCAGCCCTTCATTTTTTTGAATTTCCCAAGCTTTTGGTGGCCTTTCTATGTGGCTCTGTTTGGGCTGTGGGACTTTCTCCAATTTGGTGCTTCCTGCGCAGCAACACAGCCTCAGGAGCTGCTCAGCTGTGAGTTTCTGTGGGAGTGTTGCCAGTGTTGGATATCTGAGTGCTTCTGTGGCATTGTGTTTACAAAAAACAAAAAAAAAAAAAAAGGGAAGAAAAAACAAACAAGCAAAAAAAAAAACCCACTATTCTAGAAAGAAGAGAGTGAACTACACCCAAAAAAGAGACATCTCCCACTGTTTCATCCTCCTTCAGCCAACCCAGGAAGAGACACTAGAAGTTCTGTACAAAGGGCCCTTTGAATTAACCTCAAATTCAATTCCCAGCTGAGCAGGTGATTTACATGTTGGGGGGCAATCCTCCATCATCTTTGGATTTCATCATTGGACATAGTGTATGAGCAGCAATAAGGTCAGATGGGGTGAGGGCACAATCTGGTGAGGGGTACCTGGGCTACCACAAGATCACCTGTAAAGAAAATGAAGACATATGACACAATAGATACTTCTAACTCCATAGCCCAGTGTTAAGGTGGAAGTACTGCAACATGCAGGGAAGATTTTGACTACAAACTGGGGCCATCCTGGTGAACTCCTGATGTGAGGGCATTCATACACACATTGATAGATTGATGCTGGGTGGAATGTGGCCTCCAAATTTGCCTCTTCTTTCTGTGACTTCCATGTTCCTCTTTCATCTTGGGTTTCCTGGGCCTGGCTCCATGCCTTCCACAATAAAATTTCCCAGTTCATGGAGGATGACCCTTATGGGAATCCATTGCATGATTCTTTCTTTCTAAACTTTGTCACATTTTAGTGACTGGACAGTTTTGTACTTTTAAAAGAATAAATTCCCATCAGAGCCACCTACATGGAAAATCTTGTTCTTCCACTTTTATCAGAGGGCTGCATGATTTCTGTACATAAAAAGCAGGAAGCCATGTCTGTATTTGACTGTTAATCTATGCTCTGTTTCACTTCATCTGTACGTCCTTCCTTGCTTTGGAATGGATCTTTCATTGGCTCTTGCTGGATGGGACTGCCGCCTCTCCCTACAGATCTTTTGGCTGCCAGGAAGCAAAAACGACTTTATGTAGGCTGCCTATGCTCCAGGTTGTGGGTCGTGGTCTCATTGTGGGGGCTGATGTTATTTGCACTTTGCAGGAGGGCTTTGTTTTCTCTGACAGGAATCTTTGAACATCGCTTGGACTCGTTCACAAGTCAGCTCATTCTCTCAGGTGAGCCTTTATTTTTCTTTGCTTTCACAGGGGGGGGTTCATCTTGCCCCAATCATCACTAGTGGACACTTTCTTCTGGCTTGCAATCTCCACAGACGGCCTCTGAAACACGATTCAACCTCATCAGCACTTGTGAGAGGCCAGTTGGAGGTGTGAGAACAACGCTTTATCTTGGAATTGTTTTTGTTGTGGTTCCTGGCTTTCCCTGAGAGCACCTGTGAGGCCCAGGAGGAAGGGAGGCAGTGAGGTCAAGAGCCTGGCCATCTTTTGTTGACACTTGCTTTTTTGGTCTCAGCGATGATTCCATCACCAAAAAACCCCTCAAAAACTCATCAGATGGTATTCTAATGCCTATGGGAACCCTGTCTTGCACACAGGCTCTTTCAGGAATGGAGACAGAGAAGCAGAATGCGGTGACCACCTCACAGTCTCTAAGTGACTCCTCTTTCAGCAGAACACGACCAAGGAGACTACGCAAAGGGCCCTATAGTCTAGGCTTGTTGGTTCTGGCAGTGGGTTATGGCAGGCAGCTTTTTTCCTCATACCAGGCCGGCTCTACTTGTACCATGTTCCTCTGCTTAGGCGGGCTGACAGCTCTGACAGCCAGGGTTCAGAACCTGCCTCATGAAAGCAAATGCATTAGTCTCAAAGCACCAGGCCTGAGTTATGAGCTCTGACTAGCTTCACAGTGAATGCCCCTGTTGCCTAGCGACAAGTTCCCTGGCTTGGTGGAGAAAAAGATCTTTTTGGAGATGTGTCAATGGTGGACCCTCGCCTTTCTCTCTTTTGGATTTATGGGATAGTTCCATGATCCTAGGAGAGGGCAGACATGAGCAGGCCTGAAAAAAAAGTCAACTGGAGTCCAAGGAATAAACTGGGAATTCCCAAAGGATTCAAAAGGATCTGCAGGATGCCTTAGGCCCATCTTGTCATTTTAGGGATGAGTCTTTTTGAAACTTGCCCCACTTTGATTTCTAGGTAGATCCATCCTGTGTTCCTCACTGTTTCTCCCTCCCAGGTGGGGCTTCCTGTAGAGCCATGCAGCCTCAGGACATGCTGTGTTGTGTGTTTCTGTGGGAGTGTTGAGAGTGTTAGATATCTGTGTGTGTGTGGCATTGCGTTTGTTTGTGTTTGTGTGTGTGTGTGTGTGTGTTTGTCTGTGTGCCTGTAAGTGGATTCTGCTTAAACAAATGTGGCTAATGCACTGCAGCCCTTTATTTTGTGGAGTCTGCCAACATTTTGGTGTCTTTTGATGTCTTTCTGTGTGCCTCTGCTTGGGATGCAGAGTTCCATGTGCTTTATTTTTCCATGTATCATGAATTTGCAGTGAATTGAGACCATGGCTGAGACAGGCCACTGTCCAAATCACCTCATTCTGCAAAAAAAGCACCACTCTTCTAGAAGGAAGAGAAGCACACCACACCCAAGAACAGACATCTCTTAGTTTCTAATTGTCCTGCAGCCAACCCAGGGAGAGACACAATCATTTCTGTCCACAGGGACCCTTAAATTTACCTCAAATTCTGTTCCCAGGTGAGCAGGTGCTTCATGTCTTGAGGAGCTCTCCTCCATAACCTTGGGTTATGATTCTTGGACAGATAGTGTGAGCAGCAATGTCAGATAGGGGTGAGGATACAATCTGGTGAGGTGTGGATGGGGTTCCTCACCTTAACCTGCAAAAAAGGTCAAGAAAAATGACACAGAAGGTGCTTCCAATGCCATCCCCTTAATTGCACAAGTAGCCCACACCATGGCCCGTTGTTCAGATGGGAGTATACCAACATGCAAAGAACATTTGGAGTGCAAACTGGGGACATCCTGGCAAATTTTTTATTTGTAGGCTTTCATACCCAGAGCCAAATGGAAGTGGGATGAACAGATGCTGAGTAGGATGTGCCCTCTACACTTGTCTTTTCTTTTCCTGACTTCCATGTTCCTCATCAGCCTAAGATATTTCGTGTGTGGCTTGATGTCTTCCACGCTAAACATTTCCCACTTCATGGAGATCGAACTCATAAGAATCCATTGCATAAGTGTTTCCTTCGAAACACTCATGTTTTAATGACTGGGCAGCTGTATTTCTTTTAAAAATATAAATTCCAATTACAGCTGCCAACAAGGAAACTATTGTTCTCTCACTTCTATCAGAAGGCTGCATTATACCTGTAGGATAAGAAGTAGGGAGCCGTGTCTGGATTTGTCTTGTAATCAGGGCTCTGTTTCACCTCATCTACATGTTATTTCTCATTGTGTCAGGGAGACTTTCATTGAGCTTTTGCTGGATGGGACTGCCTCTCAGATCTTTTGGCTGCCTGGAATTTCAGGGAGCAAAAGGGAACTTGGGTAGGCTTGCTATGCTGCGGGATCTGTGTCGTGGTTATATTGTTGTGACTGACTTTGCATTTGCAGGAGGCTTTTGGGTCCTCTGGCAGATATCTTTGAATGTTTCTGAGACTCCAGGACAAGTCAGCTCCTTCTCAGAAGTGAACCTTGATTTTTCTTAGCTTTCTTGATGGTTCCACATTGCCCCACAAAAGCATTACTTGGACATCTTTTTCAGGCTTGCAATTGACACAGACAGCCTCTGTGACACTGTCTCAACTTTTTCTGCACCCGTGAGAGGGCAGTTCGAGATGTTAGAACACTGCCCCATCTCGAACATGCTTTTGTGAGGCCAGGATGAAGGAAGGATGTGAGGTCAAGAGTATGGTCTTATTTCACTGATACTGACCTCTTGGACCTCAGGTATGATTCTGCCACCCAAAGACCACTCAACAACTACCCTGATTACATTCCAATCCCCATGAGACCTGATTCTTGCACAAAGCCACTTTTGAGAATGGAGCAGAAGAGCAGTTTCCAGTGACCACTTCACAGTCTTGAAACACCTCCTTCTCCAGCAGGATCTGACCAAGAGACAGCCCTAAGAGGCCATACGTTTTACACTTCTGGGGTCCCAAAGCGGGTTATCACAGGCAGCAGTTTTCCAGATACCATGCCATCTCTGTACCAGTTTCCCCTGTGTATGCAGGCTGAAAGCATTGACACCTGGACACACGAGCCTGCCTCGTGAATGTCTATGCCCTATTCTCAGGGCACCAGGGCTAAGCTATGATCTCAGGCTAGCCTCACAATGAATGTCACCTTTGCCTAGCAACAGGTCCTCGTTGCTTGACGGAGATGGAGGCTTCTATAGAAGTACTTCAGCAGTGGATTATCACCTGTTTATTCTGTGGGATCCACAAGATAGTCCCATGATCCTAGGAGAGGGCAGACAAGAGCCAGCCTAAAGAAACATCAAGCAGACCCCCAGGAATAAACCACAAAATCTGTAAGGATCCAGAAAGATCTGCAGGATTTGTGAGGCTTGCCTAGATATTGCAGGGGTGAACATTTTTGAAACTTATCTCACTGTGATTTCCAGGTGCAGCCCTCCTGTTTTCCCTGGTGTTGCACTCTCCCAGTTGAGGCTTTCTGCAGAACCACACAGCCACAGGCTTAAAATCTGCCTGGCCATGTGTCTCTCTGGAAGTGTTGTGAGTGTTGGATGTCTCTGTGTGTGTGTGGCTGTGTTTTTGTGTGTGGGTGTTTCTGTGCCTGTAAGTGAAATCTGCTTGAACAAATGTGGATAATGCAGGTCAGTGCTTATTTTTGAGTCCTCCATCATTTTGAAGGCATGTCTGTGTGGCTCTGCTGGGGCTGTGGGGCTCTGTGTTCTTTATTGTTCTGTGGATCAAGAATCTGCAGTGAATTAGGAGGCAGGCCTTGTTCCAATGGCATCCAAGTCAACTCCCCCTGCAAAAAAAATATCCACTCTTCTAGGGAGAAGAGGAACACACCACACCAAAAAACAGACAACTTCCAGTGTTTCATTGTCCTATGGCTAAACCAGTGAGAAACACTAGCTGTTCTGACTGCAGTGCTTCAAGAATTTATCTCAAATTCGGTTCCCATCTGAGCAGGGGCTTCATGTCATAAGGAGGCACTCCTTCATCATCTTGGAATTTTATTCTGGGACCAAAAGTGTGAGCAGCAATAGGTCAGAGAGGAGTGAGGATACAATCTGGTGAGGAGTGGATGGGGTACCACACATTCATCTGCAAAAAAGTTAAAGACAGATGACACAGATGGTGCTTCCAATTGCATCCCCGCATTTCCTTAATTGCACAAGCAGTCCACACCATTGCCTGGTTTTCAGGTGGAAGTACTACAACATTCAGGGAACATTTGGAGTGCAAACTGGGGCCATCCAGCAAACTCCCAATTTGAGAGCTTTCATACACAGATCCAAATGAAAGTAGGATGAATTGATGCCGGTTGGGATGTGGCCTCCACACTTGCCTCTTTTTTCCCTGATTTTCATGTTCCTCAATGGCCTAGGTTCCCTGGATAGGGCTCAACATCTTCCACACTAAACATACCCACTTCATGGAGGAGACCCTCATAAAAATCCATTGCATGAGTTCTTCATCGTAACACTGTCACTTTTTAATGACTTGGCAGCTCTGATACTTTTAAAATGGTAAATTCCAGTTACTGCTGCCATCATGGAAACTCTTGTTTTCCCACTTCTATCGGAGGGCTGCAGGATTCTGGGAGGATGAGAAGACAGCCACGTCTGGCTTTTTCCTGACATTCTGGGCTCTTCCATTTCGTCTACACATCCTTTCTCATTGTGGAGGGGGTCTCTTTCACTGGGCTGTGACTGATAGGACTGACTCTTGCCCCAGATCTTTTGGCTGCCAGGTATTTCAGGGCACAAAATGGACTTCAGGTATGCCGGCTGTGCTCAACGTCATTGGCCATTTTCTCATTTTGGGGGCTGAGGTGGTTTGCACTCTGCAGGAGGATTTAAGTATTGTTACAGAAATTTTTGAACGTTGCTTGCACTCCAGCACAATTCAGCCCATTTTCTCTGGAGAGTCTTGATTATTCTATGCTTTCATGTGGTGTCCACATTGCCCCTCAGCAGCACTACTGGGCACCTTTTTCAGATTTCCAATGGCCACAGTGAGCATCTGAGACATTGTCTCAACCTTATCTGCACCCATGGGAGGCCTTTCCCCATTGTGACAACACTTACTCCACTTTTGACTTGGCTTTGTCGGTGTTCCTGGCTTTCCCAGAGAGCCGCTTTGAGGCCCAGGATGAAGGCAGACAGTGAAGTTAAGGGTCAGGCCATCTTTCACTGACACCAACCTTTAGATGATTCTATCACCTAAAGACTCCTCAAAATCTCACTAGACTATATTCTAATCCCCATGGGACTCGATTCTTGCACACAGCCTCTTTTGGGAATGAAGTCAGAAGAGGAGTTTCCAGTGACCACCTCAGAATCTCAAATGCCTCTTTCTTTAGTGTGACCCCACCACAGAGATGTCCTGAAGGGGCCCTAAGTTCGAGACTTTTAGGGTCCTGCAGTGTATTATCACAGGCAACATTTTTCCTTATACCAGGATGGCTCTGCCTGTACCATATTTATCTGCTTAGGCAGTGTGACAGCTCTGACAGCTGGGTGCCAGAGCCAACTTCACAAATGGGCATGCACTTGTCTCAGGGCACCGGGTCTGAGCTATGAGCTCTGGCTAGAGTCACAGTGAATGCCACCTTTGCCTAGCAACCAGCCCTTGTGGATTGGCAGAGGAGACCTTGGTAGAGGTCCATCTGCCATAGACTCCAGACTGTCTTCACTGTGGGATCCATGGAATAGTCCCATGATCCTTGGAGAGGGCAGACATAAGCCAGCCTGAAGAAACATCAAGCAGAGCCCCAGAAATAAACTTGATCCGTTTCCAAAAGGATCTTCATGATGCCCCAGACTTGCTTAGTTGTAGGGTGAGTCTTTTTAAACCTTGCCCTACTGTGATTTCTAGGTATAGCCTGCCCGTGTTCCCCAGTTTTGCTGTCTTCCAGGTGGGGTTTCCTGCAGAATGAGGCAGCCTCAGAAGCTGCTGGGCTCTGTTTCTGCAGAAGTCTTTTGTGGGTGATTGATGTCTGCATGTGTTTGTGGATTGGTTCGTTTGTGTTTCTGTGTGTATGTGTGTCTGTGCCTGTAAGTGGAATCTGCTTAATGAAATGGAGTTAAAGCACTGCAGCATTATTTATTTATTTATTTATTTATCTATTTATTTATTTCTCCCAACTTTTTGGTCCCCTGTCTGTATGACTCTGCTTAGGCTGCGTGGTTCAGTGTTCTTTATTTTTTTGTGGATCATGAATCTGCAGCGAACAGGAAGCCTGGCTGAGTACCACCAGGTTCCAAATCACCTCCTCCTGTTTTTTTGTTTTTTTTTTTATGTGTTTTTGTAAGCCACTCTTCTAGAGAGAGGAGGATCACACCACATCCAAGACCAACATCTCTCAATGTTTCATTGTCCTGCAACCAACCCAGGGAGAGACACCAGCAGCCCGGTCTGCAGGGACTCTTCAATTTACCTCGTATTTGGTTCCCAGCTGAGCATATGCTTCATGATGTGGGGGGTGGGGGTACTCTTGCATCATATTGAGGTTCCATTCTGGTTTAGATGGTGTGAGCAGCAATAACATCAGATAGGAGTGAGGATACAGTATGGTGAGGAGTGGATGCTGTCCCACATCGTCAGCTGCAAAAAAATGAAGACCCATGACACAGAAGGTGCTCCCAATTGCATGCCTGCAGTCCCTTAATTGCACAAACAGTCCACACCATAGCCTAGTGTTAATGTGGGAGTACTGCAATATGCAAGAAACATTTGGAGTGCAAGCTGGGCCATGCTGGCAAACTCTCCATATGAGGGCTTTCAAACCTAGAGCCAAATGGGAGAGGGATGGATTGATGGTGGGTGTGATGTGGTCTCCAAACTTGTGTCTTTTAATTCCAACTTCCGTGTTCCTCATTGGCCTAAGTTTTCCTGGGAATGGCTCCAAGTCTTTCACACTAAATGTTTCCAATTTCATGGAGAACGACCCTCATGGGAATCCATTGTGTTAGTGTTTTCTTCTAAACTCTGTTAAGTTTTAATGACTGGGCAGCTGTGATTCTTTTAAAACTGTAAATTCCCATTACAGATGCCAACAAGGAAATTCTTATTCTCTCACTTCTATTGGAGGGCTGCATGATTCCTGCAGGGTGAGAAGCAAGGATCCATGTCTGGCTTCTGGCTGATAATCTAGGCTGTTTCATTTCATGTGAATGTCCCTTCTCATTGCATAGGGCTGTTGCTGGATGGGACTGCCACTCTCCACAAATCATTTGGCTGCCAGGGATTTCATGAAGCAGTAGGGACTTCAAATAGGCTTGCTGAGCTCTAGATTGTACGTCATATTCTTGATGCGGGGGCTTAGGTTGTTTGCACTTTTCAGGAGGGTTTGGGGTTCTCTGATAGGAATCTTGGAAAGTTACAAGTGCTGCAGCACAAATCAGATCATTTTCTCAGGTGAGCCTGTATTTTTTGTTCCTTTTATGTGTGGTCCACTGTGACCCTGAACAGCACTACTGAGCACCCTTTTCAGGCTGGCAGTAGCCACAAAGGACATCTGAGACACTCTCTTAACCTCATCTGCACCTGTGAGGGGCCCTTTCAAGGTGTGAGAATACTGCTGGACCTTGGACTTGCATTTATTGGTAATACTAGCTTTCCTAGAGGGTGGCAGCGAGGCCCAGGATGAAGGGAGGCAGTGAGGCTAAGGGCCAGGCCATCTTTCACTGACACCTACCTCTGGGGTCTCAGGTATTATTCTGTCACCTAAAGACCACTCAGCAACTCACCACACTATATTCCCATCCCCATAAGACCCGACTCTTGCACACAACATCTTTTGGGAGTGGAGTCAGAAGAGTAGTTTGCAGTGACCAGCTCAGAGTCTCAAAACACCTCCTTCTCAAGTGGGACCTGACCACATAGATGTCTTGAAGCGGCCATAAGGTGGAGAATTTTAGGGTTCTACAGTGTATTATCACATGCCGACTTTTCCTGATACCAGGCCGGCTCTACCTGTACCATTTTCCACTCCTTAGGCAGTCTGACAGCTCTGACAGCCAGTTGCCAGAGCCCGCTTTGTGAATGTGCACACACTTGTCTCAGGTCACCAGGCCTGAGCTATGAGCTCTGGCTAGAGTCACAGTGAATGCCACTTTTGACTAGCAACAAGTTCCTGCCGATTGGCCAAAAAGGATAACTCTTTGGAGGTGTGTCGGTGTTGGACACTACCCTGTCTTCTCTGTGGGATCCAAAGAATAGTCCCTTGAATCTAGGACAGGGCAGAGGTAAGCCAGGCTGAAGAAACATCAAGAAAAGCCCCAGAAATAAGCTGTAAAATCCCTATGTATCAAAAATGATCTGCATCATGTCTCAGGGTTGCCTAGATTTTATGGGGTGAGACTTTTTGAAACTTGTCCCATTGTGATTTCTAGGTACAGCCTGCCTGTGTTCCCCATGGACCCTCTCTCCCAGGTGGGGCTTCCTGCATAACCTAGCAGCCTGAGAAGCTGCCAGGCTGTGTTTCTGTTGGAGGGTTTTGCGGGTGTTTGATGTCTACATGTGTTTGTGGCTTGGTGTGTGTGTGTATGTGTGCCTGTAAGTGGAGTCTGCTTAAAAGAATACACTGCTTAAAAGAAAAACGCACTGTAGTGCTATTTCTTCTCTTTTTTTCTAGTCTCCTAACTTTTCCATGGCCTGTCTGTGTGCTTAGGCTGTGGTTCCATGTTCTTTACTTTTCTGTGGATCATTAATTTGCAGTGAATTGGGAGGCTGATGGAGATGCACCAGGTTCCAAATCACCTCCCCCTGCAAAAAAAAAAAAAAAAAAAAAAAAAAGACACTCTTTTAGAAAGAAGAGGAGCACACCACACCCAAGAGCAGACATCTCCCAATGTTTCATTGTCCTGCAGCCAACCCAGGGAGAGACACTAGCAGTCTTATCCACAGAGGCCCTTGCATTTACCTCAAATTCAGTTCCCAGATGAGCAGGTGCTCCATGTTGTGAGGGGGCACTCCTGTATCATCTTAGGATTTCATTTTGGGTTAGAGTTTGTGAGCAGTAATAAGGTCAGAGAGGGGTGAAGAAACAATCTGGTGAGTGGTGTATGTCATCCTGCAACTTCACCTGCATAAAAGTGAAGACACATGACACAGAAGCTGCTTTAAACTGCATCCCTGCATTCTTTTAATTGCACAAGCAGTCTACACCATGGCCTAGTGTTCATGTGGGAACACTCCAACGTGCAGGGAACATTTAGACTGCAAACTGGGGCCATCCTGGCAAACTCTCAATATGAGAAATTTCAAACCCAGAGCCAAATGGGAGTGGGATGGATTGACGCTGGGTTCTATGTGGCCTCTACACTTGCCTCTTCTTTTTTTGACTTCCATGTTCTTCTCCACCCTAGAGTTTCCTAGATCTGGCTCCACATCTTTCACATTAAACATTTGCCTTGTCATGGAAGATGACCCTCATGGAAATCCATTGCATGAGTGTTTCCTTCCAAACACTATCATGTTTTAATGACTGAGCAGCTGTGATACATTTAACACCATAAATTCCTGTTCTAGCCGCCAACAAGGAAACTCTTATTCTCCCACTTCTATCATGGGTCTACATTATTCCTGTTGGATGAGAAGCAGAAGGCATGTCTGGCTTTTGGCTAGGTTCTGTTTTATTTCATCTGCACATCCATTCTCGTTGTGGAGCTTGCCTTTCATTGGGCTGTTACTGGATAATACAGCCTCTTGCCACAGATCTTTTGGCTGTCAGAAGTTTCAGGGAGCAAAAGGGACTTCGAATAGACTTTCTGTGTTCCAGGTTTTGGATTGTGTTCTCAATGTGGGGACTGGGGTTGTTTGAAATTTGCAGGAGGCTTTTTGGTCATCTGAAAGGAATCTTGGAACATTGCTAGGACTCCAGCACAAATCAGCTCATTCTCTCAGGCAAGGTTTAATTTTTTGTTTTTTCATGTAGGATCCATTGTGTTTCTCAACAGCGCTACTGGACACCATTCTCAGGCTGGCAATTGCCACAGAGGGCATCTGAGACATTGTCTCAACTTCATCTGCACCAGTGGGAGGCCTTTCCCAGGTGGGAGAACACTACTCCACTTTGGAATTGCCATTGTCAGTGTTCCTGGCTTTCCCAGAGAGCCACTGCAAGGCCCAGGATGAAGGGAGGCAGTGAGATTAAGGACACAATCATCTTTCACTGACATCCAACTCTGGGACCTCAGGTATGATTCCATCACCTAAAAACGTCTCAAACACTCACCAGACTATATTCCAAACTGAATGGGACCTCATTCTTGCACACAGCCTCTTTCAGAAATGAAGTCAGAAAAGCAGTTTCCAGGGACCACCTCAGCGTCTCAAAACCCCTCCACTTCCAATGGGAAATGACCACAGAGATGTTCTGAAGGGGCCCTAGGAGGAGACTTTTAGGGTCCCACAGTGGTTTGTCGCATGTATAATTTTTCCTAATACCAGGCCAATTCTGTCTGTACCATTTTCCACTGCTTAGGCACTGACAGCTCTGACAGCCGGGCACCAGAGCTGGCTTTATGAATGCTCATGTGTTTGTCTCAGGGCACCAGGCCTGAGCTGTGAGCTCTGGCTAGAGTCACAATGTATGCCACCTTTGCCTAGCGACAAGTCCCTGCAGCTTGCCAGAGAAGGAAAACTCCTTGGAGGTGCATCAGCAATTGAATCTCCCCTGTGTTCTCTTTGGGATCCGTGGAATAATCCCATGATCCTAGGAGAGGGCAGATATTTGCCAGTGTGAAGAAACATCAAGCAGAGCCCCATAAATAAACAGTGAAATACCTATGCATCCAAAATGATCTGCACGATGCCTCAGGCTTGCCTAAAGGTTGTGGGGTGAGTCTTTTTGAAAATTGCCACGCTGCGATTTTGAGGTACAGCCTGCCTGTGTTCCCCAGGGCTGTTATCTCCCAGGTGGGGTTTCCTGCAGAACCACAAAGACTCAGAAGCTGTCAAGCTGTCTGTTTCTTTAGGATTGTGGTGAATCTTGGACATCTGCATGAGTCTGTGGCCTCATGTGTTTGTGTGTGTGTGTATGTGTGTATGTGTGTGCCTGTATGTGGAGTTCTCTTGAAGAAATGTGGCTAACACACTTCAGAACTTCTCTTATTTTTTTTTTTATGTCTCACAAACGTTTGATGGCCTTTCATTGTGTCTCTACCTGGGCTGTGGGGCTCCAAATTCTCTAATTTTCTGCGGATCGTGAATCCACAGTGAAGTGGGAGGGGTGCTGAGACCCACCGGTGTCCAAATCACCTGTGCCAAAATAGCCACTCTACTAGAAAGAAGAGGAGCATACCACACCAAAAAACACATCTGCCAGTGTATCATAGGCATATGGCCAATCCAAGAAGGGATAGTAGCAGTCCTGTCTGCAGGGCCCCTTGAATGTACCTTGAACTCAGTTCCCAGCCAAGCAGATGCTTCATATTGTAAGGGGGCACTCCTCTATTGTCTATTGTCTTGGGATGTCATCCTGGGACACAGAGTGTGAGCAGCACTCTCTTCTTTTCTTGACTTCCTGTTCCTCATCTGCCTAGGGTTTCCTCATTCTGGCTTAACGACTTCAACACAAAACGTTTAAAACTTCACTTAGAACGATCCTCATGGGAATCCATTGTGTGAGTGTTTCCTTTTAAACACTGTCACGTTTTAATGACTGGGCAGCTTTGATACTTTTAAAACCATAAAATCCCATTACAGCCACCAATAAGGAATGTCTTGTTTTCCCATTTCTATTGGAGGGCTGCTTGATTCCTGTAAGATAAGAAACAGGCTATCATGTCTGGCTTTGGCTGGTCATCTAGCCTCTGTTTCATTACACCTGCATGGACTTCTCATTTTAGAGAGTCTCTTCCTTTGGGCTGTTCCTGGATGGGACTGCCTGGCACCACAGATCACTTAGCTGCCAGGAACTTCAGCGAGCATAAGAGACTTCAGGTATGCTGGTTGTGATCCAGATAGTGGGTTGTTTTCTCTTTGTGGGGGCTGAGTTTGTTTGCACTTTGCAGGAGGCTTTGGGTTCTCTGATGGGAATGTTTGAATGTTGCCTGGACTCTAGCACAAGTAAGCTCATTTGTTCAGAAGAGCCTTAACTTTTCCTTGGTTTCATGTGGGGTCCACAGTGTCCCTCAACAGCACTAATGAACATCATTTTCATGCTTGCAATCACCACAGACATCCTCTTAGACAGGGTCTCAACATCATCTGCACCCATGAGAGGCCAATTCAAGGTTTGAGAACCCTGCTACATATTGGACTTTCATTTTTCATGGTTCTTGACTTTCCCAGAAAGCCTTTGTGAGGCCCAGGATGAAGGGAGGCAATGAGGTTAAGGGCCCAACTGCCAGAATATATTCCAATACCCACGGGACTTGATTACTGCACACAGCCTCTTTCGTGAATGGTGTCAAAAGGGCCATTTCCTCAGGCCTGCCTAGACGTTGTACGGGTGAGTCTTTTTGAATCTTGCCCCACTGTGATTTCTAGGTACAGATCATCTGTGTTCCCCAGGGTTGCTCTCTCCTAGATGGGGCTTTCTGCAGAACCACACTGCCTCAGGAGCTGCCAGGCCATGTGTTTCTGTGGGAGTATTGCAAGTGTTAGATTTATGCGTCTGTGTGTGGTGTGTATTTGTGTGTGTGTGTGTGTGTGTGTGTGTGTGTGTGTGTGTGGCTGTAAGTGGAGTCTGCTTAATGGAATGTGGCTAACACACTTCAGCCCTTCTTCTTCTCTCTTTCTTTTTTTTTTCAGTCTCACAACCTTTTGGTTGTCTGTCTTTGTGGCTTTGCTTGGGCTGCCCAGCTCTTTGTTCTTTATTTTCCTGTGGTTCATGAATCTATAGTTAATTGTGTGCTGAGACCCACTGGCATTCAAATCCTCTCCCACTGCAAAAAATAAATAAATAAATAAATAAATAAATAAATAAATAAATAAATAAAATAAAAAGCCTTTCGTCTACAAAGAAAGGGAGCACTCTTCTCCAAAAAACAGACATCTCCATCATTTCATTTTCGTGTGGTCAACCCAGGAAGAGACACTGGCTGTCCTGTCCGCAGGGCCCTTGAATGTATCTGTAATTCAGTTCCCAACCAATCAGGTGCTTCACATCATGAGGGAGAACTCTTCCATCATCTTGGAATTTTATCCTGTTACATAGAGTGTGGGCAGCAATAAAGTCAGATGGGGTGAGGATACAATCTGGTGAGAAGTGGATGGGGGTCCTGCAACTTCATCTGCAAAAAAATGAAGACTGATGACACAGAAGGTGTTTCCAACTCCATCCCCACATTTTCTTAATTGCACAAGCAGTCCACACAATGGTCTGGTGTTGAAGTGGGAATATTCCAATGTGTAAGAAACATTTGGAGTGCAAATTTGGGACACAAGGCAGCTCATTCTCTCAGGCAAGCCTTGATTTTCCTTTGCTTTCATGGGGAATCCACAGTGCCCCACAACAGCACTACTGGACACTTATTTCGGGATTTCCATTGCCAGAGACGGCCTCTGAGAAACTGTCTCAACCTCATCTTCACCCTTGAGAAGCCAGTCCAAGGTGTGAGAACACTTCTCCACCTTGGACTTGCCTTTGTCATGGTTTCTGCCATTACCAGAGGTTTCCTGCCTTTCCCAGATGGCCACTGTGAAGCTCAGGATGAAGGGAGGCAGTGAGGTGAATATCCTGGCCATCTTTCACTGACAGAGACTCCACCTCTGGAGTCTCAGGTATGATTCAATCATCCAAAATACCTCGACAGCACACCAGATCAAATTCCAGTCCCCATGGGACCCAATTATTTCACGCAACCTCTCTGAGAAATGAAATCAGAAGAAGAGTTGTGAGTGAAGACCTCACAGTTTCAAAACGCTTCCTCCTGTAGCAGGACCCAACCACAGAGACTGCCAGAAGGGGCCCTGAGGTCAAAATTTTTAGGGTCCCTCAGTGGATACTTGCAGGCAGGCTTTTTTTCAGATATCAGGCCGCTTTCATCTGTACTATTTTCCTCTGCTTAGGCAGGCTGACAGCTCTGATAGCCTGGCACCAGAACCTACTTTGTGCTTACACAGGCGCTAGTCTCAGGGCACCAGGCTTGATTGTGAGCTCTGGCTAGCATCACAGTGAATGTCACTGTTGCCTAACAATAAGTCTCTGCGGCTTAGGGGAGGAGAACTCCGTGAAGGCATATGGGCTGTGGACTCTCACCTGTCTTCTCTGTGGGATCCATGATGTAGTCCCATGATCCCAGGACAGGGCAGACCTGAGCCAGCATGATAAAAAGTCAAGTAGAACCCCAAGAATAAACCACAAAATCTCTAAGATTTCAGAAGGATTTGTAGAATGCAGCAGGCCTGCCTACACATTGTAGAGTTGAGTTTTTTGAAACTTGCTCCACTGTGATTTCTAGAAGCACCCTGTCTGTGTTGCCCAGAATTGCTCTCACCCAGGTGAGGCTTCCTGCAGAACCATGCAACCTCAGAAGCAGTTCTTAGATGTCTGCTTGTAGGTGTGACTTTCTGCCTTTGTGTGTGTGTGTGTGTGTGTGCACTCGTGTAAGTGCCTGTAAGTCAAGCCTGCTTAAAAGAATGTGGCTAATGCCCTGCAGCAATTCTTTTTTATTTGCATCTCCCAACCTTTAGGTGGTCTGTTTGTGTGGCTCTTCTTAGGCTGAAGGGCTCCATGTTCTTTAATTTTTCTGTGGATCATGAATAGAAGTGAATTTGGACACTGGCTGTGACCTGCTGGTGTCCACTTCACCTCCCCATGCAAAAAAAAAAAAAAAAAAAAAAAATTCTTCTAGAAAGAATAGGAGCATAAAACATCCAAGAACAGACATCTCCAATTGTTTCATTGTTCTGCAGCCAACCCAGGGAGAAAAACTAGCAGTCCTGTCTGCAGGACTTTTGAATTTATTTTGAATTTATTTTGAATTCGGTTGCCACATGAGCAGGTGGTTCATGTCATGAAGTGGCACTTCTGCAAAGCCTTGAGATTTCATTCTGAAACATAGAGTGTGAGCAGCAATATGATCATATAGGGGTGAGTATAAAATCTGGTGAGGGATGGGTGGGGTCCCGCAACTTCACCTGCAATAAAAATGAAGACAGGTGACACAGAAAGTGCTTTCAACCTTATCCCTGCATTCTCTTAATTGCACAAGCAGTCAACACCATGGTTCGGTGTTAAGGCAGGAGTACTCCAACCTGCAAGGAATATTTGGAGTGCAAATTGGGGCCACCCTGGACAACTCCCAATTTGAGGACTTTCATACCCAGAGCCAAATGAAACTGAAATCTATTGATGCTGAGTGGGATGTGGCCTATACACTTGCCTCTACTTTTACTGACTTTCTTGTTTCTCATCGGCCTAGTGTTTCCTGGGATTGGCTCATCGACCTCTACACTAAATGTTTCCAAGGTCATGGAGAACGACCCCAGTGGGAATCCATTGAGTGAGTGTTTCCTTCTAAACACTGTCATGTTTTAATGACTGGGCAGCTTTGATAATTTTAAAACCAAGAATTCCCATTACAGCCACCAATAAGAAAACTCTTGTTCTCTCACTTCTATCAGAGGGCTGCATGAATCTGTTAGAATGAGAAGCACTTAGCTGTGTCTGGCTTTTGCCTGATAATCTAGCCTCTGTTTCATTTCATCTGCACAGCCTTCTCTTTGTGGAGGGGATCTTTTATTGGCTTGTTCCTGGATGGGACTGACTTTGACCAAATATTATCAAGGTGACAGTGACTTCAGAGAGCTGAAGGGACTTCAGGTAGGCTGGCTCCAGGTTGTGGGTCATAATCTCATTGTCGGGGTTGAGGTGGGTTGCACTTTGTAGGAGGCTTTTGGGTCCTCTGATAGGAATCACTGAGAATTGCTTGGAATCCAGAAAAAGGCAGATCTGTCTCTAAGGTGAACCTTGGTTTTTCTTTGCTTTTATGAGGAATCCAGAGTGACCCTCAACAGAACTACTGGACACTCTTTTTGGGCTTACCATCACTACAGACGGCCTCTGGGGCATTATCTCAAACTCATCTCCACCTGTGAGTGGACAGTCCGAGGTGTGAGAACACTGCTCCAATGTGGACTTGCATTTTTCTTGGTTCCTGCCTTTCCAAGACAGCCCTGAGAGGTCCAGGATGAAGGGAGGCAGCGAGGTCAAGACCCCAGCCATCTTTCACTGATATTTACCTCTGGTTTCTAAAGTATAATTCTAACACTTAAAGAACCCTCAACAACACTACAGACAAAATTCGAATCCCCATGGGACCTGATTCTTGCACACAGCCTCTGTCGGGCATGGATTCAGAAGGGCAGTTTCCACTGACCACATTAGAGTCTTGAAATGCCTCCTCATCCAGCTGGGCCTAACCACAGAGACTGCTAGAAAGGGTCCCGAGGTTGAGAATTTTAGGTTCATGCAGTAGGCTTTAATAGGCAGCCTTTTTCCCAATAGCAGCCCAGCTCTGCCGATACCATTTTCCTCTGCTTAGGCAGGCTGACACCTCTGACAGCTGGGCACCTGAGCCTGCCTCTTGAATATGCATGTGCTAAAGTCAGGGCATTGGGCTGATTTTGAGTTTTGGTTAACGTCACAATGAATGTCACCATTGCCTAGTGGCAAGTCCCTGTGGCTTGGCAAAGAAGGAGAACTCTGTGGAGGTGCGTCGGGCATGGACACTCACCTGTCTTTTTTGTGGGATCCACAGGATAATCCCATGATCCTAGAAGAAGGCAGACATGAGCCAGTCTGAAGAAAAGCCAAGCACAGCCCCAGAAATAGACCACAAAATTCCTAAGTATCCACAATATCTGAAGGACTACTCAGGCCTGCCAAGACGTTGTAGATGTGAATTTTTTTAAGTTTGCTGCACTGTTTTTTAGGTACAGCCTACCTGTTTCCCAGGGTTGCTGTCTCCCAGTTAGTGTTTCCTGCAGAACCACATAGTTTCAGGAGCTGCAGGTCTTTGTGTTTCTGTGGGAGTGTGGTGAGAGTTGGATGTCTGCGTGTGTGTAGCATTGTGTGTGTGTGTGTATGTGTTCCTGTAATTAGAGTCTGCTTAAAGGAATGTGGCTGATGCACTACAACACTTCTTTGTTTTTTTTTTGAGTCCCCCAACCTTTGGTGGCCTGTCTTTTTGCCTTTGCTTAGGCTGCAGGGCTCCGTGTTCTTTATTTTCTGTTGATCATGAATCTGCAAAGGTTTGTGAGTTGGTCCAAGAACAGCTGGAGTTCAAATCACCTCCCTTTCCAAAAAAAAAAAAAAAAAAAAAACACTCACCTAGCAAGAAGAGGAGCACACCAACATCACAAAAAATGTAAATCTTCCAGTGTTTCATTTTCTTGCAGCCAATACAGGGAGAGAAACTAGCAGTCCTGACTGCAGGGGCTTTGAATTTACCTTGAATTCGATTCCCACCCAAGTAGGCATTTCACATCATAAGGTGACACTCTGAAATTGTGTTGGAATTTCATTCTGGGACATCAAGTGTGAGCAGCAGTAAGGTCATATAGGGAGAGGATACAATCTGGAGAGGGGTGGAAGGGGTCTAGCAGCTTCACCTGCAAAAAAAATTAAAGATAGATAACACAGAAGTTGCTTCTAACTCCATCCCTGCATTCCCTTAATTGTAGAAATGGTCCACACCATGGCCCCTGTGTTCAAGTATGATTACTCCCACGTGAAAGGAACATTTAGAGTGCAAATTGGGGCTATCCTGGCAAAATTCCAATTTGAGAGCTCTCATACCTGGAGCAAAATCTGAGTGGAATGGATTGATGCTGAGTGGGATGTGGCCTCCACACTTGCCCTCCTGTGTTCCTTGGGGTTGCCATCTCTCAGGTGAGGCTTCTTGCAGAACCATGCAACCTCAGGAGGTGCCATGCTGTGGGTTTCTATGGGAGTGTTTTGGGTGTTTCATGTCTGCGTGTGTGTGACTGTGTTTGTGTTTCTGTGTGTGTTTGTGTGCCTGTAAGTGAAGTCTGCTTAAAGGAATGTGGCTAACACACTTCAGCAATTCTTTTTTTTTCTCCCAACCTTTTGGTGTCCTGTTTGTGTGGTTCTGCTTGGACTGTGGGATTCCATGCTCTCTAATTTCTGTGGATCATGAAACCATAGTGAATTGGGAGGAGGGGGGAGAGCTTCTGGCATCCAAATCACCTCTCCTTGCAACAACAACAAAAAAATCACTCTTCTAGAAAGAAGAGGAACACACAACCCCAAATAATATACATCTTCCAATGTTTCATTGCCCTGTGGCTGACCCAGTGAGAGATACTGTCAGTCTTGTCCATGGGGCCCCTTGAATTTATCATGAATTTGGTTACCAGCTGAGCAGGTGCTTCATGTCAAGAGGGGGCAATTTTTCACCATTGTAGGATTTCATCCTGTGACATAGAATATGAGTAACAATAAGGTCAGATATGGGTGAGGATACAGTCTGCTAAGGGGTGGATGGGGTCCTGCACTTTCACCTGCAATAAATGTGAAGACAAATGACACAGAAGTGCTTCCAAAACCATCCCCACATTATCTTCATTGCACAAGCAGCCCATACCATGGCCCAGTGTTCAGATGGAAGACTCTAACATGCAGGGTACATTTGAAGTACAACCTAGGGCCAACCTGGCAAACTCCTTAATTGAGGGCTTTCATACCCAGAGAAAAATAGGAGTAAAAAGGATAATGCTGGGTGGGATGTGGCTTCCACACTTGCATCTTCTTTTTCAGACTTCCATATTACTTATTGGCCTAGGGTTTCCTGGGTCTTTCTCAACGTCTTCCACAATAAACATTTCCACTTAACAGAGGATGACCCTCATAGGAATCCATTGCATGATGGTTTCCTTCTAAGCACTGTCACAGTTTAATTACTGGGCAGCTGTGATGTCTTTAAAAATGTAAATTCCCATTCCAGGGACCAAAAAGGATACTCTTGTTCTCCCACTTCTATCAGGGAGCTGCATGATTCCTGTAGCATGAGAAGGAGACAGCTGTGTCTGGCTCTTACCTGGTAATCTAGGCTCTGTTTCACTGCATTTGCAAGTCTTTTCCCATTGTGGAGGGAGTCTTTCATTGGGCTGTTGCTGGATGAACTGACTCACACCACAGATATTTTGGCTGCCAGAGATGTCAGGGAACAAAAGCAACTTAAGGTAGGCTGACTGCCCCCAGACTGTGGTCATTGTCTCATTGTGAGGGCTGAGGGTGTTTCCACTTTGAAGGAGGCTTTGGGTTCTTTGACAGAAATCTTTGAAAGCTGCTTGGACAAGTAAACTCATTTGCTCAGAAGAGCCTTAATTTTTCTTTAGTTTCTTGTGGGGTCAACGGTGCCCCTCAACAGCATTAATGAACACATTTTTTAGGCTTACAATTGCCACAGACATCCTCTGAGACACTGTCCCAACCTCATCTTCCCTCATCTGCACAAGTGAGAGGTCAGTTCAAGGCTTGAGAACACTGTTACATATTGGAATTGCCTTTGCCGTGATTCCTGCCTTTCCAAGAGAGCACCTGCAAGGCCCAGGATGAAGGAGGCAGTGAGGTCAAGAGCCCACCACCTTTCACTGACACCTGCCTCCTGGATCTCAGATATGATTTCATCACCCAAAGACTCCTCAACAACTCATCAGACTATATTCCAATACCCATGGGACTTGATTTCTGTACACAGCCTCTTTCATCAATGGAGTCAGAAGAGCAGTTTCCAGTGATCACCTCACTGTCTCGAAAGGCCTCCTCCTCCAGAGGGACCCTACAACGGAGACAGCACAAACTAGTGGTGAGGCAGAGATTTTAGGGTCCCACAGTGGATTATCACAGGGAGCTTTTTTCTATATACTAGGACGGCTTTACCTGTAAAATTTTTCTCTGTTTATGCAGGCTGACATCTCTGAGAGCAAGTTGCACCAGGCTGTCTCACAAATGGGCACGAGCTAGTGTCAGGGGACCAGGCCTAAGTTGTGAATTATGGCTAGCATCACAATCAATGCCACCATTGCACAGTGACAGGTCCCTGTGGCTTGGCAAAAAAAGGAAACATTCTTGGAGGGGCATTGGCGGTAGACTCTCACGTGTCTTCTCTGTGGTATCCAAGGGATAGTCCTCTGATCCTAGGAGAGAGAAGACATAAGCCATCCTGAAGAAATGTCAAGCAGAGCCCCAGAAATAAACCACAAAAGGATCCAAAACAATGTAAAGGAAGTCTCAGGCCTGCCTAGACGTTGTAGGAGTGTGTCTTTTGGAATCTTTCCCCATTGTGATTTCTATGTACAGCCAACCTTTGTTATCTGGGGTTGCTCTCTCCCAGGTGGGGTTTCCTGAACAACTATGGAGCCTCAGAGACTGATGGGCTGTGTATTTCTGTGGGAGTGTTGCATGTGTTTGATGTCTGCCTATGTGTGTGGCATTGTGTTTGTGTGTTTGTGCATGTGCCTGTAACTGGAGTGTGCTTAAAGGAATGTGGCTAATGCATTTCCGGGCTTCTTCGTCCTTCTTCTCTTCTTCTTTTTTTTTTTTCTCAGTCTCCCAACCTTTCAGCGGCTTGTCTTTGTGGCTTTGCTTGGGCTTTTGGCTCCTTCTTCTTTATATGTTGTGGATCATCAATCTGCAGTAAATTAGGAGGCTAACTGAGAAACTCTGGGGTCCAAATAGCCTCCCCCTGCAACAAAAGCCAATCTTTTAGAAAGAAGAAGTGCACACCACACCAAAGAACAGACATCTCCCAGTGTAAACCGTGGAAGAAATACTAGCAGTTTTGCCCACAGGGCCCCTTGAATTTACCTCTAATTGGGTTCCCAGCTGAGCAGTTGCTTCATGTCATGAGGGAACACTCCTCCATCATCTTCAGATGTCATTCTGAGACAGAGAGTGTGAGCAGCCAGAAGGTTACCTAGTGGTGAGGATACAATCTGGTGAGAGGTGGATGGGGTTCTGCACCTTCACCTGTAAAAAATGTGAAGACAGATGACACAGAAGTTGCTTCCAACTGCATTCCAGCATTCTCTTAATTGCACAACCAGTCCACACCACGGCCTGGTATTCAGGTAGGAGTACTCCAACGTGCAGGGAACATTAAGAATGCAAACTGTGGCCAACCTGGTAAAATCTATTTTTGATGGCTTTCATACCATGAGCCAAATGGAAATGGGATCGATTGATTCTGGGTAAGATGTAGCCTCATCACTTGTGTCTTCTTTTCCTGATTTCCATGCTCTTCGAAGGCCTAGCATTTCCTGAGTCTGGCTCAATGTCTTGCACACTAAACGTTTCCAGGTTCATGGAAGATGATCCTCCTGTTAATCCATTGTGTGAGTGTTTCCTTCCCAAGACTGTCACAGTTTAATGACTCAGCAGCTGTGGTACTTTTAAAACCTTAAATTCCCAATGCACCAGCCAACAAGGAAACTCTCGATTTCCCACTGCTATGAGTGGGAGGCATGATTCTTGTAGGAAGAGAAGCAGGTAGCCATGTCTGACTTTTGCCTTTTAATCTAAGATTGGTTTCACTGGATCTGTATGGCCTTTCTCATTGTGGAGGGTGTCTTTCATTGGACTGTTGTTGGATGGAATGGCCTCTCTCCACAGATCTATTGGCTGCCAGGGATTTCAGGGAGAAAAAAGGGACTGGGGGTAGGCTAGCTGTGTTCCAGGTTATGGTTCTTGGCCTCTTTGTGGGGGCTGAAATTGTTTGCACTTTGCAGGAGACGTTGGTTTCTCTGGCAGGAACATTTGAACGTTGCTTGGACTCCTGCACAAGCCAGCTCATTCACTCTGGTGAGTCTTGACTTTTCTTTGGTTTCATGGCGGGTCCACAGTACCCCTCAACCATGCAAATGGACAAAATTTTCGGGCTTGCAGTCACCACATACGGCCTCTGAGACACTCTCTCAACCTCATCTGTACCTGTAAGAGGCCAGTTTGACATGTAAGAACACTGCTTCAAACTGCACTTGACGTTGTCATGGTTCATGCCTTTCCCAGAGAGCACCAGAGATATCCAGGATAAAGGGAGGCAGTGAAGTCAAGGGCCTGGTCGTCTTTTGCAGACACCCACCTCTGGGGTCTCAGGTAAGATTCCATCACCCAAAGACCCAACAACAACCACCAGACTATATTCCGATACCCATGGAACTCCATTCCTGCACACAGCCTCTTTCAGGTATGGAGGCAGAACAGGAGTTTCCAGAGACCACCTCAAAGTCTGGAAATGCCTCCTCCTCCAGAGAAGCCCGACTACGAAGACGGCCCAAATGGGCCGTAAGGTCGTGATTTTAGAATCCCACAGTGGGTTATCACAGGAAGTGTTTTTCCCAGGCCAGATCTGCCTGTAGTTTTTTTTTTGTTTTTTTTTTTAAGGCAGGATAACATTTCTGACTGCTAGATATACCTGCCTGCATCACTAATGGGCAGGCACTAATATCAGGTCACCAGGTATGAGCTGAGCTGTGAAATATAGCTAGCATCATAATCACTGCTGCCACTGCCTAGTGACAAGTCCCTGCAGCTTGGCTGAAAATAAGTCATCGTGAAGGTGTGTCAGAGATTGACTGTGCCTCTCTCCTCTGTGGGATCCAGGGGATAGTCCCATGATCCTAGGAGAGGGCAGACGTGAGCCAGCCTGAAGAAATGTCATCAGAGTCCCAGAATAAACTGCAAAATCCCTGAGGTTCCAAAAAATCTGCAGGATGTTTCAGGCCTGCCTAGACATTTTAGAGGTTAGTCTTTTTGAATCTTACCCCACTGTGATTTATCGGCAAAACCTGCCTGTTTTCCTTGTGGTTGCTTTCTCCCAGGTGGGGCTTCCTGCAGAAGCATGCAACCCAAAAGTTGTCAGGTTGGGTGTTTCTCTGAGAGTGTTCCGTGTGTTTGATGTCTGTGTGAGTGTGTGGCTTTGGGTGTTTGTGTGTGTGTGTGTCTGTAAGTGGAGTCTGCTTAAAGAAATGCAGCTAACACACTGCAGTGCTGCTTTTTTTCTTCTTCTTCTTCTTTCTATTTTTTCCTTTTCAGTCTCTCAACTTTTTGGTGACCTATCAGTGTAGCTCTGCTAGGGCTGTGGAGCTCTGTGTTTATTATTTTTCTCTGGATCATGGATTTGCAGTTAATTTGGAGGTTGGCTGAGACCCCCCAAAGTCCAAATCACCTCACACTGCAAAAACAGCCACTGTTCTAGAAAAAAAGAGAAGTACATAACACCCAAGAACAGACATCTCCCAGTGTTTCATTGTCCTGTGGCCAACCCAGGGAGAGACACTAGCAGTCCTGTCTGCAGATACCCTTGAATTTACCTTGAATTTGGTTCACAGCATGCTTTACCTTATGAGGAGACACTTCTCCACCATCTTGGGATTTCACTCTGGCTCAGAGAGTGTGAGCAGTGATTAGGGCAGATAGGGGTGAGGGTACAATCTGGTGAGGTGTGGATGGGTCCCAGCACCTTCACCAGAAAAAAAGGGGAAGATAGATTACAGAGAAGGTTCTTTCAAATGCATCCCTGTATTACCTTATTATGACTAGCAGTCCTCACAAAGGCCTGGTGTTCAGGTGGGAGTATTCTAATGTGCAGGGAAATCTTGGAGTGCAAACTGAGGCCATAATGGCAAACTCCCAATTTGAGAGCTGTCATACCCAGATCCAAATGGGAGTGCTATTGATAGATGCTGGGTGGGATGTGGCCTCCACACTTGACTCTTCTTTTCCTTACTTCCATGTTCCTCATTGGCCTAGGGTTTCCTGGGTCTTGCTTAATGTCTTCCACACTAAACATCTCCCACTTTATGAAGGATGACCCTCATAGAAATTTATTACTTGAGTGTTTTCTTCAAAACACTGTCATGTTTTAACGACTGGGCAACTGTGATACTCTTAAAAATGTAAATTCCCAATACAGCTTCTGACAAGGAAACTCTTGTTGTCCCACTTCTAGCAGAGGTCTTCATGATACCTGTAGGATGAGAAGAAGGCAGCTGTGTCTGAATTTTTCCTGTAATCTGGCCTCTGTTTCATTTCATCTCTACTGCTTTCTCATTCTGGAGGTGTTCTTTCATTGGTCTGTTGCTGGATGGGACTGCTTCTCACCATAGATTATTTTGCTGCCAAGGATTTAAAAGAGCAAAAGGGACTTCAGGTAGCCTGGCTGTGCTCCAGGTTTTGGGTCATTGTGTCCTTGTGGGGGCTGAGGTTGTTTGCACTGTGCAGGAGGCTTTTCATCCTCTGACAGGAATCATGAAATATTGCTTGGACTCCAGGGTAAGGCAGGTCCTTCTCCAAGGCAAGCCTTGATTTTTTTTTTCTTTTATGTGGAATCCACAGCGTGACTCTTCAACTCTACTGGACACCTTTTTCAGACTTCTGTTTGCCACAGACAGCCTCTGAAAAACTGTCTCAACATCATCTGCACACATGACAGGCCAGTCCTAAGGGTGAAAACACAGCTCCACCTTGGACTTTCCTTTATTATGGTTCCTTTTCTATTCCAGAGAGTCTCTGTGGGGCCCAAGATAAGGAAAACAGTAAGGTCTAGAGCCCAGCCATCTTTTTCTTGCACCTGACTCTGGGGTCTCAGCTATGATTCTCTCATGCAAAGAACACTCAACAGCACACCAGACAATATTCCAATCCCCATGTGGCCCGAATCTTGCACACAGCCTCTTTTAGGAATGGAGTCAGAAGAGCAGCTTCCAGTGACCACCTCAGTCTCAAAATGCCTCCTTCTCCAGCCTGACCCAACCACAGAGGTGGCCCGAAGGGACCCTGAGGTTGAGACTTTTAGGGCCGTGCAGTGGGTTTTCCCAAGCAGCCTTTTTCCTGATACCAGGCTGATTCTGCATGTACCATTTTCCTCTGCTTAGGCAGGCTGACAGTTCTGACAGCCAGCGCTTGAGTCTACCCATTAAGGGGCATGCCCTAGTCTCAGGGAAACACACTTGAGTGTGAACTCTGGTTAGCTTCACAGTAAAAGTCACCGTTGCCTAGTGACAACTCCCAGAAGCTTGACAGAGAAGGAAATCTTCCATGGAGATGTGTTGGTGGTGGATTCTCACCTGTATTTTCTGTGGGATCCACGGGATAGTCCCATGATGCTAGGAGAGTGCAGATGTGAGCCAGCCTGAAGAAACATAAATCACAGCCCCAGGGATAAACCACAAAATCCCTACACATCCAAAAGCATCTGCAGGATTCCTCAGGCCTGCCTAGATGTTGTAGCCGTGAGTCTTTTTGAAACTTGCCCCATTGTGATTTCTAGGTACATTTTGCCTGTGTTCTCCAGGGTTGATCTCTCCCATGTGGGGCTTGCTGCAGAAACATGCATCCTCAGGAGATGCCAGCTGTGTTTTTCTGTGAGAGTATTGTGAGTGATGGATTCCTGTGAGTTGTGGCATTTTGTGTGTGTGTGTGAATATATTTATGTGCCTCTATGTGAAGTCTGCTTAAAGGAATGTGGCTAATGCACTTCAGGGTTTTCTTTCTTATTATTTTTTTTAATCTCTCAACCATGTTTTGGCCTGTCTGTGTGGTTCAGCTTGGGCTACATGGCTTTGTGTTCTCTATTTTTCTGTGAATCATTAATTTGTGGTGAATACATAAACGGACCAGGCCCACCCAGTGTGAGTGTGAGCAGCAATAAGGTAAGATAGGGGTGAGAATATGATCTGGGGGTGGTGGATGGGTTCATGAAAGTTCATCTTTAAATGATATGAAGACTGATGACACAGAATGTGTTTTCAACTGCATCACTGCCTTCCCTTAATTGTAAAACAGTACACACCATGGCCTGATGTTTTGGTGGGAGTACTCCAAAGTGCAAGGAATATTTGGAGTGCAAATTGGGGCCAGCCTGGCAAGCTCCCAATTGGAGGGCTTTCATACCTGGAGCCAAATGAAAGTGGAATAGATTTATGCTAGGTGGGATGTGGCCTCCACTCTTATCTCTTCATTTCTTGACTTCCATCTCCTTTGTCAGCCTAGGGTTTCCTGGGTCTGGCTCAACAACTTCCACACTAATCGTTTCCCAGTTTGCTGAGAACTAATCCTCATGGGAATCCATAGTCTGAGTGTTTTCTTCCAAATACTTTCATGTTTTGATGGCTGGGTAGCTTTTATCTTTTTTTTTTTTTTTTTTCTGAGACGGAGTCTCGCTCTGTCGCCCAGGCTGGAGTGCAGTGGCGTGATCTCGGCGCACTGCAAGCTCCGTCTCCCGGGTTCACGCCATTCTCCTGCCTCAGCCTCCGTGTAGCTGGGACTACAGGCGCCCGCCACCACGCCCGGCTAATTTTTTGTATTTTTAGTAGAGGCGGGGTTTCACTGTGTTACACAGGATGGTCTCGATCTCCTGACCTCATGATCTGCCCACCTCTGCCTCCCAAAGTGCTGGGATTACAGGCATGAGCCACCGCGCCCAGCCGCTTTTATCTTTTTAAAATGATAAATTCCCGTTACAGCTGCCAACAAGGAAACTAAATTATTCTCTCACTTCTTTTGGAGCGCTGCATGCTTTCTGTAGGATGACAAGCAGGCAGCCATGTCTTGCTTCTATCTGGTAATCTAGCCTCTGTTTCATTTCATCTCTATGGACTTTTCATTTTTGATAGTCTCTTTCATTGTGCTGCTGCTCAATGGGACAACATAAGTTGTTTTTTATATAATAATAATTTGTGGCCTCTTGCCACAATTTAGCTGCCATCAATTTCAGAGAGCAAAAAGACTTCAGCTATGGTGGCTGCACTCCAAGTTCTGGTTTGTTGACATGTTGTGAGGGGTTGAGGTGATTTGCACTTTGCAGGACACTTTTGGCTCCTCTGACAGGAATCATTGAACATTGCTTAGACTCCAGCACAACACAGCTCATTCCCTCAGGTTAGTGTTGATCTTCCTTTTCCTTCATGGGAAATCCGCAGTGCTCCTCCACAGCACTGCGGGACATATTTTCAGGCTTGCCATCGCCACAGACAGCCTCTGACACATTGTCTCCACATCATCTGCAGTAGTGGGAGGCCAGTACGAGGTGTGAGAACACTGCTTCACCTTGGTCTTGCCATTGTTGTGGTTCTTGCCTGTCCCAGAGGCCACTGCGAGGCCCAGGATGAAGGGAGGCAGTGAGAACAAGAGCCTGGCTACCTTTCAATGACTCCCACCTCTGGGTTTTCAGGTATTATTCTATCAATCACAGAACCCTGAAAAACACACCAGACTACATTCCAATCCACAAAGGACCCTATACTTGTACATAGCCTCTTTTGGGAATGGAGTCAGAAGGGTAGTTTCTAGCGACCACCTCACAGTCTCAAAACACGTCCTCATCCAGTGGGAGCAGACCACAAAGACTGCGAAAAGTGACTCTAATTTTGAGACTTTTAACGTCCTACTGTGGGTTTTTGCTGTCAGCCTTTTTCCCAATACCAGGCCGGCTCTGTCAATACCATTTTTCTCTGCTTAGGCCGGCTAACAGCTCTGACAATTGGGCGCTGGAGCATGCCTCACAAATGCTCATGCACTAGTCTCAAAGCATCAGGCCTGATTGTGAGCTCTGGCTAGTGTAACAATGAATGTCACCATGGCATAATGACAAGTCCCTGTGGCTTGGCGGTGAAGGAGATAACCGTGGAAATGTGTTGGCAGTGGACTCCCATCTGTCTTCTCTGTGGGATCTGTGGGATTATCTCATGATCCTTCGGGAGGACAGGCATAATCCAGACCTAAGGAACATCATGAAGAAACCCAGTAATAAACTATGTGTGTGTATATATATATATATATATATATAATATATATATATTATATATAATATAAAATATATATATTATATATATTATATATATAATATAATGTATAATATATATTATATATTATATATTATATATAATATATAATATATATATTATATATTATATATAATATATATTATATATATTATAATATATAATATATAATATATATTATAATATATAATATATAATATATATTATAATATATAATATATAATATATATTATAATATATAATATATAATATATATTATAATATATAATATATAATAATATATATTATAATATATATTATAATATATATTATAATATATATAATATATATTATATATATTATAATATATATAATATATAATATAATATATTAATTATATATATTAATATATATTATAATATATAAATATATATTATATATATATTATATATTTTTATATATATATTATTTCAAAGCATTCTGCAGGATTCTTCAGGGTAGCCTACAGGTTGTAAGTGTTAGTCTTTTAAAAACATGCCCCACTGTTATTTCTAGATACAGCCTGCATTTTTTTCTTTCGGGTTGATCTGTCCCAGGTGGGACTTTCTGCAGAACCACACAGCCTCAAAAATTGTCAGGCTGTGTGTTTCTGTGGGATTTTTGTGAGTGCTGAATTTCTGCATGTGTGTGTGGATTTGTCTGATTGTGTGTTTTGTGTGCATGCACCTGTAAATGGAGTCTGCTTAAAGGAATGTGGCTATGCACTTCAGTGCTTCTTTTTTTTTTTGGAGTCTCCCAACCTTTTTGGGACCTGTCTGTATTACTCTGTTTATGCTGTGTGGTTCTATGTTCTTTATTTTTTGGTGAATCATGGATCTGCAGTAAATTTAGAGGTGGTTCAAGACACTCCAGTGTCCAAATCACCTTCCTCTGTTAAAAAAAAAAAAAAACCACTGTCATAGAAAGAAGTGGAGACACCAAATTCAAGAACAGACATCTCCCAGTGTTTCATTGTCCTGCCAACCCAGAGAGAGACACTAGCACTGCTGTCCACAGGGCTCCTTGAATTTACCTCTAATTCCGTTCCCAGTTGAGCAGATGCTTCATATCATGAGGGGGCACTAGCCCATCCCCTTGGGTTTTCATTCTGGGTCATAGAGTGTGAGTAACAATAGGGACAGATGGGGTGAGAATATAAACTGGTGAAAGGTGAAGGGGGTCCTGCAGTTTCACCTGCAAAAAAAATGAAGACAGATGACACAGAAGTTGCTTCTAACACCATCCCCACATTCCCTTAATTACACAAGGAATCCATACTATGGCCCGGTTTTCAAATGGGAGTACTCCAATGTGGGGGAAACATTATGACTGAAAATTAGGGCTAACCTGGCAAACTCCCGATTTGAGAGCTTTTTTACCCTTAACAAAATGGGTGTGGGATGGATTGATGCTTGGTGGAACATGACCTCCACACTTGCCTCTTCTTTTCCTGACTTCCATATTCTTCATCAGCCTAGGGTTTCTGAGGTCTGGCTCAACAATTTCCAAACTAAATATTTCCCGGTTCATGGAGAACAACCCTCATGAGAATTCATTGTGTGAGTGTTTCTTTCTAAATACTGGCATATTTTAATGACTTTAAAGCTACTTTAAGAGTAGCTTTGATACTTTTAAAATCATAAATTCCCATCACCTCTGCCAACAAGAAAACTCTTGTTCTCCCACTTCTTTCAGAGGTCTGCATGATTCTGGTAAAATGAGAAGCAGGCAGTTGTTTCTGGCTTTTCCTGGTAATATATCCCCTGTTATGTTTCATTTGCATGGCCTTCTCATTGTGGAAAGGCTCTTTCATTGTGCTATTGTTAGATGGGACTGCCTCTCTCCACAGATTATTTAGCTTCCAGAGATTTCAGAGAGCAAAAGGGACTTCGAGTAGGCTGGCTGTGGTCCAGGTTGTGGGTCATTTTCTTGTTGTGGGTTCTGAGGTTGTCTGTACTTTGCAGAAGGCTTTTGGGTTTTCTGACAGGAATCATTGAACATTGCTTTGAATCTAGCACAAGGCAGTTTTTTCTCTCAGGTGAGCCTTGATTTTTCTTTGCTTTTATGGGGGAATCCACATTGTCCCCCAACAGCACTACTGGACACCCTTTTAAGGCTTTCCCTTGCCTCAGACGGCCTCTGAGACACTGTTTTAACGTCATATGCAACTGTGAGAGGCCAGTCCAAGGTGTGGGAACACTGCTCCACCTTGGATTTACCTTTGCCATGATACTTGCCCTTTCCAGAGAGCCCCTGTGAGGCCCAGGATGAAAAGACACAATGAGGTCAAGAGCCTGGATATCTTTCACTGACACCCACATCTGGGTTCTCAAGTATGATTCCATCACCCAGAGACCCCTCAACAACTTACCAGAATACATTCCATTCCCTAATGGACCCAATTCCTGCACCCAACCTCTTTCAGGAATGGAGTCAGAAAAGCAGTTTCCAGCGACCAACTCAGTCTCAAAATGCCTCTTCCTGCAGCAGGACACGACTACAGGGATGGCCTGAAGGGGCCCTGATGTCTAAAATTTTAAGGTCCCACAGTGGGTTATCACAGGCAGCCTTTTTCCAGATACCCAGACGGTTCTGCTTCTACCACTTTCCTCTGCTTAGGCAGGCAGAAAGAACTGAGACCTGGGTGCCCAAACCTGTCTCATAAATGTGCATGTGCCAGTCTCAGCACACCAGGCCTGAGCTGTGAGCTATAGCCAGCATCACCTTGCATGCCACTATTGCCTAGCGACAAGTCCCTGTAGCTTGTTTGAGAAGACCTCCGTGGAGGTGAGTCAGCAGTGGACTGTCACCTGTCCTCTCTGTGGAATTCATGGGATAGTCCCATAATCCTAGGACAGAACAGAAGTGAAACAGCCTGAAGAAACAGTAAGCAGGGACTAAGGAATAAACAGCAAAACCCTAAAGATCCAAATGGATTTAAAGGATACCTCAGGCCAGCCTAGACATTGTACATGTGAGTCTTTTTGAAACTTGCCTTAGTGTGATTTCTAAGTACATCTCGCTTCTGTTACCCTGAGTTGCTCTCTCTTAGGTGAAGTTTCCTGCTGAACCAAGCAGCCTCAGGAGCTGCCAGGCTGTGTGTTTTAGTGGGAGTGTTGCGAGTGTTGTATGTCTGTGTGTGTTTGGCATGGTGTGCATATTTGTGCCTGTAAGGTGAGTGCCTGTAAGGTGAGTGCATGTAAAGAAAGGTGAATAACACACTTCAGCACTTTGTTTTGGGTCTCCCAACCTTGTGGCATCTATGTGGCTCTGCTTGGGTTCCGGGACTACACGTTCTTTATTTTTCTGTGGATCCTGAATCCACAGTGAATTCAGAAGCGGTCTCAGACATGTTGACATTCAAATCATCATCCTGTGCAAAAATCCACTGTTCTATAGAGAAGAGGAGCACACCACACCAAATAGCAGACATCTCACAGGGATTCACTGTCATGTGGCCAAACCAGGGAGGGACACTAGCAGTCATGACCCCACAGCCCCTTCTATTTCTCTTGAATTCAGTTCCCTGCTGAGCACATGCTTCATGTTTTGAGGGGGCACTCCTGCATCATCTTGGGATTTCATCCTGGGACATACAGTGTGAGAAGCAGTAAGGTCAGATAGAGGTGAGAATACAATCTGGTGAGGGGTGGATGGGGTCCCACAAGTTCACCTGCAAAAAAAATGGAAACAGATGACACAGAAGTTGCTTCTAATTCCATCCCTGCATTTCCTTAATTGCACAAGCAGTCCACAACATGGTCTAGTGTTCAGGTGGGAGTACTCCAACGTCCAATTAACATTTGCAGTGCAAATTGGGGCCATCCTGGCAAACTCTTGATTTGAGGGCTTTCATACCCAGAACCAAAAGGGAGCAGAATGGATTGATGCCGGGTGGGATTTCATCTCCACACTTTCCACTTCTTTTTCTTACTTCCATATTCTTCATCAGCCTAGGGTTTCCTGGGTCTGGCTCAATGACTTCCACACTAAACATTTCTCAGTTTACAGAGAACAATCTTTATGGGAATCCATTGTGGGAATGTTTCCTTCTAAACACTGTTAAGTTTCAATGACTGAGCAGCTTTGATACTTTTAAAACCGTAAATTCCCATTAGAGCCTCCACCAAGGAAACTCTTGTTCTCCTACTTCTATGGCAGAACTGCATGATTCCTGTAGCATAAGAAGCAGGCCACTGTGTCTGGATTTTGCCTGGTAACCTAGGCTCTGTTTCATTGCATCTGCACATACATTCTCATGGTGCTGGGGTCTTTCATTGAGCTGATGCTTGTTGGGATTTCCTCTTGCCACAGGTCTTTTTGCTGTCAGGGATTTCAGAGACCAAAAATGACTTCAAGAGGCTGGTTGTCATCCAGATTGTGAATGATGGCCTCATTGTGGGGACTGAGGTTGTTTGCACATTGAAGGATGTTTTTGTCTGATCTGACAGGATCTTTGAACATTTCTGGCACTCCAGCACAAGTTAACTCTTTCTTACAGGTTAGCCTTAATTTTTGTTTTTCTTTAATGAGGGGTTCACATTGTCCCACCACATCATTACTGGACATTTTCAGGCTTGAAATTGCCACAGACAGTCTCTGCAACACTGTCTCAACCTCTTTTGCACCCATGAGAGGCCCATTTGAGGTGTGAGAACACTGCTCCACCTTGGATTTGCTTTTATCATGGTTTCTACCATTTTCAGAGAGATCCTGTGAGGTCCATGATGAAGGGAGGCCGTGCAGCCAAGGGTATGACCTTCTTTTTCTGATTTCACCTCTGAGTTCTCAAGTATAATTCCATCACCCAAAGACCCCTCAACAACTCATCAGGCTACATTTCAATCCCTATGCGACCCGATTCTTGCACACAGAGCCTTTCAGAAGTGGAGTCAGAAGAGCAGTTGCCAGTGACCACCTCACAGTCTCAAAACCCATCCTCCTCCAGCAAGACCTGATCATGGATATAGCCCAAAGAGGCCATAGGTTTGAGACATCTAGGATCCTGCAGTGGGTTATCGCAGGCACCGATTTTCCTTATGCCATGCCGGCTCTGCCTGTGGCAGTCTCCCCTGCTTAGGCAGGCAGACAGCTCTGACCTGTGGTCACCCAAGCCTGTCAGCAAAATGCGCATTCACTAATCTCAGGGCACCAGACCTGACCTGTAATCTCTGACCACCATCACAGCAAATGCCACCATTGCCTAGCAACAGGTCCCTGTGTCTTGGCGGAGAAGGCAACTTTCGTGGAGATGCGTTGGCAGTGGACTGTCGCCTGTCTTCTCTGCAGGATTCTCTGGATAGTCTCATAGTTCCAGGAAAGGGTAGACCTGAGACAGCCTGGAGGAACATCAATCGGAGACACAGGAATAAACCACAAGATCCCTAAGGATCTAAAAAGATGTGCAGATGCTTCAGGCCTGCCTAGATGCTGTAGGGGTGACTCATATTGAAACTTGCCTTACTGGTATTTCTAGATACAACTCACCTGTGTTCCCCGGGGTTGCTTTCTCCCAGGTGGGTCTTCCTGCATAACCACACAGTCCCAGAAGCCACCGGCTGTGTGTTTCTGTGGCAGTGTTTTGTGAGTGTTGGATGTCTGCATGTGGGTGTGCCTTTGTATGTTTGTGTATGTGTCTGTGTGTACCTTTAAATGGAGTCTGCTGAAAGGAATGTAGTTAACCCACTGTAACACTTCTTTTTTTGTTTTGTTTTTCTGGTCTCCCAACCTTTTTGTGGCCTATCTCTGTGGCTCTGCTTTGGCTTCAGGGCTCCGTGTCCTTTATTTTTCTCTGGATAGTGAATTTGAAGTGAGTTGTGAGGCTGCCTGAGAAATTCTGTGGTCTAAATCATCTCCCCCTGCCAAAAAAAAAAAAGCCACCCTTCTAGAAAGAAAAGAACCACACCCCTCCCAATAACAGACATCTCCCATTGTTTCAGTGTCCTGTAGCCAACAGAGTGAGAGACACTAGCAGTCCTGTCTGCAGGGCCCCTTGAATTTACCTTGAATTCGGTTCCCAGCTGAGCAGGTGCTTCACGTTTTAATGGTGCACTCCTCCATCATCTTGGGATTTCCTTGCAGAACAGAGAGTATGAGCAGCAATAAAGTCAGAGAGGGTGTGGATACAGTCTTGTGAGGGGTGTATAGGGTCCCGCAACTTCACCTGAAAACAAATTAAAGTCAGATGACACAGACAGTGCCTCCAACTGCATCACCATATTGCAGTAATTGCACAAGGACTCCACACCGTGGCCCAGAGTTCAGGTTGTAGTACTCCACCTACAGGGAACATTGCTGTGCAAACTGGGGCCATACAGATCAACTTCCAATTTCAGGGCTTTCATACCTGGAGCCAAATGGGAGCTGGATGTATTGATGCTAGGTGTGATGTGGCCTCCACACTTGCCTCTTCTTTTCCAGACTTTAATGCAATTCGTTGTCCTAGGGTTTCCTGAGGGTGACTCCATGTCTTCCATACTAAAAGTTTCCAAGTTCATGGAGAAAGACCCTCATGGGATTCCATTGCATGAGTATTTTCTTCTAAATACTGTCATGTTTTAATGACTGGTCAGCTGTCATATTTATAAAAGCATAAATTCTGGTTACAGCCATCAACAAGGAAACACCTTTTCTCACACTTCTATCAGACAGCTGCGTGATTCCTGTAGGAGGAGAAGCAGGCAGCTCTGTCTGAATTTGCCCGATAATCTTGGGTCTTTTCACTTGCTTGAACATCTTTTCTCATTGTGGAATAAATCTTTCACTGGGCTCTTGCATGGTGAGACTTCATCTCACCATAGATCTTTTGGCTGCTACAAATTTCAGAGAACAGAAAGGACTTTGGGAAGAGCGGCTTTGCTGCAGATTGTGGGTCGTGGTCTCATTGTGGTCTCAGGGTGTGTTTGCCCTTTGCAAGAGGGTTTCTGGTCCTCTGACAGGAATATATTAACATTGCTGGGACTCCAGCAAAAGTCAGCTCATTCTCTCAGTGGAGCCTTGATTTTCATTTGCTTTCATCAAGGGTCCACATTGTCCCTCAACAGCACTACTGGACACCCTTTTCTGGCTTGCAATTGCCACAGAAGTCCTCTGAGACACAGTCTCAACATCATCAGCACCCATGAGAGGCCAGCCCGAGGTGCGAGAACATTGCTCCATCTTGGATTTTCTTTTGCTGTTTTTCCTGCCTTTCCCTGAGAGTTCCAGTGAGGCCCAGAATGAAGGGAAGCATTGAGATCAAGGATCAGGCCATCTTTCACTGAGACTTGCCTCTGGGGTCTCAGATATAATTCCATCACCCAAAGACCCACCTACAACACACCAGACTATACTCCAATCCCCATGGGACCAGATTCTGGCACATAGCCTCTTTCAGGAATGGAGTCAGAAAAGCAGTTTTCAGCGACCACCTTACAATCTTGAAATGCCTTCTCCTACAGTGGGACCCGACACGAAGGGGCCCCAAGGTCAAGATATTTAGGGTACCACAATGGCTTATTGTAGTCAGACTGTTTTACAATACCAGGCCTGCTCTGCCTGTACTATTCTCCTCTGCATAGGCAGGATGAAAGCTGACATCCAGGTGCCTGAACCTGCGTTGTGAATGTGCATGTGCTAGTCTCAGGGCACCAGAACTCAGCTGTGAGCTCTGGCAAGCATCACAATGAATGCCACTGTTACCCACAGACAATTCCCTGTGGCTTGATAAAGAAGACTTCTATAGCGGTGCATTGATGATGAATTCTCGCTTTTGTTCTTTGTGGACTCCTCAGGATAGTCTCATGATCCTAGGAAAGGGAAGAGATCAGCCAGCCTGAAGAAATGTCAAACAGAGCCCCAGAAATAAATGGTGAAATCCCTAAGGTTCCAAAATGATCTGCAGGATACCTCAGGCCTGCCTTGATTTAGTAGGGGTGTCTTTTTGAAAATTGCCCCACTGTAATTTCTATGTACAGCCCACCTCTGTTCCCTGGGTTTGCTATCTCCCACCTGGGGTTTCCTGCAGAACCATGCAGCCTCAGCAGGTGCCAGGCTCCGTGTTTTTCTGGGAGTGTTGGATGTCTGTGTGTGTTTGTGGCTTTATGTGTGTGTGTTTGTGTGTGTGCATGCCTGTAAGGAAGTCTGCTTAAAGAGATGTGGCTAACATACTGCAGCACTTTTTTTTTGTCACCCTACATTTTGGTGGTCTGCGTGGCTCTTCTTAGGCTGTGTGGTTCTGTGTTCTTTACTTTTCTGTGGCTCAAGCATTCACAGTTAATTGGGACACGAGTTGAGACCCAAAAGGTTCAAAATAACCTCCCCTGCAACAAAAACCACTCTTCTAGAGATAAGAGGAACACACCACATCCAAGAACAGATATCTCCCAATGTTTCATTGTCCTGCAGTGAACCCAGGAAGAGACACTAGCAGTCCTGTTAGCAGGGACTCTTGAATTTACTTCAAATTCAGTTCCCAGTTGAGCAGGTGCTTCATGTCATGAGGGTTACTCCTGAAACATCTTGAAATTTCACTCTGGATTAGAGTGTGAGCAGAAATAAGTTCAGACAGGGGTGAGGATACAGTCTGGTGTGTGGATGCCAACTAGCGTATTCACCTGCAAAAAGTGAAGATCCATTACACACAAGGTGCTCTCAACTGCATTCCCTCATTCCCTTAATTGCAGAAGCAGTGAACACCATGGCCTGGTGTTCATGTGGGAGTACTTCAAAATGCATGGCACCTTTGGAATTGCAAACTGTGACCATCCTTGCAAACTCTTGATATGAGGGCTTTCAAACCCTCAGCCAAATAGGAGAAGAATGGATTGATGCTGGATGGGATGTGGCCTTCACACTTACCTCTTCTTTTCCTGACTTCTATGTTCCTCATTGGTCTAGGGTTTCCTGAAGCTGGTTCCATGTCTTTCACACTAAATGTTTCCCACTTCATGGAGGACAACCCTCATGGGGATCAATTGCATCATAAACACTGTCACATTTTAATGACTGGTCAGCTGTCATAATTTTAACAGAGTAAATTCCCATTACAGCCACCAAAAAGGAAATGTTTATTCACCCACTTCTATTGAAGGGCAGCATAATTCCTGTAGAATGAGAAGCAGGCAGCTGTGCCTTGTAATCTAGGCTCTGTTTCATTTTATCCTTTGTCAATGTTCAGAGTGTCTTTCATTAGGCTGTTGCAGGATGGGACTTCTTCTTGCCACAGATCGTTTCATTGCCAGAAATTTCAGGGTGCAAAATGGACTTTGAATAGGCTTGCTGCACTCCAGTTTGTGGTTAGAGGTCTCAGTGTGGAAGCTGAGGTTGTTTTCACTTTGAAGGAGGCTTTTGAGTACTCTGACAGGAATTTTGGAATGCTGCCAGGACTCCAGCACAAATCAGCTTATTCTCTTAGGTAAGCCTTGATCTTTCATTTCATCCACTGTATCCCTCAAGAGCACCACTGGAAACCCTCTTCTGGATGGAAATAACCACAGAGGGCATTTGAGACATTGTCTAAACTTCATCTGCACACTTGAGAGGACTTTTTGAAGTGCAAAAATACTGATCCACCATGGAACTGCCTTTGTCAGTGTTCCTGTCTTTCCCAGAGAGCTGCTGTGAGGCCCAGAATGAAGGGAGGCAGTGAGGCTAAGGTCATGGCCAACTTTCACTAGCACTTGCCTCTGGGGTCTAAGGTGTAATTCCATCACCAAAAGACCCCTCAAAAACTCACCAGACTATATTCCAATCCCCAAGGGACCCAATTATTGTGCACACTTTCTTTAAGTAATGGAGTCAGAAGAGTAGTTTCCAGTGAACACCTCAGAGGCTGGAAATGCCTCTTCCTCCAGTGGGACCTGACCACAGAGATATCCTGAATGTGGCCCTAAGGTCAAGACTTTTAGGGTCCCGCAGTGGGTTATCACAAGTAACATTTTCCTGATACCAGACCGGTTCATGAATGTGCATGCCCTTGTCTCAGGGAACAAGAACTGTTCTGTGAGCTCTGCATAGAGTCGCAATGAATGGCACTGTTGCCTAGAGACAAATGCCTGCAGCTTGGCAGAGAAAGAGACCTCCGTGGAGGGGCATCGGAAGTGGACACCCCCCCCCTTCTTCTCTCTGAAATCCACAAGACAGTCCCATGATCCTAGGAGGAAGCAGACATGAAACAGCCTTAAAAAACGTCATGCAGAGCCCCAGAAATTAACCACAAAATAACTATGCATCCCAAAAGATCCGCACAATGCCTCAGGCTTGTCTTGATTATGCAGGGATGAGTTTTTTTGAAACTTGTGCTGCTGTGATTTCTAGGTATAGTCCACCTGTGTTTCCCAGGGTTGCCCTATCTCAGGAGCTTCCTGCAGCACCACACAGCCTCAGAAATTGCCAAGATATGTGTTTCTGTGGGATTGCAGTAAATCTTGGATGTCTGTGTGTATGCGTCCTTGTATGTCTGTGTGTTTTTCTCTGTGTGTGTATGCCTGCATCTGGATTCCTCTTAAAGAAATGTGGCTAACGCATATCAGTGCTTCATTTTTTTAAAACTCTTTCAAACTTTTGGTGGCCTATCATGAATCACCTTCCTGTCCAAAGGAGCCACTCTTCTAGAAAGAAGAAGAGCACACCACACCAAAAAACAGATCTCCCTGTGTTTCATTGCTCTGCCCCTAACCCAGGGAGAGACACTAGCAGTCCTGTCCACAGGGCCCTTTGAATTTACCTCGAATTACGTTCCCAGCTGAGCAGGTGCTTTATGTTATAAGGGAGAACTCCTCCATCATCTTGGAATTTTATCCTGGGTCATACAGTGTGAGCAGAAGTAAGGTCATATAGGGGTGAGGATACAATCTGATGAGGGGTGGATGGAGTCCTGCAACTTCACCTGCAAATGAAATTAAGACAGATGACACAGAATGTGCTTCCAACTGAATCCCACATTCCCTTAATTGCACGAGCAGTCTGCACAATAGTCCGGCGTTCAATTTGGAGTATTCCAACATTCAAGGAACAGTTGGAATGTAAATTGGGGCCTTCCTGGCAAACTTTTGATTTGAGGATTTTCATAGCTGACACCAAATGGGAGTGGAAAGGATTGATTCTGGGTGTGATATGGCCTCCACACTTGCCTCTTCTTTTTCTGATTTCCATGTTTTTTGTTTGCCTAGGGTTTCCTTGGTTTGGCTTAACCAATTACACACTAAACCTTTCCCAGTGCACTGAGGATGACCCTGATGAGAATCCATTGCATGAGTTTTTCCTTCTGAATACCATTATGTTTTAATTAATGGGCAGCTTTGATACTTTTAAAACCATAAATTCTTGTTACAGCAGCCAACAAGTAACCTCAACAACACACCAGACAATAAGCCAATACCTATGGAACAAGATTCTTGCACACAGCGTCTTTCAGGAATGGAGTCAGAAGAACAGTTTCCAGTGATCACTTCACCATCTCAAAACACTTCAGATTCCAGTGGGATCTGACCCCAGAGACAACCCGAAGGGACCCTAAGTTTGAGACATTTAGGGTCCTGCAGTGTGTTATCTCAGACAGCATTTTTCCCAACAGCAAGCTGTCTGAATCTCTACCATTTTCCTCTGCAGGCAGGCTGGCAGCTCTGACAGTCAGGCACAGGAGGCTACCTCGTGAATACACATTTCCAAGTCTCAGGGCATGAGGCCTGAGATTTGAGCACTGGCTAGCATCACAATCAATGCCACTTTTGCCTAACGACAAGTCCCTGCATGTTTGGGGAAAAGGGGACCTCCATGAAGGTGCATATGGTGCAGACTCCTGCCTGTCTTCTCTCTGGGATCCTCGAGATGGTCCCGTGGTCCTAGGAGACATCAGACTTGAACCAGCCTGAAAAAATATCAAGCAGAGCTTCAGGAACAAAGTGCAAAATTTCCAAACATCCAAAAGCATCTGCAGGATGCCTTAGTCATGCCTTGATTTTGTAGGGTTGGGTCTTTTGAAACCTACCACATTGTGATTTCCAGGTACAGCCCACCTGTGTTACCCAGGTTTGCCATCTTTCAGGTGAAGCTTCCTGTAGAACTACAGAATCTCAGAAGCTGCCTTGCTATGTGATTCTGATGGAGTGTTGCAGGTGCTGGATGTCTGTGTGAGTGTATGGCTTGTGTGTTTGTATGTGTGTGTGTGTGTGTGGCTGTAAGTGGAGTCTGCTTAAAGCAATGTGGCTAATGCACTACGGAACTTCCTATTTTTGAATCTTCCAACCTTTTTGTGGCCAGTCAGTGTTTGCTCTGCTTTGGCTGCAGGGTTGATGTTCTTTGTTTTTCTGTGGATTATAAATTCATAGTAAATTGGGACACTGGCTGAGACACGCTGGTGTTCAAATCACACCCCCCTCCCATAAAAACAAAATAAAAGCCACTCTTCTAGAAAGAAGAGGAGCACATGACACCCCAAACCAGGGAGAGATATTAACACTCAATTCCACAGAGCCCCTTGAATTTATCTGAAATTCGTTTCCCAGTCAAGCAGGTGCTTCACGTCATCATGAGGCATGCCTCCATCATCTAGTGATTTCATTCTGGGACACATAGTGTGAGCAGCAATAAGGTCAGATGGGGTGAAGATACAATCTGATGGGGGTAAATTGACTCCTGCACGTTCTCCTGCATTAAAGGTGAAGAGAGATGACACAGAAGTTGCTTCCAAGTGGATCCCTGCATTCCTTTAATTGCACACTGTCCACATCATGGCCTGATGTTCGGGTGGAAGTTCTACAAAGTGCAGGGAACATTTGGAGTTCAAACTGTGGCCATCCTGGCAAACACCAGATTTGAGAGCTTTCAAACCCCGATCCAAATAGGAGTGCGATGTATTGATGATGGGTGTGATGTTCCCTACATAATTGCCTCTTCTTTTCCTGATTTCCATGTTCCTTATCAGCCTAGGGTTTGCTGCGTCTGGCTCCACGTCTTCTACACTAAGCAATTTATAGTTCATGGAAGATGACCCTCATGGGAATCCATTGCATGAGTGTTTCCTTCTAAACACAGTCATGTTTTAATGACTGAGCAGCTTTGATACTTTTAAAAGCATGAATTCTTTTTACAGCCACCAACAAAGTAACTCTGGTTCTCCCACTTTTAACAGAGGGCTGCATGATTCCCTTAGAGTGAGAACCAAGCAGCAGTGTCTGACTTTTGCCTGGTAATCTAGGCTCTGTTTCATTTCATCTGCGCATCCTTTCTCATTGTGGAGAGAATCTTTCATGGGGCTCTTGCTGGATGGGGCTGCCTCTCACCACACATCTTTGGCTGCCAGGGATTTAAGAGCAAATGAGACTTTGGGTAATCTAGCTGCACTCCTTGTTGTTGGTCTTCATCTAGTTGTGGGATCTGTTGTTTGCACTTTGTAGGAGGCTTTTGGTGCCTCAGCCAGGAATCTTTGAACATTGCCTGGACTCTAGCACAATTCAGCTCATTATCTCAGGTGAACTTTACTTTCTTTTTTTTTTTCTTTCATGGGAGGTTCAGAGTCCCCCTCGACAACACTACTGGTCACTCTTTTTCTGCTTGCAATAAACACAGATGGTCTCTGGGACACTGTCTTAATATCATCTGCACTCTTGAGAGGCCAATTAGAGGTGTGAGAACACTGCTTTACCTTGCACTTGCCTTTGCCATGGTTCCTGCCTTTCCCAGAGAGCTCCAGTGAGGCCCAGGATAAAGGGAGGCAATGAGGACAAGGTCCCTGCCAAACTTTGGTGAACCTGCCTCTGGGGTCTCAGGTATGATTCCATTACCAAAAGGCCCCTCAACAACTCACTAGACTATATACCAATCCCCATGGGAACTGATTCCTCCACACAGCCTCTTTCCGAAATGGGGTCAGAAGAGCAGTTTCCACTGACAACCTCAGAGTCTCAAAATACCTCATGCTCCAGTGTGACCTGAATACAGAGAGGGCCTGAATGGGCCCTAAGATGGAGACTTTTAGGGTTCCACAGAGGATTATCACAGCCAGCCTTTCTCCTGATACCATTCTTGCTCTGCTTGCACCATTTTCCTTTCCTTAGGCAAGCTGACAACTCTAACATCTGGGCCCCGGAGCCTGCCTCCCGATTGTGCATGAGCTAGTCTTAGGGCACAAGGCCTGACCTGTGAGCTCTGGCTAGCATCACAATAATGGCCCTGTTGCCTAATGGCATGTCCCTGTGGCTTGGCAGAGAAGGAGACCTCTCTGGCTTTGCATCAATGGTAGACCTTCACCTGTCTTCTCTATGGAATACAGGGGACATTCCTATTATCCTGGGAGATGGCAGACATGATCCAGCCTGAAGAAACATCTAGCAGAGCCCCAGGAATAAATAATGAAATCCCTAATGATTCAAAATAATCTTCGGGATGCCTCAGCCCTCCTAGATGTTGTAGCAGTTTGAATCTTTTTGAAACTTGCCACACGTGATTTCTAGGTACAGCCTGTCTGTGTTCCCAGGGGTCCCTCTCTCTCTGGTGGGGTTTTCTGCAGAACCACACAACTTTAGAAACTTCTGGGCTGTGTGTTTCTGTAGGAGTGTTGTAAGTATTGGATTTCTGTGTGTGTGTGGCATTGTGTACTTGTGTGTGTGTGCATGTGTGTTTGCCTGTAGGTGGAGTCTACTTAAAGGAATGTGGCTAATGCACTGCAGCACTTTTTTTCTTTTGAGTCTCCCAACTTTGTTGGCCTGCCTGTGTGGCTCTCCTGAGAATGCAAGCCTCCCTCTTCTTTATTTCTCTGTGACTTATGAATCCACAGTGAATTAGGAGGCTGGCTGAAACCCACGAAGGGCCAAGTCAACTTCTCCCTGCAAACAAATCCACTCTTCTAGAAATAGGAGGAGCACACCACATGCTAGAACAGACATCTCCCAGTGTTTTATTTTGTGGCCAACACAGGGAAAGACACCAGAAGTCCTTTCTGCAAGGACCCTTGAAATTACCTCAAATTTGATTACCAGATGAGCAGATTCTTCAAGTCTTGAGGGGGCACTCCTCCATCGTCTTGAGTTTTCATCCTGGGGCAGAGAGTGTGATCAGCAATAAGGAACAGTGAGAGGTGAGATTACTCTCTGTGGTGGATTCGGTCCTGCGACTTCACATGCAAAAAGGGAAAGACTGATAACACAAAAGGTGCTTCCAATTGCATACCCACATTCCCTTAATTGCACAAACAGTGCATACAATGGCCCGGTGTTCAGGTGAAAGTACTCCAACATGCAGGAAACATTTGTAGTGCAAACTTGGGTGATCATGGCAAACTCTTGGTTTGAGGGATTTCATACCCTGAAGCAAATGGGAATGGGATGGGATGGGTTGATGCAGGGTGGGATGTGGCCTCCACACTTGCTTCTTCTTTTTCTGGCTTCCATGTTCCTCACGGGCCTAGGGTTACCTGGTTCAGGCTCAATGTCTTCCATACTAAACGTTTCCCAGTTCACGGAGGATGGCCTTCATGGAAATCCACTGTGCGAGTGTTTTGTTGTAAACATTGTCATGTTTTAATGACTGGGCAGATGTGATATTTTTAAAATTACAAATTCCCATTACAGCTGCCAACAAGGAAACTCTTGTTCTCCTGCTTCTATCAGAGGGCTGCATGATTCCTGAAGGATGAGAAGCAGGCCACCAAGTTTGGCTTTTCCCTGATAATCATGGCTCTGTTGCATTCCATCTGCATGTCCTCTGTCTTTGTGGTGGGGATCTTTCATTGGGCTGTTGCTGGATGGGACTGCCTCTCATCACACATCTTTTGGTACCAGGGATTTCAGAGAGCAAAACGATGTCAAGTAGGCTGGGAGCACTCCATGTTCTGGGTGGTTATCTCCTTGTGGGGGCTGAGGTTACCTGCACTTTGCTGGAGGCTTTTGGGTCCTCTGATAGAAATCTTTAAATGTTGCTTGGATTCCAGCACAAGTCAGCTCATTCTCTCAGGTGAGCCTTGATTTTCCTTTCCTTTCATGGCAGTCCACAGTGCCCCTCAACAGCACTACTGGACACAATTTTCAGGCTTGCAATCAGCACAGACAGCCTCTGAGACAGTCTCAACCTTATGTGCACCCACAAAAACCCAGTTTGAGGTTTGAGAACACTGCTCCACATCAGACTGCCTTTGTCATGGTTCCTGGCTTTCACAGAGAGTCCCTGTGAGACCCAGTTTGAAGGGAGGCACTGAGGCCAAGGGCCTGGCCTTCTTTCACTGACACCCACCTCTGGGGTCTCAGGTATAATTGCCTCAACCAAAGACCCATCATCAACTCAGCAAACTATATTCCAATCTTCATGGGTCTGATTCTTGCATAAAACCTCTCTTGGGAATCAAGTCAGAAGAGCAGTTTCCAGTGAAGACCTTAAAATCTTGAAACACCTCCCACTTCAGCAGGACTGAGCTTGGAGACATCGTGAAGGGGCCCAAAAGTTGAGTCTTGCAGTGAGGTGTCGCAAGCAGCCTTTTTCCTGATATCAGGCCAGCTCTGCCTGTAACATATTCCTCTTCTTAGGCAGGATGACAGTTCTGACAGCTGGGCCCCTGAGCCTGCTAACAAATGCACATGTACTAGTTTGAGGACACCTGGCCTGAGAAGTGAGTTCTGGCTATCTTCACCATAAATGCCAACTTGCCTAGTGACAAGTCTCTGCTGCTTGGCACAGATGGCAGCCTTCTTGAAGGGGCAACAGTGGGGAACTCTTTCCTGTCTTCCTTGTGGGATTCACGGGATAGTCTGATGATCCCAGAGAGGGCAGTCATGAGCCAGCCTGGAGAAACCTCAAACACAGCCCCAGAAATAAACCACAAAATCTCTAAGGACCCAGAAGGATCTGCCAGATGCCACAGGCCTTCCTAGATGTCATAGCGGTGACTTCTTTTGAAACTTGCCCCACTGTGATTTTAAGATACAGCCCACATGTGTTCCCTGGGGTTGCTCTCTCCAAAATGAGGCATCCTGCAGAACCACACAGCCTCAGAACCTGCTAGACTGTGTGTTTCTGTGGGAGTATTTTGAGTGTTGGATGTCTGCGTGTGTATGTGGCTTTGTGTGTTTGTGTGTGTGTGTGTGTGTGTGTGCCTGTAAGTGGACCCTGCTTAAAAATATGCCGTTATTGCACTGTAGCTTTTTTTTTTTCGAGTTTCACACCCTTTTGGTTGTCTGTCTGTGTGGCTCTTCTTGGGATGTGGGGATCCTTGTTCATCATTTTTTCTGCGGATTATGAATCTGCAGTGAATTGGAAGGCTGACTGAACATGCCAGGGTCCAAATCACCTCCTCTTGCAAAAAAAAAAAAAAAAGCCACTCTTCTAGAAGAAAAAGAGCACACCAAACTCAAGAACAGACATCTCCCAATGTTTCATTGTCCTGTGGCCAACCAGGGAGAGACACTAGCAGTCTTGTCCACAGGGCCCCTTGAATTTACCTCAAATTAGGTTTCCAGTTGGGCAGGAGCTTCATATCATGAGGGGGCACACCTCCATCATCTTCGGGTTTTATTCTGGGAAAGAGAGGGTGAGCAACATTGAGGTCAGATAGGAGTCAGGATACAATCTGATGAGGGGTGTATCGGTTCCCGCACTCTCACCTGCAAAAAAGTTGACAGATGTCAGAGAAGTTGTTTGAAACCAAAGGATCTGCAGGATGACTCCGGCCTGCCTAGACACTGTCAGGTTGATTTTTTTTTTGGAAACTAAACACACTGTGATTACTAGGTACAGCCTGCCTATGTCCTCCAGGGTTGCTCTCCCCAAATGGGAGTTTGTGCAGAACCACGCCGCCTCAGATGTTTCTGGGCACTGTGTTTCTGTTGGTGATTTGCAAGTGTGGGATGTTTGTGTGTGTGTGTGGCTTTGCGGGTTTTTTTCTGTGTGTGTTTGTCTGTGTGCCTGTAAGTGGAGCCTGCTTAAAGAATGTGGCTAATGCACTGCAGAGCCTCTTCTTCTTTTTTTTTTTCTTTTTTTTTTGAGTGTCCCAACGATTCTGTGGCCTGTATGTGTGGCTGTGCTTGGGCTGTGGGGCTAGTGTTATTTATTTTTCTGTGGATCATGAATCTTCAGCAAACTGGTAGGCTGGCTGAGACTGCCAAGGTCCAAATCACCTCCCATAGAAAAAAAAATCCACTCTTCTAGAAAGAAGAGGAGCATATCACACCCAAGAACAGAGATCTCCCAGTGTTTCCTTGTCTGGCAGCAAAAGCACAGCAAGACACTAGCAGTCCTGTCCCCAAGGCTCCTTGAATTTACCTCAAATTCTGTGCCCAGCCAAACAGGTGCTTCAAGTTGTGAGGTGCCACTCCTCCATCGTCTTGTGATTTGATTGTGGGACAGAGGGTGTGAGCAGCAATAAGGCCAGATAGGGGTGAGAATGCAATCTGGTGAGGGGTAAATTGGGTTCTGCACCTTCACCTGAAGAAAAGGTGAAGACAAATGACATAGAAGGGAAACTGCATCACCAAATTCCCTTCATTGCACAAGTAGTCCACACCATGGCCCATTGTTCAGGAGGGAGTGTTTCAACGTGCAGGGAATATTTGGGGTGCAAACGGGTGCTGTCATGGAAAACTCCAGATTTGAGGGCTTTCATACCTGGAGCCTAATGGGAGTGAGGTGGATTGATGCTGGATGGGATGTGGCCTCTACACTTGCTGAATCTTTTACTGACTTCTATGTTCCTCATCGGCCTAGGGTTTCCTGGGTCTTGCTCAATCTTTTCCACACTAAATGTTTTGGGAAGTGTGGTTCACGCATGATGACCCTCAAGGATATACATGCTGTGAGTGTTTCCTTCTAAACACTGTCACGTTTTAATGACTGGGTAACAGTGATACCTTTAAAACCATGAATTCCTGTTACACCTGCCAACAATGAAACTCATTTTCTCCCACTTCTATTGAAGAGCTGCATAATTTCTCCAGGATGGAAGCAGGGAGCAGTGGCTGTCTTTTGCTTGGTACTAGGGTCTGTTTCATTTCATCTGCACATTCCTTATCATTGTTGAAGGGGGTCTTTAATTGGGCTGTTGCTGGTTGAAACTGCCTCTTGCCACAAAAACTTTTCACTACCAGGGATCTCAGAGAGCAAAAGGGACTTCAGGTAGGCTGGCTGCACACCAGGTTGTGGGTGATTGTCACATTCTGGGGGCTGAGGTTGTTTTCAATCTGCAGGAAGTTTTGGGTTTCCTGATAGGAATCACTGAAGATTGCTTGGACACCAGCACAAGACAGCTCGTTCTCTCAGGCAAGCTTTGATTTTTCTTTGCTCTCATGGGAAATCCACAGTGCCCCTCAACAACACTACTGGTCACAGTTTTCAGGCTTGCCATAGCCAAAGACAGTCCTGAGACACCGTCTCAACCTCATCTGCACCTGTGAGAGGCCAATCAGAGGTGTGAGAACACTGCTCCACCGTGGACTTGCCTTTGTCGTGGTCCCTGTCTTTTGCAGAGAGCCCCTGTGAGGCCCAGGAAGAAGGGAGGCAGTGAGGTCAAGAGCCTGGCAATCTTTCATTGACACCCTCGTCTGGGGTCTCAGGTATGATGCTATCACCCAAAGAACCCTCGAAAACACACCACACACTATTCCAATCAGCAATAAGTAAGAATCACCAGATAATATTCCAATCTGCAATCCGTAAGAAACATGCGATTCTTACACACAGCTTCTTTTGGAAATGGAGTCGGAAAAGCAGTTGCCAGCGACCAAAAGGACAGTCTCGAAACACGTCCTTCTCCAGTGGGACCCAACTACAAATACAGCTCCAAGGGGCCCTGAGGTCGAGACTTTTAGGGTCCCGCAGTTGGTTCTCGCAGGCAGGCTTTTACCCGATACCAAACCGGCTCTGAGTATACCGCCTTCCTTTGCTTAGGCAGGCTGACAGCTCTGACAGACTGGAGCACGAGCCTGCCTCACGAATGCGCATGCACTAGTCTCAGGGAACCAGTCTTGATTATCAGCACTGCCTAGACTCGTAAAGATTGTCTCTTTTGCCTAGCGACAATTTCCTGCGGCTTGGCAGAGAAAGAGACCTCTGTGGAGGTGCGTCAGTGGTGGACTCTCACCTGTTGGATGCAGGGGATAGTCCCATCATCCTAGGTGAGCGCAGACGTGAGCCAGCCTGAAGAAACGGCAGCCATAGCCTCAGGAATAAACCGCAATATCCCTAATGATCCAAAAAGATCTGCAGGATTTCTCAGGCCTGCCTACACATCGTAGCGGTGAGTGTTTATGAAACTTGCACCTCTGTTATTTTCAGGTACAACCCGAGTGTGTTCTCCATGGTTGCTCTCTCCAAGTTGGGGATTCCTGCAGAACTAGGCAGCCTCAGGAGCTGCTGGGCTGTGTGTTTCTGTGGCGATGTTGTGAGTGTTGAATGTCTGCGTGTGTGTGGCATTGTGTGTTTGTGTGTGTGTGCTTGTAAGTGGAGTCTGCTTAAAGGAATATGGCTAACTCGATTCAGAGCTTCTTCTTTCTCTTCTTCCTCTTCTTCTTCTTCCTCTTCTTCTTCCTCTTCCTCTTCTTCCTCCTCCTCCTCTTCTTCTTCTTCCTCTTCTTCTTCCTCTTTCTATTCTTCTTCCTCCTCCTCTTCTTCTTCTTCTTTCTTCTTTCTTCTTCTGCTTCTTCTGCTTCTGCTTCTGCTCTTCTTCTTCTTCTTCTTCTTCTTCTTCTTCTTCTTCTTCTTCTTCTTCTTCTTCCTCTTTTCTTCTTCTTCTTCTCCTTCTCCTTCTCCTTCTCTTTCTTCTTCTTCTTCTTTTGAGTCTGAAAACCTTTTGGTGGCCTGTCTGTGTGGCTCTGCTTGGGATGTGGGACTCCATTTTTTTTGGTTTGTTTGTTTGTTTGTTTTTTCTATGGATCATAAATCTACAGTGAATTGGAATGCCAGCTGAGGCCTGTCAGTGTCTAAATCACTTTCCCTCGCAAAAACAGCCACTGTTTTAGAAAGGAGAACACCACATCAATAAAGAGGCATTCCCTAGTGTTTTATTGTCTTGCAGACAACCCAAAGAGAGACACTAGCAGTCTTGTCCTCAGGGCCCCTTGAATTTCCTCAAATTCTGTTCCCAGCTGAACAGGTGCTTCATTGTGTGAGGGGGCACTCCTCCGTCATCTTGGGATTTCATCCTGGGATAGAGAGTGTGAGAAGAAATAAGGTGAGATATGGACGGGGGTACAATCTGATGAGGCATGGATAGGGTCCACTTCACCTGTAAAATACATGAAGATAGATGACATAGAAGGTGCTTCCAAATCCATTCCCACATTTACTTAATTGAACAAGCCATCCCACATCATGGCTCAGTGTTCAGGCAGGAATACTCCAATGTCCAATTATCATTTGGAGTGCAAACTTGTGGCATCCTATCAAACTCCCGATTTGAGCACTTCCATACCTGTAACTAAATGAAGTGGAATGCATTGATGATCGGTGGGATGTGGCCTACACACTTGCCTCTCCTTTTCATGACTTTCGTGTTCCTCATTGGCCTAGGGTTTCCTAAGTGGCTACGTGACACCCACGCTGAAAGTTTTCCAGTTAACAAAGAAGTCCCCTCAAAGGCATTCATGATGTGAGTGTTTCTCTATAAACACTGTCACGTTTTAATGACTGGGCAGCTTTGATACATTTAATACCATAAATTCCCATTACAGCCACAACAAAGAAACTTTTGTTCTTCCACTTCTATTAAAGGGCTGCATGATTCCTGTAAGATAAGAAGCAGTCAGACATGTCTATCTTTTTTCTGGTAATCTAGCCTCTGTTTCATTTCATCTGTATGGCCTTCTCATATTGCAGGGGCTCTCTCATTGAGCTGTTGCTTGATGGTACTGCCTCTCGTCATAGATTATTTAGCTGCCAGGGATTTCAGAAAGCAAAAGGGACTTTGGGTAGGCTAGCTGGGCTTCATGTTGTGGGTCATCGTCTCATTGTTAGGGGTGAGATTGTTTGCACTTTACAGGAGACTATTGGGTCCTCTGACAGGAATCATTGAACACTGCTTGGACTCCAGCACAAGGCAGATCCTTCTCTCAGGTGAGCCTTTATTTTTGCTTGCTTTTACGGGGAATCAACAGTGCCCTTCAACAGCATTACTGGAAAACTTTTTCAGGCTTGCCATCTGCACAGACAGCCTCTGAGACACTCTCAACCTCATTTGCTCATGTGAGAAGCCAGTCCTAGGTGTGAGAACAGTGCTCCCCCTTGACTTGCCTTGCCGTTGTTTCTCTCTTTCCCCAAGAACCCCTGCAAGGCCCAACATGAAGCGAGGTAGTGAAGTCAAAAGTCCAGCTATCTTTGGCTGGAACCTGCCTCTTGGGCCTCAGGTATAATTCTATCACCCAAAGAACCCTCAACAACACACCAGACTGTATGCCAATCCCCATGGGACCAGATACTTGCACACAATATCTTCAGGGAATGGAGTCAGAAGAGCAGTTTCCAGAGACCACCTCACATTCTCAAAATGCTTTTCCTACAGAGAAACCTGACCACAAAGAAGGCCTGAAGGGGCCCTGTGGTCCAGACTTTTAGAGTCCTGCTGTGGGATTTCTCAGGCAGCCTTTTTCCAGATACCAGGCTGGCTCTGCCTGTACTCTTTTCCTCTGCTTAGGAAAGCCAACAGCTGTGACAGACTGGCTCCTGTGCCTGCCTCAAGGATGTGCATGTTCTAGTCTCAGGTCATCAGGCCTGATTATAAGCTTTGCCTAGAGTCACTATAAATGTCACTGCTGCCTAGCGACAAGTTCTTATGGCTTGGCATAGAAGGAAGTCTCCGTGGAGGTGTGTAGGTGGTGCAATCTCACTGTCTTCTCTGTGAGATCCAAGGGATCATCCCATGATCCTCAGAGAGGGCAGACATGAGCCAGCCTGAAGAAAGTTCAAGCATAGTCCCAGGAATAAACTGCAAAATCCATAAGGATTCAACACTTTCTGCAGGATTCCTCAGACTTGTCTAGATGTTGTATGGGTGAGACTTTTTGAAACTTGCCCCACTTTGATTTCTAGGTAGAGCCCGCCTGTTTTCCCCATCTGTTTTCCCTGGTGTTGCACTCTTTCAGGTTCTTCCTGCAGAGCCATGCAGCCTCAAGAGCTGCCAGGCTGTGTGTTTCTTTGAGAGTGTTGCAAGTTTTGGATGTCTGTGTGTGGCTTTGTGTGTGTGTGTGTGTGTGTGTGTGTGTGTGTGTGTGACTGCAAGTGGAGTCTGCTTAAAAATATGTAACTAACGCATTGCAGAGTTTCTTTTTTTGGTCTCACAACTTTCTGGTGGCCGGTGTGGCTCTGCTTGGGCTGTGGGGATCCGTGTTCATTATTTTTCTGTGAATCATGAACATTTAGTCAATTGGGAGGCAGGCTCAGACATACTAAGGTCCAAATCACCTACTTTTGCCAAAAAAAAACCCACTCTTCTGGAAGAAGGGAAACATATCACACCCAGGAACAGCCATCTCTCAGTATTTTATACTCCTGCCACCAACCCAAAGAGAGACACTACCAGTCCTGTCTGCAAGGCCCCTTGAATTTATCTCGATTTTTTTTTGCCCACCGAGGAGGTGCTTCACTTCGTGAGTGGACACTTTTCCATTGTCTTTGGATTTCATTTTGGGATAGAGAGTGTGAGCAGAAATAAGGTCAAGTAGCAATGAGGATAAAATCTGGTGAGGGGTGGATGGTGTCCAGAATATTCACCTGCAAAAAATGTGAAGAAGATGACTCTGAAGGTGATTCCAACAGCATCCCCACATTTCCTTTATTGCACAAGCTGTCCACATCATTGCCTGCTGTTCAGGTAGAAATACTCCAAAGTGCAGGGAACACATGAAGTGCAAACTGGAGACATCCTGGCTAACTTACAATTTGAGGGGTTTCATACTCAGAGACAAATGAGAGTGAGATTGATTGATACATTATGAAATGTGGTCTGCACACTTACCTCTTTTTTTTCCTAACTTCCAACTTATTTATTTATTTTTTTCGGCCTCAGGTTTACTGTTTCTGACTCAACCTTTTCCATGCTAAATATTTATGAGTTCAAGAAGGTGACCCTCAAGAAAATCCACTGCCTGTGTGATTCCTTCTAAATACTTTATCATTTTAATGACTGGGCAGCTGTGATAATTTCAAAACTGTAAATTCCATTACAGTTGCCAACAAGCCAACTCTTCTTCTCCAGCTTTCATGGCAGTCCTGCATGTTTCCTGTAGGATGAGAATCAGGCAGCTGTGTCTGTCATTTGCCTAGTAATCTAGGTTCTATTTCATTGCATCTGCGTATTCTTTCTCATTGTGGAGGGTATCTTTCATTAAGCTGTTGCTGGATGAGGCTGCCTCTTGCCATAGTTCTGTAGGCTACCAGGGATTTCAGGAAGCAAAAGGGACTTTGGGCAGGCTGGCTGCACTCCAGTTTGTGGGTCATATTCTCATTGTGGTTCTGAGGTTGTTTGCAGTTTCCAGGAGTCTTTAGGGTCCTCTGACAGGAAACTTTGAACGTTGCTTCGACTCCAACACAAGTCTTCTGTTTCTCTTATGTGAGCCTTGATTTTTTTTTTTTTTGCTTCCGTGGGGCATCCACAATGTCCCTCAATAGCAATACTGGACAGGCTTTTCAGGTGTGCCATCACCACAGATGGCTTCTGAGTCACTGTCTCAACCTCATCTGTGCCCATTGGAGGCCAGTTCGAGGTGTGAGAATAATGCTGCAATTTGGACGTGTCTTTGTCATGATTCCTCCCTTTCCCAGAAAGCTCATGCAAGGCCTAGGATGAAGGGAGGCAGTGAGGTTAAGGGCCTGGCCATCTTTCACTGGCACTTGCTTCTGGGGTCTCAGGATGACACTATAACCCAAAGACCCCTGCGCAATTCACCAGACTACATTCTGTTCCCCATGGGACCCGATTCTTGCACAGGGCCTCTATAGGGAATACAGTCAGAAAAGCAGTTTCCAGCTACCATTTCACAATCTTGAAACACAACCTCCTCTAGTGGGAACTGACCACGGAGACTGCCTGAAGTGGCCCTAGGGTCAAGACTTTAAGGTTCCAGCAGTGGGCTATCACAGTCAGCCATTCTCCTGATACCAGGCCAGCTCTGCCTGTACCATTTTTCTCTACTTAGGCAGGCTGACAGCTCTGATGGATAGGTGCTGGAGCCTGCTCCTGAATGTGTATGTACCAGTCTCAGAACACCAGGCCTGAGCTGTGAGCTCTCACTAGCATCACAATGAATGTCACCATTGCCTAGCGACAAGTCTCTGTGGTCTGGCAGAGAAGGAGACTTCCCTGGTGATGCGTCAGCGGTGGACTCTCGCCTGTCTTCTCTGTGGGATCACGGCATAGTTCCATGATCTTAGTAGAGGGCAGACATGAGCCAGCCTAAAGAAACCTGCACCACTGTGATTTCCAGGTACAGCCTACCTGTATACTCAGGGGTTGCTCTCTCCCAGATGGGGCTTCCTACAGAAACAGGCAGCCTCAGAAGCTGCCAAGCTGTGTTTTTCTTTGTGGGTTTTGTGAGTGTTGGATGTCTGTGTGTGTCTGTGGCTTTTTGCTTTTGCGTGTTTTTGTGTGTGCGTGTGGCTGTAAGTGGAGTTTGCTTAAATAAATGTGATTAATGCACTGCAGCACATTTTTTTAAATCTCCCAACCTTTTGGTGGACTGTCTGTGTGGCTCTGCTTGCGCTGTGGTGCTCTGTGTTCTTTATTTTCTGTTGGATCATGAATCCGCAGTAAATTGGGAGGGTGGCTGAGACAAGCCTGGTTGAAATTACCTCCCACTGAAAAAAAAACAAACAAAAAAAACAAAAAAACTATTCTTCTAGAAAGAAGAGGAGCATGCACATCCAATAATAGATGTCTCCCTGTATTTCATTGTCATGCCACCCAGAGTGAGTGCCACCCAGAGTGAGACACTAGCAGTCCTGTCTGAAGGGCCCCTTGAATTTACCTTGAATTCAGTTTACAGCAGGGCAGGTGCTTCACATCATCATGGGGCACTCCTCCATCATCTTGGGATTTCATTCTGTGAAAGAGAGTATGAGTATCAACAAGGTCAGACAGGGGTTAGGATACAATCTGGTGAGGGATAAATAGAGTCCCACACCTTCATTTGCAAAAATCATGAAGACAGATTACACAGATGGTGCTTCTAACTGCAACCCAGCTTTCTCTTAATTGCACAAGCAGTCCACAGCATGGCCTGGTGTTCACATGGGAGTACTATAGCATGGAGGGGCTATTTGAAGTGCAATCTGTGGCCCTCCTGGCAAATTCCCGATTTGAGGACTTTCATACCTCAAGCAAAATGGGTGTGAGATGTATTGATGCTGGGGGGAATGTGCCCTCCACACTTGCCTCTTCTTTTTCTGAATTCCATCTTCCTCATCGGCCGATGGATTCCTGGGTCAGTCTCAACGTCTTCCACTCTAAAGTTTACACAGTTCATGGAGAACGATCCTCATGGGATTCCACTCTGCGTGTGTGTGTTTCCTTGTAGACACTGTCATGTTTTAATGACTGGGCAGCTATGATATCTTTAAAAACATAAATTCCCATTACAGCCGCCAACAAGGAGACTTATTCTTCCACTTCTGTCAGAGGACTGCATGATTCCTGTAAAATGACAAGCAGACAGCATTGCCTGGCTTGGGATCAAAGCTCTGACTCATTTCATCTGCCTGTCACTTCTAATTGTGGAGAGGGTCTTCCATTGGGCTCTTGCCTAATGGGACTGCCTCTCATTAAACATCTTTGGCTGCCATGGAATTCAGGGAGCAAATGGGATTTCAGGTAGGCTGGCTGTGTTCCAGGTTGTGGTTGTTGTCTGTGTGGGGGCTGTGGGTGTGTGCACTTTGCAGGAGGCTTTTGGATCCCCTTCCAGGAATCTTGGAATGTTGCTTGGACTCGAGCACAAGACAGCTTGTTCTCTCTGGTGAGCCTTGATTTTTATTTGCTCTCATGAAAAAGCCACAGTGCACCTCAACAGTTCTACTGGACGAAGTTTTCAGGCTTTCAATCACCACTAATGACCTCTTGAGACACTGTCTCAACCTCATCTGCATATGTAAAAGGCTAGTTCAAGATGTGAGAACACTGCTCCACCTTGGATTTGCCTTTATGATGGTTCCTGTCTTTCCAAGATCTCTTGTGCTAGGGCAAAGATGAAGGGAGACAGTGAGGTCAAGGCTTAGGCATCTTTTGGTGACACCTGCCTCTGGGATTTCAGGTATAATTCTATCACCCAATTACCCCTCAACAACTCCCAAGTCTATATTGCAAACCACGTGGGACCCGATACTGGCACACAGCCTCTTTAGGAAACACAGTCAGAAGAGCAGTTTCCAGCAACCACCTCACCATCCCAAAACGCCTCCTTCCCTAAAGGGACCCGAACATGGAGACATCCTGAAGGACCCTTAAGATTGACATTTTATAATTTGGGAGTGGATTATCACAGGCAGCCTTTTTCCTGATACCAGACTGGCTCTTCCTGTACCATATTCCGCTTAGGCAAGCTGACAGCTCTGACTGCCAGGCGCCTGAGCATGCATCACTAATGCACATATGCTAGTCTCAGAGAGTGTTTCAAGTGTTGGATATCTGCATATGAGTGTGGCATTGTGTTTTTGTGAGGGTGTCTTTGTGTGTGTGTGTGTGTTGGCCTGTAAGTGGAGATGGATTACAGAAATGTGGCTAATACACTTCAGCGTTTCTTTTTGTGTGTCTCCCAGCCATTTGCTGGCCTGTTTGTGTGGTTTTGCTTGTGCTGCAGTGTTCCCTGTTTTTTATTTTTCTGTGGATCATAAATCCACTGTGAATTGGGAGGGTTGCCGAGAGCCACTGGTGTCCAAATCATCTACACCTGCAAAAAAAGCCAATCTTCTAAAAAGATGAGAAACACACAACACCAAAAAAAATAGACATCTCCCAGTGTTTTATTGTCCTGTGACCAACCAAGGGAGAGAGACACTAGCAATCTTGTCCGCAGGGACCCTTGAATTTACATAGAATTCAATTTCCAGCTGAGCAGGTTCTTCATGTCATGAGGTAGCACTTCTGCAACATCTTGTGATTTCATTCTGGGACATAGAGTATGAGGAGCAGCATGCTCAGATGGGGTGAAGATACAATCTGGTGAGGAGTGGGTGGGGTCCCACAACTTCACCTTCCAAAAAAAAAATGAAGACAGAGGACACAGAAGGTACTCCCAACTCCATGCCTGCATTCCCTTAATTGCACAAGCAGTCCACACTGTGGCTCAGTTTTTAGTTGGGAGTACTCCAACGTACAAGGAACAATAGGAGTGCAAGTCAGGGCCACTTTGGCAAACTCCCGATTTGAGGGCTTTCATACCTGAAAACAAATGGGAATGGAATTCATTGATTCTTTGTGGGATGTGGCTGGTACACTTCCCTCTTATTTTCCTGAGTTCTATGTTTCTCATTGGCGTAGGGTTTCCTGGGTCTGGCTCAATGAGTTCCACACTAAACATTTCCTAGTTCATGGAGAACACCCTCATGGGAATATATTACCAGAGTGTTTCCTTCTAAACACTCTCACTTTTTAATACCTGGGCAGCTTTGATATTTTTAAAACTGTTAATTCCCATTAGAGCCACCAACAAGAAATCTCTTGTTCTCCCATTTCTGTTGGAGAGCTGCATGATTCCTGTTGGATGAGAAGCAGGGAGGTGTGTCTGGCCTTTGTCTGGTAATGTGGCCTTTGTTTCATTTCATCTTCACGGACATCTCATTATGGAAAATCTCTTTTATTGGACAGTTGCTGGATGGAATTGCCTGTCCTTACAGATTATTTAGTCTCCAGGGTTTTCAGAGAGCAAAAAGGGAATACAGGCAGGCTGGCTGCACTCCAGGTTGTGGTTTGTTGTCTCCTTATGGGGGCTGAGGGGCTTTGCACTTTGCAGGAGGTTTTTTAATGTTCTGACAAAAATTATTAAATATTGCTTGGACTCCAGCACAGGGCAGCTCATTGCCTCAGGTGATTTTGATTCTTCTTTGCTTTCATGTGGAGTCCTCGGTGCCCCTCAACAACACCATGGGACACCATTTTCAGGCTGGCCATTTCCACAGACCGTGTCTGAGACACTGTCTTAACCTCATCTTCACCTGTGGGAGGCCAGTTCAAGGAGTGGGAACACTGCTCCACTTTGGACTTGCCTTTGTCATGGTTCCTGCCTTTCTCAGAGAGCCCCTTTGAGGCCCAGGATACAGGGAGGCAGTGAGGACATGTACCCAGCCATCTTTTGCTGACATCCACCTCTAGGGTCACAGATATTATTCCATCACCCAAAGAACCCTCAGCAACACACCAGACTATATTCCAATCCTCATGGGGCCAGATTATTGAAAACAGTCTCTTTCCAGAATGGAGTCAGAAGAGCAGTTTCCAGCGACCACCTCACAGTATCAAAATGCCTCCTCCTCCAGTGGCACCTGACTAAGGAGACATCATGAAGATGCCCTGAGGTCCAGACTTTTAGCGTCCCACTGTGAGTTTTCACAGGCAGCCTTGTTCCTCATACCAAGTGGGCTCTGGCTGTTTCATTTTCCTCTGCTTCAGCAGAATGATGGCTCTAAAAGCTGTGTGTCCTAACCTCCCTTATGAATGTGTGTATTCTAGTCTCAGGGCACCTGGCCTGATTGTGAGCTTTGCCTTGCCTCATAATGAATGTCACCATTTCCTAGTGACAAGTACCTGCAGCTTGGTAGAGGAGAATTCCTTAGATGTGAGTTGGCCTTTGGCTCTCGACTGTCTTTTTTGTGGGATTTAAGTGATTGTCTCATCATCTTAGGAGAGAACATAAGTGAAACAGCCTGAAGAAATGGCAAGCAGAGCCCCAGGAATAAACTGAGAAATCCCTATGGATTTAAATGGATCTGTAGAATTCCTCAAGCCTGCCTAGGCTTTGTAGGGGAGAGTCTGTTTGAAACTTCCACCGCTGTGATTTTTAGGTATAGCCCATATCTCTTCTTTGAGGTATCTCTCTCCCAGTTGGGGCTTACTGAGAAACTACACAGCCTCAGGAACTGCTGGGCTTTGTGTTTCTGTAGGATTGTTGAGAGTGTTGGATGTCTGAGTGTGTGTGGCATTGTGTGTTTGTGTGTCTGTCTGTCTGTAAGTGAAGTCTGCTTAAAGAATTGTGGCAAATGCATTTCAGCACCCTTTTTTTAGTCTCTCACCATTTGGTGGCCTGTCTGTATTGCTCTGCTTGGGCTGCAGGCTCTGTATTCTTTATTTTTCTGTAGGTCATTAATCCACAGTGAATTTGCACACATGCTGAAACCTGCCACCATCCCAATCACCTCCCTATGCCAAAAAATAATAATAATAAAAAAGCCAGTCTTCTAGGAATAGGAGAAGGACATCACACCAAAAGACAAACATTTCTGTGTTTTATTGTGCTGTGGCCAACCCAGGGAGAGACACTAGCAGTTCTTTCTGCAGGGCCCCTTTAAAGGGTTACCTCGAATTCAGTTCCCAGCAGAGCAGGTGCTTCATGTAGTGAGGGGTCACTCCTCCGTTTGTGTTGAGATTTCATCTTAGGACATAGAAAATGAGCAGCAGTAAGGTCAGGTAGGGGTGAGGATTCATTCTGGTGAGGGGTGGATGGGATCAAGCAACCTCACCTGCAAAAAAAATGAAGACCCATGACACTGAATGTGCTTCTGAAACCACTCTTGCATTCCCCTAATTGCACAAGCAGTCCACTCCATGGCCTGGCGTTCAGTTGGGAATACTCCAAAGTTTAAGGAACGTTTGAAGTGCAAGTTGGAGCTTTCCTGGCAAACTCCTGATTTAAGGGCTTTCATACCTGGAGCCAAATGGGAGTAAAATATTTTGATGTTGGGTGAAATGTGGCCTTCACACTTGCCTCTTCTTTCCCTGAATTCCATGTCCCTCATTGGGCTAGTGTTTTCTATGTCTGGCTCAATGACTTTCAAACTGAACATTTCCGAGTTCACAAAGAATGAGCCTTATGGGAATCCATTGCGACGGTGTTTAATTCTAAACACCGTCAAGTTTTAATGACAGGGCAACTTTGATATTTTTAAAACTATAAGTTCCCATTGCAGCCACCAACTAGGAAATTCCTGTTCTTTCACTTCTTTCAGAGGGCTGCATTATTCCTGTAAGATGAGAAACAGACAGCCTATTTTGGCTTTTGCATGGTGATCAAGCCTCTGTTGTATTTCATCTGCAAGTCTTCTCATTAGGAGGGGCTTTTTCATTGTCTGCTGCTGGATGGAACAGCCTCTTGCCACAGATTATTTGGCTGCCAGGGATTTCAAAGAGCACAAGAGACTTCAGGTAGGATGGCTGCTCTCCAGGTTTTGGGTCATTATCTCCTTGTGGGGACTGCGGTTGTTTGCACTTTGCAGGAGACTTTTGGGTTCTCTGACATGAATCATTGAACATTAATTGGACTGCCGCACAAGACAGGTCTTTCACTTAGGTGAGCCTTGATTTTTCTTTTCTACCATGGAGAACCCACAGTGCCTCTCAGCAGCACTACTAGACACACTTTTCAGGCTTGCCATCACCACAGACAACATCTGAGACCCGATTTCAACCTCATCTGCACCTGTGAGAGGCCAGTCCAAGGGGGAGAACACTGCACCACTTTGGACTTGCCTTTGTCATAATTCCTGTCTTTCCCAGAGAGCTGCTACAAGGCTCAGGATGAAGGGAGGCAGTGAGATAAAGAGCCCAGCCATCTTTCACTGACACCCACCTCTGGGGTCTCAGGTATGGTTCTATCTCCTAAGGAATGCTCAACAACGCACCAGATTTTATTCCAATCTCCATGGGACCCGATTCTGGTACACAGTCTCTTTTGGTAATGGAGTCAGAAGAACAGTTTCTGGGAAACACCTCACTGTCTTGAAACACCTCCCCTTTCAGGTAGATCTGACCATGGAGACAGCCAGAAAGGGCACTGAAGTTGAGACTTTTAGGGTCCAGCAATGGGTTATCCCAGGCTGCTTTATTACTGGTATCAAGTCAGTTCTGCCTGTACCATTTTTCTCTGCTTAGGCTGGCTGACAATTCTAACAGCTGGGCACCGGAGCCTGCTTCATGAATGCTCATCAGCTAGTCTCAGGGCACCAGGCCTGAATGTGGGCTCTGACTAGCATCACAATGAATGTCACCATTGTTTAGTGACAAGTCCCTGTAACTTGGTGGAGAAGAAAATATCCGTCGAGGTTCTTTGGCATTGGACCCATATTTGTCTTCTCTTTGGAACCTATGCCATAATCCCATGAATAGAGGAGAGGGCAGAAGTGAGCCAGCCTGAAAAAATGTCAGTCAGAGCCCCTGAAATAAACTGTGAAATCCCTAAGGATCCAAAAGGATTCACAGGATTTCTCATTCCTGCCTAGACTTTGTAGGTGTGAGTATTTTTGAAACTTTCCATACTGTGATTTTTAGGTACAGCCCATCTGTGTCTCCCGTGGTTGCTCTTTCATAGTTGGGTCTTCCTACAAAACCACAGAGTCTCAGAAACTGCCAGGCTGTGTGTTTCTGTGGGAATGTTATGAGTGTTGGATGTCTGTGTGTGTGTGCTATTGTGTTTGTGTGTGTGTGTGCCTGTAAGTGAAGTCTGCTTAAAGAAATGTGGCTAACGCACTTCTTGGATTTTTTTTTCTGAGTATTCTAACATTTTGGTGGCCTTCCTGTGTGGCTCTTCTTGGGCTGTGGGGTTCCATGTTCTTTATTTTTCTGTGGATCATGGACTGCAATGTATTGGGAGGGGACCAAGACTCTCAGGCCTCCAAAACTCTGCCCCATGAAAAAAGAAAAAAAAGCCACTCTTGTAGAAAGAAGAGTAGCATATCACACCAAAAAAGGGACATCTTCCAGTGTTTCATTGTCCTTAGGCCAACCCAGCAAGAGACACTGGCAGTTCTGTCAGCAGGACTCCTTGGAGTCACATCAAATTCAGTTTCCAGCTGACCAGGTGCTTCATGTAGGGAGGGGGCACTTCTCCATCATCTTGATATTTCATGCTGGGACAGAGTGTAAGCAGCAATAAGGTCAGATGGGGTGAGGAAACAACCTGGTGATTGGTGGATGGGGTCCCACAACTTCACCTGCAAAAAAAATGAAGACAGATGATACAAAAAGTGCTTCCAACTCCATCCCCACTTTTCCTTAATGGCACAAGTAGTCCACACCATGGCTGAGTGTTTAGGTGGTAAGGAAGGAGACCACCTCTCTTATTATCTCATAACTCAGAATAAGAAAGAAGAAGCAAAAGCTAAAGAAAGGCAAAAATGAGATCAATAGTCAGACAGCGCAGCCTCACACCCCAGGCCTGGTAGTTAAAATTGAGTCCCTGACCTAAGCGCTTGTATTATCTATAGATTGCAGACGTTGTATGAGGAAGCATTGTGAAACTTTCTCTACTGTTCTCTTCTGTTCCTTCCTGATTATTGATGCATACCACCCCAGTCACATACCCGCTGCCAGCTCAACCAATCACAGCCCTTTCATATGGGCCCTTAAAGTTGTAAGCCTTTAAAAGGGGCAGGAATCTCTCTATTGGGGAGCTCAGTTTGTGAGATGCAAGTCTGCGATGCTCCCAGCCAAATGAAGCCACTTCTTTCTTTAACATGGTATCTGAAGGGTTTTGTCCACAGCTTGTTCTGCTACATTTTGTGATTCCCCTACGTGTAAGTGAACTGATTAGTGGACAGTCGATGCAGCCTCTTAGGTGGCTTAGGCCTGCCCTGTAGAGCATGCTTGTGCTGGGCTTTGGCCAGCTTGAGAAACGGGGATCCTGAGAGTGCTCCCGTGTAAGCAATTACCGTAGTGGAACACCTTGCCAGAGCAGTGCACAGCAGGCCCCCACAGAGTATTGACACTGTGGCTGCATGCCCTAAGGGAACTGGCACTTGGAGTACAGACATCTGGAACATGATAAGACTGGTCTTGAGAATTTACCAACTCCATTTGAGTGAAAGCGTGGCCTGATCACCCATGGCATGACTTTATCAGCACTTTGGTTTTGGTTTTGATTTGGACTTGGCTTCATTTACTTGATGTAATGAATTAGATGTGTAAGTGACCTTTGCCCTTTCCCCCTTGCAGTGCAAATGTTGTCTTGTCTCAGGAGAAAAATGGTTCAGACAAAAAGTAAGCCCACCCCACTAGGAACTATGTTGAAAAATTTCAAGAAGGGATTTAAAGGAGACTATGGAGTTACTATATCAAGGATACTTAGAACTTTGTGTGAGATAGACTGGCCAGCATTAGAAGTGGTTTGGCTGTCAGAAGGAAGCCTAGATAGGTCCCTTGTTTCAAAGTTATAGCACAAGATAACCTGTAAGCCAGGGCATCCAGACCTGTTTCTGTACATAGACACTGGTTAAGGCTGGTTTTAGAACCTCCACAGTAGTTAAGAGGTCAGGCAGCAGAAGCAGTGTTAGTGGCAAAGCGACATATATCCAAGGAAGGATTGGGCTCCACCTGATGAGGGAAGTTGGCTCCTAAATTTCAGTCTGACCCAATATCAGAAGACCCATGGCAGGAAATGGCACCAGTTATGGCCTTCTTCACCAAGAAGAGAGACTGCCCACAGCACGTGTGCCTCTGCAGGACACACACATCCCTAGGCCACCCAGAGTAGACAAAAGAAGATGTGAAGCCACGGGAGGAACCCCGCCTTTGGCAGCTCATTTACAACATAAGACTGGAATACAAAGGCCCCTGAAGGAACAGTGGTATACTGGGGTAGATGAGCATGGGCATATGGTGGAAAGGCATGCCTCTGTGTATCGACACTTTACCTCTGCTGATCTCCTAATTTGAAAAAGCAGTACCCCATCTTATACTGAAAAGCCTCAAGCTTTAATTGATTTGCTCCAAACTGTGATCCAGACACACAATCCTACTTGGACTGATTGCCATCAGTTGCTAATATACCTCCTTAACACAGATGAAAGATGAAGAGTGCTCTAGATGGCAACCAAGTGGCTGGAGAAACGTGTTCTGGCCAATTACAAAAACCCCCAGGAGCATGTGGAACCCAAAATAAGGGGAAGGTATAGAAAGGCTAAACTGATATAGGAAAGCCCTCCTAGAAGGGTTAAAGAAGGGAGCTCAGAAGGCCACAAATGTTAACAAAGTCTCTGAGGTCATTCAAGGAAAAGAAGAGAGTCTGGCATAATTTTATGAAAGGTACTCTGTGAGGCCTATCATATGTATACTCTCTTTGATTCTGAAAGCCCTGAAAATTAGTGCATGATTAACATGACTCTAGATAGTCAAAGCAAAGAAGATATTAGAAAAAAACTTCAGGAACAGGCTGGGTTTGCGAGTATGAACTGTCAAAGGCTGATGGCCTACTTCTCTAAACAAATAGACAGGGTTTCTAAAAGCTGGGCATCATGTTTGAGGGACTTATCAGTAACTGCCCTGCTGGCACAAGAAGCAGATAAACTAACTCTTGGACAAAACATGAACATTAAGGCCCCCCTTGCTGTGGTGATTTTAATGAATACAAAAGGACATCACTGGATAAAGAATGGTAGACTAGGTACCAAATCTTGCTCTGTGAAAATCCCCGCATAACCATTGAAGTTTGTAACAACCTGAACCCTGCCACCTTGCTTCCAGTATCAGAAAGCCCAGTTGAGGATAACTGTGTGAAGGTGTTGGACTCAGTTTACTCTAGAATACCTGACATGTGGAACAAGCCTTGGGCATATGTGGACTAGGATTTGTACTTGGAGGGTAAGAATTTTGTCAACCCACAAGGAGAAAGGTATGCAGAATATGCAGTGGTGACCCTGGACACTGTCATGGAGGCCATACTCTTGCCCCAGGATGCTTCAGCCCAGAAAGCTGAGCTCATTGCTTTAATTCAGGTCTTGGAACTCAGTGAAGGTAAGACTGTAAACATTTACACTGACTCTCGGTGTGACTTCTTATCCCTCCAAGCGCATGGAGCATTATAAAAGTAAAGGTCCTGTTAAACTCTGAAGGAAAGTACATAAAACATCAGCAAGAAATTGTGCAATTATTAGAAACAGTATGGAAACCCCAAAATGTGGCAGTCATGCATTGCAGTAGACACCAGGGAGCTTCTACCATGGTTGCTTTAGTGAACTCCAGAGGTGACTCAGAGGTTTGAAAATCAGTCTCTGGCCCTTACCAGTCATCAGTCTAAGCCCTCCTGCTTCCTCAGGCATCTGACCTTGTACCTACCTATTCTAAAGAAGAGAAAGCCTTTTTTCAGGTGAAGGAGGGCATACAGCAAAAGAGGGATGGATCTGGTTACCAGAGGGAAGAACAACCATGCCACAACTGCTAGGAGTCTCATTTGAGGTTGCTGTGCATGAAACTACCCATCTAGGTCAGGAATCACTTGACAAGTTGTTATGCAGGTACTTCTGTGTCTCATATTTTTCAGCCCTTGCCAGAACGGTGGTGCAGTGATGTATTACCTGCCAACAGCACAATGTGAGGCAGGGTCCAGCCGTTCTGCCCAGCATACAACTTGAGGGAGCAGCCCCTTTTGAAGACCTCCAGGTGGACTTCACAGGAATGCCAAAGTGTGGAGGTAACAAGTATTTTCTAGTTCTTGTGTCTACCTACTCTTGGTGGGTAGAGGCTTACCCAACACAAACTGAAAAGCTCATGAAGTAACCCATGTGCTTCTTCGAGATCTTATTCCTAGATTTGAACTGCCCTTATGAATCAGCTCATGTCATGGGCTGGCATTTGTGGCTGATTTCGTGCAGAAGACAGTAAACATATTGGGGATCACATGGAAACTGCATGCAGCCTACCTACCTCTTAGTTCTGGAAATGTGTTACGATTGAATTGGACTATGAAAAATAGCTTAGGGAATGTGTGCCAGGCAACAAGATTAAAATGATTACAGGCTCTCCCTATGGTATTGTTTAAGACAAGATGTACCCCTTGTAAAAGGACAGGATATTCCCCTTATGAAATGTCATATCACAGAACCCCTCCCTTATTATAGAGACACCCAGGGACGCCTCAAGATTTAGGTGAAATTGAGTTAGAGCAACAACTACAGGCTGTAGGAAAAATTACACAAACAATTTCAGCCTGGGTAAATGAAAGTTGCCCTATTAGCTTATTCTTCCTTGTTCACCTCTTCTCCCCAAGTGATCATGTGTGGATCAAGGACTGGAATGTAGCCCACCCACAACTACGGTGGGAAGGACCCCAGACCATCATTTTGACGACTCTCACAGCATGAAAATAGAAGGATTCCCAGCCTGGATCAATCACAGTCATGTATCATCTACATTGTCTGAGACCTGAGAGGTGAGACTGAGCCTGGTGGACCCCTGCAAAGTGACATTGAGAAAGATGGCAAGCCCTGCTACAGTCACAACCAGAAGCTTACTGTTGTATGCATGGCAAAAGAATGAGGATACTCATCATGGGATTTATTCTCCTTAAAATTTGTACTTCTATAATAAAGACTGATTTTTCCTGCATGGAGGACTGTTCCCAGTTTATTCATCAGGTTACTGAGGTAGTACAACAAGTTCAAAGAATCTTTTTGTTTTATATTTATTATGAATGCCTAGGAACTTCAAAAGGAACTTGCCTATATAATTCGACTCAGTATAAAGTGTGCAGCCTAGGAAATGACTGACCTGATTTGTACTACAACCCATCTGAGCCTCCTATGATCACAGTCTTTGAAATAAGATGAAGAACTGGTCCATTTCTTACTGATACAAGTAAAACAATAGCTAAAATAGAAGAAAAAGGAAACCCCAAACAGATAATCTTAAATTTTGATGCTTGTGAATCCATCAATAGCAACCAGTAAGGATTAGGATGTGGCTCTCTAGATTGATAAAAAAGTTATACAGCAGACAATTAGTATATTTGTCATGAGTTAGGCTTATGTGAAAAAGTATGGAATTACTGGTCTGGCATCATTTGGGCTACCTGGAAAAAGAATGAAAAAGATCTGGTATGGCTTTAAAAAGGAAAGGGTGATTCCTCTTGCATGAATGGCCACTGTAACCCCTTAGAAGTAATAATCACCAAACTCCTAGTCCCCCATTGACAAAAGGGAGAACATGTAACTCTATGGATCAATGGAGCTGAACTGGTCCTCGAGTAAATATTTTAGTCCTAGGAGTGTTGAAAAGGCACTCTCTCAAACCAGTGTTTCAGACCTTGTATGATGAATTGAATGTGCCAGTACCAGGGCTCCCAGGGAAGACAAAGAAGCTGTTCCTGCTGTTAGCAGAAAATGTAGCCCATTCCCTCAATGTACTTCCTGTTATGTATGTGAGTTAACCACTGTGGAAGAACAGTGGTGTTGGGAAACCGGAGAATTAGTGCCCACTAATCCAGTTCCTGATAGGATTCCAGTCCAGAATGCCCACACTGACAACTTCTGGTTCTTAACTACCCAATTATTAGGCAGTACTGCATAGTTAGAGAAGGAAAGAACTTCACCCTCCCTCTGGGAAGGCTCATCTGCCTTGGGCAAAAACTGTATAATGGCAAAGTAAAAACAGCCATTTGGTGGGTTTCAAACCACACTGAGAAAAATCCATTTAATAAATTTCCAAAGTTGTAATCTATGTGGACCCATTCAGAGACTCATTGGGACTAGACTGCCACCACTAGACTATAACGGATATGTGGGCATAGAGCCTACCCCAAGTTATCTCACCAATGGTCAGGTAGTTGTGTTATCAGCACCATTAAACCATCTTTATTCCTACTGCTCAGGAAAACAGGTGAACTCCTGGGTTTTCTGGTCTATGCTTCCTTAGAAAAGAGAAGCATAGCTACCGGTGATTGAAAAGATGATGAGTGGCCCCCTGAAATAATCATACAGTAATATCAACCTGACCCTTGGGCACAATATAGCTCTGGGGATGCCAAACCCCCATTAAATGATCAACAGGATCATATAGTTGCAAGCTGTCTTAGAAATAATCACTAATAAAATCAGTAGAGTTTTGACTGCTTTAGCTAGGCAGTAAATCTAGATGACAAATGCTATTTATCAAAATAGATTAGCCCTAGACTACTTGCTAGCAGCTGAAGGAGCAGTCTGTGGAAAATTTAACCTAGTCAATGGCTGTCCGCATATAGAAGATCAAGGAAAAATGTCAAAAATATAATCAGAGATATGACAAAGCTGGCACATGTTTTTATACAGGTTTTACATGGGTTTGATCCTGGATTAGTATTTGGAAAATGGTATCCCAGCACTAGGAAGATTTAAAACTATTGTAATAAGAATAACAATAGAAATAGGAACTGGCTTGTTGTTCTCCTACTTGCTGCCCATGCTCCTTCAAATAATGAGAAAGTCTGTTACTGACTTTGTCCACCAAAGTGCTTCAGAACAAGTATGTTACATGAATCCATATCAATCTGTCTTGCAGGAAGACCCAGGTACTGAGGATGATAAGTACTCCCACTAATAAGTGAGATCCTCAAAGGGGGTAATAAGGAAAGAGACCACCTTTCTTATTGTCTCATAACTCAGAAAAAGAAAGAGAAAGCAAAAGCTAAAGAAAGGCAGAAATGAGATCAATAGTAAGAGAGTCCAGTGCCACAGCCCAGGCCTGCTAGTTAAAAATCAGCCCCTGACCTAAACATTTGTATTATCTATAGATTTCAGACCTTGTATGAGAAAGGGATGTGAAACTTTCTGTGCTGTCCTGATTACCAATGCATGGAGCCCAGCCACATTGTCCATGCTGGCCCAATCTATCACGACCCTTTCAAGTGGGCTCACTTAGAGGTGTAAGCCTTTTAAAGGGGCAAGAAACTCTCTCTCAGGAAGCTCAGTTTTTGAAATGCAATCTGCCCAAACTCCCAGCAGAATAAAGACACTTCCTTATTTAACTAGGTGTCTGAAGGGTTTTGTCTGCAGCTCATCCTGCTACAGTAGAAGAAGTACACCAATGTGCAAGTAATATTTTTAGTGCAAATAGCAGCTAACCAGGAAAACTCCTGATTTATGGGCTTTCATACCTGGAGTGAAATGGGAGTGGAATGGATTGATGCTGTGTGGGATGTGGCCTCCACACTTGTCTCTTCTTTCCCTGCCTTCCATTTTCCTCCTCAGCCTAGGGTTTCCTGGGTCTGGCTCAAAGACTTCCACAGTAAACGTTTCCCAATTCAATGAGAATGACTCTCATTGTGAGTGTTTCTTTCTAAGCTTTGTCTCGTTTTAATGACAGGGCAGCTGTGATACTTATAAAACCATAAAATGTCATTAGAGACTCCAACAAAGATACTTTTCTTCTTTCACTTCTATTGGAGGGTTGCATGATTCTTGTAGCATAAGAAGCTGGTAGCCTTGTCTAGCATTTGCCTGGTAATCTAGCTTCTGTTTCATTTCATATGCACAGCCTTCTAATTGTGGAGGTGTGGTTTCATTGTGCTGCTACTGGATTGGACTGCCTCTCAGAACAGATTAATTAGCTGCCAGGTATTTCAGAGAGCAAAAAGACTTTGGCTAAGCTGGCTGTGGTCGAAGTTGTTGGTCATTGTTTTGTTGTGGGAACTGAGTTTGGTTGCACTTTGCAGGAGGAACTGAGTTTAGTTACACTTTGCAGGAGGCTTTAGGGTCTTCTGTCAGGAATCATTGAACATTGGTTGGACTCCAGCCCAAGGCAGCTCATTCTCTCAGGTGAGCCTTAATTTTTCCTTACTTTCATGGGGAATCCACAGTGCCCTTCAACAGCATTACTTGGCATACTTTACTGGCTTGCCATCAGTGCAGACAGCCTTGGAGATGCTGTCTCAATCTTATATGCACCTGTGAGAGGCCAGTCCAAGGTGTGAAAACACTGCTCCACATTGAACTTCCCTTTGTTGTGATTCCTGCCTTTTCCAGACAGCACCTCTGAGGCCCTGGATGAAGGAAGGCAGTAACAACAGCAGTCCTGCCATCTTTCATTTACACCCACCTTTGGGGTCTTACCTATGTTTCTATCAGTGAAAGAACCCTCAAAAACACACCAGACTATATTCCAATTCCCGTGGGACTCAATTCTTGCACAGAGTATCTTTCCAGAATGAAGTCAGAGGAGCAGTTTCCAGCAGCCACCTCACAATCTCAAAATGCCTCCTCCTCCATCGGAAACTGACCACGGAGACAACAGAAGGGGTCATGAGGTTGAGACTTTTATGGCTCCACTCTGAGTTTTCATAGGGAGCCTTTCTCCCAATACCAGACAAGCACTGCCTGTATGATTTTTCTCTGCTTAGGCATGCTGACAGGTCAGAGAGCTGGCTCTAGAGTCGGCATCAGGAATGCACCTGCCCTAGTCTCAGGGCACCAGGCTTGATTGTGAGCTGTTGCCTAGCAACAAGTCCCTGTGGCTCGCTGGATGAGACCTCCGTGGAGATGCATCAGTGGTGGACTCTTATCTGTCTTCTCTGTGGGATCCACAATATAGTCCCATGATTTTAGGAAAGGGGAGATGTAAGCCAGCCTAAGGAAAGGTCAAGCATAGCCCCAGGAATAAATCAAGAAATACCTAAGAATCCAAAAAGATCTGCAGGGTTCCTCAGGTCTGCCTACAATTTGTAGTGGTGAGCCTTTTTGCAACTTGCCCAACTGTGATTACTAGGTACAGCACACGAGTGTAACCAGGTGATGCTCTCTCCTAGGTGGGGCTTCCTGTAGAATTATGCAGTCTCTGGAACTGCTGAACTGTGTGTTTCTGTGCAAGTGTTGTGAATGTTGGATGTCTGCTTGTATGTGTGAGTGTGTGTGTGTACGCATGCCTGTAAGTGAAGTCTGCTTAAAGGAAGGTGGCTAACACACCAGCACTTCTTTTGTTTTTTGAGTCTCCCAACCTTTTGGTGTCCTGTCTGTGTGGCTCAGCTTTGGTTAAGGGGCTCTGTGTTCCTTATTTTTCTGTGGATCATGAATCCACAGTGAATACAGAGGCTGGCTGAGACCCGCAGTCAGCCAAAACACCTTCCACTGAAAAAAAAAGAAAAAAGAAAAAGAAAAAGAAAAAAAAGCCAGTCTTCTGAAAAGAAGACTAGCACACTACACACACACACACACACACACAGACACACACACATAAAAAATAAATAAATAAGACATCTCCCAGTGTTTCACTGTCCTGCAGCCAACCAAGGAAGAGACATGAGCAGTCCTGTCCCCAGGGCCTTTTGAATTTAACTTGAATTCTGTTGCAACTGAGCAGGTGCTTCATGTCATGAGAGGGTAATCCCCCATCATCTTGGGATTTCATCATGAGATGTAGAGTAGGAGCAGCAATAGGTCAGATAGAGGTGAGGACACAATGTGGTGAGGGGTGGATGCTGTACCACAACTTCACCTACAAAAAAAATAAAGACAGATGATACAGAAGGTGCTTCCAACTCCATTTTCACATTCCCTTAATTAAACAATTAGTCTACACCATGGGCCTAGTGTTCAGGTGGGAGGACTCCAACATGCAAGGAGCATTTCTAGTGCAAACTGGGGCCATCCAGGCAAACTCCTGATTTGAGGGCTTTCACACCTGGAGCCAAATAGGAGTGGAATCAATTGATGCTGGTTGGGATGTGGCCTCCAAACTTGCCTCTTCTTTTCTTGACTTCCATGTTCCTTGTTGGTCTAGTGTTTCCTGGGTCTGGCTCAATGACTTCCACACTAAACGTTTCCCAGTTCATGGCTTACAAACCTCTTCAGAATACATTCCATGATTGTTTTCTTGTAAAAACTCTCAAATTGTAATGATTGGGAAATTATGATACTTTTAAAAGCATAAATTCTCATTAACAGTACCAACAAGGAAAGTTATTATTTTGCTTCTATCGGAGGGCTGCATGATTCCTGTAGAATGAGAAGCAGGCAGCAAAGTCTGGCTTTTGCCTGGTAATATAGTCTCTGTTTTATTTCATCTGCATGGCTCTCTTATTTTGGAGGGTCTTTTTCATTGGTCTGTTGCTGTATGAAACTGCCTCTCACTACAGATAATTTAGCTTCCAGGTATTTCAGAGAACAAAACAGACTTCATCTGGGCTGGCTGCACTCCAGGTTGTGGGCCATTGTTTCATTGTGGGGGATAAGGCGGTTTGCACTTTACATGAGGCTATTGAATCTTCTGACAGGAATCATTGACTATTGCTTGGACTCCAGCACAAGGCAGCTTCTTCTCTCAGGCTAGCCTTGATTTCTTTTCTTTTCTTTTTTCTTTTTTTCAGAGTCTCCTAACCTTTGGGTGACCTGTGTTTCTCTACTTAAGCTGTGGAACTCTGTGTTCTTTATTTTTCTGTGAGTCATGAATCTGCAGTTAATTGGGAGGCTGGCTGAGACATACCACTGTCCAAATCACATCTCCCTGTAAAAAAAGAGAGAGAAAAAAAGCCACTCTTTTAGAAAGAAGATAAGCATGTCACACCCAAGAACTTACATCTCTCTGTGTTTCATTGCTCTGTGGCAAATCCAGGGAGAGACAATAGCAGTCCTGTTTGCAAAGACCCTTAAATTTACCTAAATTCAGTTCCCATGCAAGCAGGTCCTTCACATCATGAAGGGGATCTCCTCCATCGCCTTGTGTTTTCATTGTGGGACATAAAGTGTGAGCAGCAATAAGGTCAGATGGGGTAAGGATACAATCTGGTGAGGGTAGGTGTAGTCCCACACATTAAACTGTAAATAAGGTGAAGACAGCTGATTCAGAAGGTTCTTCCAACTGCATTCCTGCATTCCCTTGATTTCACAAGTAACCACACCATGGCTCGGTGTTCATGAGGAAGTACTCCAACATGCAGGGAACGTTTGGAGTGCAAACTGGGGCCATCCTAGCTAACTCCCGATTTCAGGGCTTTCATTCCTGGAGCCAGATGGGAGTGGGATGGACTGATGCTCGGTGGGATGTGGTATCCACACTTTCCTCTTCTTTTCTTGACTTCCATGTTCTTTGTCAGCCTACGGTATCCTGGGTTTCACTCAACAACTTTCACACTAAATGTTTCCCACTTCCTGGAGGTTGACACCCAGGGGAATCAATTGTGTGAGTGTTTCCTTTTAAACACTGTCATGTTTTAGTGACTGGGAAGCTTTGATTTTTTAAAAGCAAAAATTCCCATTAAAGCCACCAACAGGGAAACTCTTGTTCTCCAACTTATTTATTTATTTTATTTTTATATTATTTTATTTTATTTTATTTATTTTATTTTATTTTTATTTTATTTTATTTTATTTTTTTGAGACAAAGTCTCAATCTGTTGCCCAGACTGGAGTGCAGTGGCATGATCTCAGCTCACTGCAAGCTCTGCTTCCTGGGTTTAGGCCATTCTTCTTCCTCAGCCCCCCGAGTAGCTGGGACTGCTAGCACCCAGCACCATGCTTGGCTAATTTTTTTGTATTTTTTGGTAGAGACAAGGGTTCATCCTGGTGTTATCCAGGATGTTCTTGATCTCCTGACCTCATGATCCACTCACTTCTGCCTCCCAAAGTGCTGGAATTACAACCATGAGCCACCGTGCCTGGCCCCTGTTCTCCCACTTCTATTGAAAGACTGCTTGATTCCTGCAGGATGAGAAGCAGCGAACCCTGTCTGGATTTGCCTGAAAATCAAGGCTTATTTCACTTCATCTTCATGTCCTTTCTCATTGTGGAGGGGCTCTTTCATTAAGCTTTTGTTGGACAGGAGTTCCCCCATCAACAGTTCTTTTGGCTGCCAGGGATTTCAGGTAGCAAAAGGGACCATGGGTAGGTTGTCTGTTCTCCCAGTGGTGTGTTGTGAACTTATTGTGGTGGTTCAGGTTGTTTGCACTTTGCAGAAGATTTCTGGGTCCTGTAGCATGAATCTTTGAATGTTTCTGGGACTCCAGGACAATTCAGTTTGTTCTCATAGGTGAGCCTTGACTTTTCTTTGTTTTCATGTAGGTTCCTAATTGCACCATGACAGCATTTCTGACATCTTTTTCAGGCTTTCAATCACCACAGATGGCTTCTGCAACACTATGTCCATCTCTTCTGCACACGTCAGAGACAAGTTTGAGGTATGGGAACACTGCTCCACCTAGCACTTGCATTTGTCATGGTTTCCGCCATTTCCAGAGAGCCCGTGTGAGGCCAAGGATGAAGGGAGGCAGTGAGGTCAAGGGTATGTCCATGATATTTTGACACTCACCTCTAGGGTCTCAGGTATGATTACATCACTCAAAGACCCTTTCAACAACTCACTAGACTGCATTCCAATCCCCACTGGACCCAATTCCTGCACTCAGCCCCTTTCAGGAATGGAGTCAGAAAAGTAGTTTCCAGTGACCACCTCACAGTCTCAAAAGTCCTCTTCCTGCAGCAGAATCTGACCACAGAGACAGTTTTAAAAGTCCCTAAAGTTTAGAAATATAGGGTACCACAGTGGGTAACTGCAGGCAGCCTCTTCCCAAATACCTAGCCACCTCTACCTGTTCCTCTTTCCTTAGCTTAGTCAGGCAGACAGCTCTTATAGCTGGGCACACAAACCTGACTCCTGAATGCACACACAGTAATCTCAGGGAACCAAGCCTCAGCTGTGAGTTCTGGCTAGCCTCATAATGCATGCCACCATTGCCTAATGACAAGTCCCTGTTTGGCAGAGGAGACCTTCGTGGAGGTGCATCGGTGGTATACTCTTGCCTGTCTTCTCTGTGGGATCCATGGGAGAGTCCCATGATCCTAGAAGCAGGCAGACTTGAGCCATCCTCAAGAAATTTCAAGCATAGCCCCAGGAATAAACCATGAAAGCCCTAAGGGTCCAAAAGGATCTGCGGAATGACTCTTGGGCTGGCTTGATATTGGAGAGATGAGTCTTTCTGAAACTTGCCCCTCTGTGATTTCTAGGTACAGCCCGCCTGTGCTCCCAAGGATTGTTCTCTCCCAGATCGTGCTTCCTGCAGAACCACACAGCCTGAGAAACTGCTGGGCTGCGTGTTTCTGTGAATGTTTCAAGTGTTGAATTTCTGCATGTGGGTGTGGATTTGTGTTTCTGTGTGTGTGTGTTTGTGTGTGCTTGTAAGTGGAGTCTGCTTAAAGAAATGTGGATAACCCACTGCAGCTCTTTTTTTTTTTGAGTCTTTCAATCCTTTGGTGGCCTGTCCACATGGCTCCACTTTGGCTGCGTGGCTCCATGTTCTTTATTTTTCTGTGGATCATAAATTTGCAGTCAATTGGGAGGCTGGCTGAGACATGCCGTGGTTCAAATCACCTCTTCCTGCAAAAAAAGCCACTTTTCTAGAAAGCAGAGGAGAACACCACACCCAAGAACAGACATCTCCCAGAGTTTCACTAGCCTGTGGACAACCCAGGGAAAGACACTGGCAGTGTTTTCCTCAGATCCCCTCACATTTACCCTGAATTTGGTTCCCAGCCAAGCAGGTGCTTCACATCATCAGGGGACATTCTTTTATGGTCTTGGGATTTCATTCTAGCACAAAGAATATGAGAAGCAATGAGGTCAGATAGGGGTGAGAAGACAATCTTTCACTGATGCCCACCTCTGGGGTGTCAGGTATGATTCTATCACCCAAAGACCCCTCCTCAACTAACCAGACTACATTCCAATCACCATGGGACCCAATCCTTGTACACAATCTCTTTGGGAAATGGAGTCAGAAGAGCAGTTATCCATGACCACCTCATAGTCTTGAAATGCCTCCTCCTTCAGCAGGACCCAAACACAAAGATGGCCTGTGTGGCCCTAAGGTCAAAACATTTAGGGTTTTGCAGTGGGTAATTGCAGGCAGCCTACCTCCCAACACCAGGGTGGCTCTGCCTGTACCATTTTCCTCTGCTTAGGTAAGCTGACAACTCTGACAGCCAGGCTCTTGAGTTTGCCCACAAATAGGCATGATCTGGACTCAGGGCACCAGGCATGAATGTGAGCTCTTGCTAACATCACAATGAATGTCACCGTTGCCTAGCGACAAGTCCCTGGGGCTTGGCAGAAAAGATATTTGTGGAGGTGCTTCAGCGGCGGACTCTTACCTGTCTTCTCTGTGAGATCCATGGCATAGTCCCATTACTCGAGGAGAGGGCAGATGTGAGCCAGCCAGAAGAAATGTTAAGCAAAGCCCTAGGAATAAACCGCAAAATTCCCAGAGATCCAAAAGGATCTGCAGGATTTATCAGGCATGCCTATACGTTCTAGGGGTGAGTCTTTTTGAAAGTTGCCCCACTGTGATTTCTAGCTACAGCCCAGCTGTGTTTCCCCAAGTTCCTCTCTTCCAGGTGGGGCTTTCTGCAGAACCACACAGCCTCAGGATATGCCAGGCTGTGTGTTTCTGTGGGAGTGCTGCGAGTGTTGGATGTCTTCCTGTGTGTATGGCATTGTGTGTTAAAGTGTGTGTGTTGACTGTAAGTGGAGTCTGCTTAAGGAAATGTAGCTAACACAGTTCAGCCCTTGCTTTTGGAGTCTCAAAACCTTTTGTTTGCCTGTGTGTATGGCTCTGCTTGGGCTGTGGGACAACGTGTTCTTTATTTTTTAGGTGGATCATAAATCTGCAGTGAATTGGGAGACGTGCTGAGACCTGGCGGCATTCAAATTATCAACCCATGCCAAGAAAGCCACTCTTCTAGAAAGAAGGGGGGTACACCAGAGAAAAAAAAATCCCAGTGTTTCATTGTCATGAGGCTAAGCCAGGAAGAGACACTACAGTCTTGTCTGCAGAGCACCTTAAATTTATCTGTAATTCGGTTCCCAGCTGAGCAGGTGCTTTATTTTACGAGACGGCACTCCTCCATTGTTTTGGGATTTTACCCTGGGAAATAGAATGTAAGCAGCAATATCCCATAGAGGTGAGGATGCAATCTGATGAGGGGTGGATGTTGTCTCACAATTTCACCTGCAAAAAAAAAAAAAAAGAAGAAGAAGACAAATACCACAGAAGTTTCTTTCAACACCATCCTCAGATTCCTTTAATTGCAAAAGCAGTCCATAACATAGCCTGGTGTTCAACTGGGACTACTCCAGAGTGCAAGGAATATTTAGAGTGCAAATTAGAGCCATCCTTTCATACCTGAAGCCAAAAGGAAGTGGAATAGATTGATGCTTATTAGGATGTAACCTCCACACTTGCCTCTTCCTTTTCTGACTTTCATGTTCCTCATCATCCTGGGTTTTCCTGAGTCTAGCTCAGCAACTTCCATAGTAAATGTTTCCCCACTGACTGAGAACGACTCTCATGGGAATCCATCGTGTAAATGTTTCCTTCTAAACACTGTCATGTTTTAATGACTAGGCAACTTTGATAATTTTAAAATTCTAAATTCCCTTTACAGCCACCAACAAGGAAACTCTTGTTCTCCTGCTTCTATAGGAGGGCTGCATGATTCCTGCAGAGAGAGAAGCATGTAGCATTGTCTGACTTTTGCCTGGTAATCTAGCCTCTGTGTCATTTTATCTGCATGACATTCTCATTGTGGAGGGTTTCTTTAAATGGGCCATTGCTGGATTGGACTGCCTTTTGCCACAGATTGTTTAGCTACCAGGGATTTCTGAGAGCAAAGCGGACTTCGGGTCAGCTGGCTACACTCTAGGTTGTGGGTCATTTCCTCCCTCTGGGGGCTGAGGTTGTTTGCACTTTGTAGGATTCTTTTGGGTCCTCTGCCAGGAATCATTGAACATTGCTTGGACTCCAGCAGAAGGTAGTTTGTTCTTTCAGGTGAGACTTGATTTTTCTTTGCTTTCATGGGGAATCCACAGTACCCATCAACAGCACAACTGGACACATTTTTGTCAGCTTGCCAGCACCACACACCCCCTTTAAGAAACTGTTTTAACCTCATGTGCAAACTGGAGAGGCCAGTCCGAGGTGTGAGAACACTCTCCACGTTGGACTTGGCTTTGTCGTGGTTCCTACCTTTACCATAAAGCCCCAGATGAATGGAAGAACTGAGGTCAAGAGTTTGGCCATCTTTGACTGACAGCCATCTCTGAGGTCTCAGCTATGATTATATCACCCAAAGAACCCTTGAAAACACACCAGATTATATTCCAATCCCCATGGACCAGATTCTGGTACACAGCCTTCTTCATGAGTGGAGTCAGAAAAGCAGTTTCCAGCAACCCCCGCACAATGTCGAAAAGCCTTCTCTTCCAGCAGGACCAAACCACAGGATGGCCGATGTGTCCTTGACGTCAAGACTTTTAGGGTCTGACCATGGGTTTTCACATGGAACCTTTTTTTCTGATACAAGGACAGCTCTGCCTATACCATTTTCCTCTGCTTAGGCAGGCTGACGGCTCTGACAGCCGGATGCTCAAACCTGTGTCATGAATGCGCATGCACCAGTCTCTGGTCACGAGGCCTGATTGTGAGCTCTGTCTAGCGACACAATGAATGACACAGTTGCCTAGTAAAAAGTCCCTGCAGCTTGGCAGAGAAGACATCCGTGGAGGTGCATTGGTGGTGGGCTCTCGCGTGTCTTCTCTGTGGTATCCATGGGAATGTCCCATGATCTTAGGATATGACAGATGTGAGTCAGGCTGAAGAAACATCAAGCACCCCCCCAGGAATGAACCGCAAAATGCCTAAGCATCCAAAAATAATCCGCAGGATTCCTCAGGCCAGCCTACACACTGTAGGGGTGTCTTTTTGAAATTTCTCACATTGTGATTTCCAGGTACAGCCCACCTGTGTTCCCTGGGGTGTTCTCTTTCAGGTGGGGCTTCCTGCAGAACCACGCAGCCTCATGAGCTGCAGAGCTGTGTGTTTCTGTAGGAGTGTTGTGAGTGTTGGATGTCTGAGTGTGTGTGGCTTTGTGTGTGTGTGTGTCTGTGTGTGTGTGCACCTGTAAGTAAAGTCTTACAAAAATGTGGCTAAAGAACATCAGCACTTCATTTTTTTTTGTCACCCAGCCTTTTGTTTGCCTGTCGTGTGCCTCTGCTTGGGCTGCAGAGGTCCATGTTCTTTACGTTTTCATGGATAATGAATCTGGAGTGAATTAGGAGGCAGCCCAAGACCGTCAGTGTCAAAATCATTTCCCTCTGGAAAAAAAAAAAAAATCACTCTTCTAGAAAAAAGAGGAGACAACCATAGCAAGAAAATGGATATCTCATAGTGTGTAATTGTCCTGTGGCCAACCCAGAAAAAGACACTAACAGGCGTGTTGGTAGGGCAAGTTGAATTTACCTCGAATTCAGTATCCCACCGAGCAGGTGCTTCATGTCATGAGGAGGAGTGCCTCTATTGTCTTGGGATTTGATCCTAGGGCATAGAGTGTGAGCAGCAATAAGGTCATAAAGGGGTGAAGATACAGTCTGGTAAGGCATGGATGGGGTTCCGTAACTTCACCTCCAAAAATGATAATAACAATAAAGAGAGATTACACAGATGGTGCTTCCAACTCCATCCCCACCTTCCCTTTATTGTACTAGCAGTCCACACCGTGGCCCAGTGTTCAAGTGGCAGTTCTCCAATGTGAAAGAAACATTTGGAATGCAAACTGGGTCCATACTGACAAATTCCAGATTTGAGGGCTTACATACCTGGAGCCAAATAGGAGTGGAATGGATCAATGCTGGGTGGCATGTAGCCTCCACACTTTCCTCTTCTTTTCTTGACTTCCATGTTCCTCATTGGCCTAGAGTTTCCTGGATCTTGCTCAAAGATTTCCACACTAAATATTTCCCAGTTCTTGGAGAATGACTCTCATCTGTATCCATTTCATGAGTGTTTCCTTTTAAACACTGTTGCAATTAAATGACTGGGCAAATTTGATTATTTTTAAACTGTAAATTCCTGTTACAGCCAAAAACAAGGAACCTCTAGTTCCCCCACTTCTATCAGAGGGCTGCATGATTTCCACAAGATTAGAAGGATATAGCCACGTTGGCATTTTGCCTGGTAATCTAGCCTGTTTTATTTCATCTTCACTTCACGGCATTCTCATTGTGGATGGGCTCTTTTCATTGGGCTGTTTCTGGATGGGACTGCCTCTTGCCACATATTATTTAGCTCCCAGGTATTTCAGAGAGCAAAAGGGACTTCGGGTACGCTGGCTGTTCAGCAAGGTGTGGGTTGTTGTCTCATAGTGGAGGCTGAGGTTGTTTGCACCTTGCAGGAGGCTTTCGGGTCTTCTGAAAGGAATCATTGAACATTGCTTTGACTCCAGCACAAGGCAGCTCTTTACCTCAGATGAGCCTTGATTTTTCCTTGCTTTCATGGGGAATCGATACTGCCCCTCAACAACAGTACTGGACACCCTTTTGAGTCCTGCCATTGACACAGGTTACCTCTGAGACACTGTCTCAATCTCATCTGCACCTCTGAGAGGCCAGTTCAAGGTGTGAGAACATTGGTCTACCTTGGACTTGCCTTTGTCATGGTTCCTGTCTTTCCCAGGAAGTCTCTTGGGGGTCCAGGATGAAGGGAGGCAGTGAGTTGAAGGGCACAGCCATCTTTCACTGACATCAAACTCCGGTTCTCAGATATGGTTTTATCACCCAAAGAACCCTTGAAAACACAACAGATTATATTCCAATCCCCATGGGACCTGATTCTTGCACACAATCTCTTTCAGGAATGGAGTCCGAAGAGAAGTTTTCAGATACCAGCCCACAGTCTCAAAACACCTTCTCCTTCAGTGGGACCTGACCAGAGAGATGACTTATAGGGGTCATGAGGTCAAGATATTTATGATCTCACAGTGGGTTTTCGCAGGAAGACTTTTTTCTGATACTAGCATGGCTCTGACTGTACCAGTATTCTCTGCTTAGGCAGTCTGACAGCTCTGACAACCAGGCACCACAACCTGCCTCACAAACATGTATACACAAATCTCAGGGCAACAGGCCTTATTGAGAGCTTCGGTGACTGTCACAATAAATGTCACCACTGCCTAGTGACAAGTCTCTAAGGCTTTTCAGAGGAGTCTTCCATGGAAATTCATAGGCTGTGGACTCTCTCCTGTCTTCTCTGTCGGATCCACAGGACAGTCCCATGATTCTAGGAAAGGGCAGATGTGAGCCAGGCTGAAGAAACATCAAGCAGAGCCCCAAAAATAAACCTTGAAATCCATAAGGATCATAAAGAATCTGCAAGATTCCTCAGGTCTGCTTAGACGTAGGTGTAAGTCTTTTTGAAACTTGTCCCACTATGATTTGTAGGTACAGATTGCCTGTATTCCCTGGGGTTTCTGTCTCACAGGTGGGGCTTCCTCCAGAAACACGCAGCCTCAGGAGCTGCAGGCTCTGTGTTTCTGTGGGAGTTTTGAGAGTGCTGAATCTCTGGGTTTGCGTGTGGGGGGAGGTATTTTAAGTTTGTGTGTGTGTGTGTGTGTGTGTGGGTGTGTGTGTGTCTGTAAGTGAAATCTGCTTACAGGTATGTGGCTAACACACTTCAGTGCTTCTCTCTTTTTTTTTTTTTTGAGTCTTCAAATCTTTTGGTGGCCCATTTGTGTGGTTCTGCTTGGGTTGTGGGGCTCTGTGTTCTTCATTTTACTGTGGATCATGAATCCTCAATGAATCGGGAGGTGGGCTGAGACCCGCCTGCATCAAAATCAACTCCCTGTGCCAAAAAAGCCACTGTTGCAGAAAGAAGAGGAGGACAGCCCACCAAATAACAGACATCGCCCAGTGTTTTGTTGTCCTGTGGCTAAGCCAAGGAGAGACACTGGAATTCCTGTCCACAGGGCCCATTGAATTTACCTCGAATTCTGTTCCCAGCCTAGCAGGTGCTTCGTGTAGTGAGGAGGTGATCCTCTGTCGTCTTGGCATTTCATCCTTGGATATAGAATGTGAGCAGCCATAAGGTCAGATAAGGGTGAGGATGCAATCTAGTAAGTGGTGGATGTGGTCCCCCAACTACACATGCAAAAAAAAAAAAATGAAGGTAAATGACAAAGAAGGTGCTTCCTACTCCATTCCCGCTCTCTGTTAATTGTAGGAGCAGTCAAAACCATGGCCCAGGGTTCAGGTTGGAGTACCCCAATGAGCAAGGAAAATTTGGACAGCAAATTGGGGCCATCCTGGCAAGCTCTTGATTTGAGGGCTTTCATACCCAGAGCCAAACGATAGTACAATAAATTGATGCTGGGTGGGATCTGGCCTCCACACTTGACTGTTCTTTTCCTGACTTCCATGTTCCTCATCGTGCTCCACCTTGGACTTGCCTTTGTCGTGGTTCCTTTCCTCCTCAAAGAACCCATGTGATATCCAGGATGTAGCCAGGCAGTGCAGTCAAGAGTTTTGCCTTCTTTCACTGACAGTGGCCTGGTATCTCAGGTATGATTCTATCACCCAAAGAATCCTGAAAAACACACTGTGATGGAACCTGATGTTTGCACACACCTTCTTTTGAGAATAAAGTCAGAAGTGCAATTTCCAGAGACCATCACACAATGTCAAGATGCCTCCTCTTCCAGTGGGACCTGACCACAGAGATGGCCCAAAAGGTCCCCAAGGTCAAGATTTTTAGAGTCTTGGAGTAAGTTTTCACAGGAAGGCTTTATTCCAACACCAGGAGGGATGTTCCTGTACTGATTTCCTGTGCTTAGACATGCTGACAGCTCTGAGATTCAGGAGCCCTTGCCTGCCTCATGAATGTGCATGCAGTAGCCTCAGGGTACCAGGCCTTATTGTGATCTCTGGCTAGTGTCACCATGAATGTTGTCATTGCCTAGCAACAACAAGTCCCTGTGGCTTGGTGGAAAAGGAGACCTCCATGGAAGTGTGTAGGCAATGGAATCCAGCGTTTTCTATGTTGGATTCATGAGATAGTCTTCTGATCCCAGGAGAGGGCAGACCTGACTCAGCCTGAAGAAACATCAAGCAAAGCCATAGGAATAAACAGTGATGTTCCAAAAAATCTAAGAGGATCTCCAGGATTTCTTAAAACTCTATATATGTTGTAGGGATGAGTCTTTTTGATACTTGCCCCACTGGGATTTCTAGATAAAACCTGCCTGTGTTCCGGTAGGTTGCTCCCTCCCAGGTGGGGCTTCTTGCATAACCACACATTTTCAGGAGCTGCTGAGCTGTGTACTTCTAAGGGAAAGTTGAGATTGTTTGATGTCTGAGTGTTTGTCATTCTGTTTTAGTTATTTTTATGTTTATTTTTATGTGTGCGTGTGTGTGTGTGTGTATGTGTGTGTGTCCCTGTAAGTGGATTCTGCATAAAATATTGAGGTTAATACAGTTTAGCGTTTCTTGTTTTTTTTTTTTTTTTTTTGAGTCTCCCAACATTTGGTGGCCTGTCCATGTGTGGCTCTGCTTGGGCTGTGGGACTCTGTTTTCTTTATTTTTCTGTGTATCGTGAATCCACAGCAAATTGGGAGGTGTGCCAGGAACTGCAAAGTTCTGAATCACCTCTGCTTACAAAAAAAAAAAGAAAAGATAATCTTTTAGAAAGAAGAGAAGCACACCACACTAAAACAAACAAACAAACAAACAAACAAACAAAAACCTTTCTTAGGATTTTATTGTCATATGACCAACCCAGGGAGAGACACTACTAGTCCTGTCCACAGGGCCACTTGAATTCACCTAAATTTTCCCCAGATGAGTAGGTGCTTCAAGTCATGAGGAAGGCCTCTTCCATCATATTGGGACTTTATCTTGGGACATAAAATGTGAACAGCAACAAGATCAGATAGAGGTGAGGATACAATCTGGTGAGAAATAGATGGGGTCCCTCAACTTCACCTGCAACGAAAATGAAGAGAGATGAGTCAGGAGGTGCTTCCAACATCTTCCATGCATTCCCTTAATTGCACAAGAAGTTCACACCATGGCCCAGTGTGCAGGTGGGAGTACTCCAACCTAGAAGAAGTATTTAGAGTGCAAATTGGGGTCATCCTGGCAAACTCCCAATTTGAGGGCTTTCATACCCAGAGCCAAATGGGTGTGGAATGAACTGATGCTGTGTGGAATGTGGCCTTCATACTTGCCTCTTTTCCTCACTTCCATGTTCCTCGTTGGCCTAAGATTTTCTGAGTCTGGCTCAACGACTTCCACTATAAGTGTATCCAAGTTCAGGAAAAACGACCCTCATGGGAATCCATTGTGTGAGTGTTTTCTTCTAAACACTCGTGTTTTAATGACTGGGCATCTTTGATACTTTTATAACCATAAATTCCCTTTACAGCCCCCAAGAAAAAAACTCTCAGTCTCCCGCTTCTATGTAAGGGCTGCATGATTTATGTAGGATAAGAAGCAGGAAGCCATGTCTGAATTTCACCTGGTAATCTAGCCTTTGTTTGGTTTAATCTGCACGACATTTCTCATTATGGAGAAGGTCTTTCATTGGGCTGTTTCTGGATGCAACTGCCTCTCTTTACAGAGCTTTTGGCTGCCAGGGATTTCAGTGAGCAAAAGGTCTTCAGGAAGACTTGCTTCACTCAAGGTTGTGGTTCATGCTCTCTTTGTGGAGGCTGAGGATTTTTGCTTTTTGCAGGAGATTTTTGGATCCCCTGACAGGAATTTTTAAATGTTGCTTGGACTCCAGCATTAGTCAGCTTGTTCTTTCAAGCTAGCCATATTTTTCCTTGCTATCACCTGGGGTCCACAGTGCCTCTCAACGGCACTACTGAACACCCTTTTCAGGCTTCCCATCTCCACAGATGGCCTCTGAGACCCTATCTCAACCCTACCTGCATCTGTGAGAAGTGAGTACGAGTTGTGAGAAATCTGCTCCTTGTAGGATTTGCCTTTGTCATGGTTTCTGCCTTTTCTAGAGAGCCCCTGTGAGGCCCAGGATGAAAAGAGGCAGTGACATCAAGGTCCCAGCCATCTTTGCTGACACCTGACTCTGGGGTCTCAGGTATGATTCCAGTATCCAAACACTTCTCAACAACTCACCAGATGACATTCCTATCCCCGTGGAAGCAGATTTTTGCACATAGAGTCTTCTGGAAATGGAGTCAGAAAAGCAGTTTCCAGAGACCACCTCACAGTATCGAAACACCTCTTCTTGCATGACCTGATGACAGAGGCAGCATGAAAATCCCCCGAGGTTGAGAGCTTTAGCATCCCACAAGGGGTTATCGCAGGCAGACTTTTTTTGGGACGCCAGGCCGGCTCTGCCTTACCATTTTCCTCTGCTTAGGCAGGCTGCCAGCTCTGAGAGACAGGTGCCTCAGCCTGTCTCCTGAATGAACCTGCAGTAGTCTCAAGGGACCAGGCCTGAGGTTGAACTCTGGTTAGCTTCACAATGAATGCCACCGTTGCCTAGAAAAAAGTTTCAGCGGCTGTTTGGAGAAGGAAACCTCCAGGTAGGTGCGTAGGCAGTGGACTCTCACCTGTCTTCTCTGTGGGATCGAAGGAATTGTTCCACGATCCTAGGAAAGGGAAGACATGAGCCAGCCTGAAGAAACATTAAGCAGAGTCCCAGAAATAAACTGTGACATCCCTAAGTATCCAAAAGGATCTGCAGGATGCCTCAGGCTGGCCTAGACCTTGTAGGCATGGGTCCTTTAGAAACTTGCCCCACTGTGATTTCTAGGTACAGCCCACCTGTGTTCTTCATGGTTGCTGTCTCCCAGGTGGGGTTTTCTGCACAACCACACAGTCTCAGAAGCTGCTGGGTTGTGTGTTTCTGTGGGAGTGTTGTGAATGTTGGATGTCTGTGTGTGAGTAGCTTTGTGTGTTTGTGTGTGTGTGTGTCTGTGTGTTTGTTCCTGTAAAGGGAGTCTGCTTACAGAAATGTGACCGATGCACTACAGTGCTTCTTTTTTGTTTGTGTCCCAACCTTTTGCTTGCCTGTCTGTGTGGCTCTTTTTGGGCTGAAGGGATCCATGTTATTTATATTTCTGTGGGTTATGAATCTGCAGTGCACTGGAAGGCTGGCTGATACCTCCTGGAATCCAAATCAATTCCCCCTAGAAAAAAAGCCACTCCCCTAGATAGAAGAGAGGCACACAAAACTTAAAAGAGACACCTCCTAGTGTTTCATTGTCCCATGGAAACATGGGAAAAAAGCATTAGCAGTCCTGTCTGCAGGGCCCCTTAAATTTTCCTCAAATTTCGTTCCCAGTTGAGCTAGTGATTGACATCCTGAAATAGCACTCTTCCATCATCTTGGGATTTGATTCTGGGATACAGTATGTGAGAGCAATGAGGTCAGATAGAGGAGAAAATACAAGCTGGTAATGGGTAGATGAGGTCTTGCACCTTTACCTGCAAAAGAGGTGAAGACAGATGACAAAAAAGTTGCTTCCAGCTGCATCCACGAATTCCCTTAATTGCACAAGCAGTTCGCACCATGGCCTAGTGTTCAGAATGGAGTACTCTAATGTGCAGGGAACATTTGGAGTGCAAATTGGTGCCATGCTTGAAAAGCCCGATTTAAGGGCTTTCATACTTGGAGGCAAATGGGAGTGAGATGGATAGATGTTGTTTAGGTTTTGGCCTTCACATTTGCCTCTTCTTTTCCTGACTTCCATGTTCCTCATTGGCCTAGGGTTTTCTGGGTCTGGCTCAACATCTTCCACATTAAAGCACTCCCAGTTCACAGAGGACGACCCTCATGGAAATCCATTGCATGAGTATTTCCTTCTAAACACTGTCATGTTTTAACGACTGGACATCTGTTATACTTTTAAAACAGTTAATTCATGTTACAGTCAAAAAAATGGAAACTCTTGTTCTCCCTCTTCTATCGGGGGGCTGCATAATTTCTGTAGAATGAGAAGCAGGCAGCCATGTTTGGCTTTCTGCCTGGCAATCTACGGTCTGTTTCATTACATCTGGATGTTTTTTCTTATTGTGTAGGGAGTCTTTCATTGGGCTGTTGCAGGATAGTATTGCCTGTCACCACTGATCTTTTGGTTGCCAGGGATTTCAGGGAGCAATAGGGACTTCAGGGATTCTTGTAGTGTTCAGGCTGTGGGTCACTGTCTTGTTGTGGGTGCTTAGTTTGTTTGCTTTTGCCAGGAGGGTTTTCAGTACTCTAACAAGAATCTTTGAATGTGGCTTGGAATCCAGCACAAGTCAGGTCATTCTCTCAGGCAATTCTTGGTTTTTCTTTGCTTTCAATGGTGTTCCACAGTGCCCATCAACAGCACTACTGGATACAATTTTCAGGCTTGCAATTACAACAGACAGCCTTTGAGACAATGTCTCAACCTCATCTGCACATGTCAGAGGCCAATTTGAGGGGAGAGAACATTGCTTCACCTTGGAATTGCCTTTGTCGTGGTTCCTGCCTTTCCTATATAGCCCCTGCAAGGCCTAGGTTGAAGGGAGGCAGCAACATCAAGAGCCCAGCCATCTTTCCTGACACCTGCCTTTGGGGTCTCAGGTCTGGTTCCATCATCCAACGACCCCTCAACAGTTCACCAGACTATATTCCAGTCCCCATGGGACATGATTCTTTCATGCACCTTCTTTTGGGAATGGAGTCAGAATAGCAGTTTTCAGCTATTACCACACAGTCATGAAACACCTCCACCTCCAGTGGAACCTGACCATACAGACAGCTCAAACTGACCCTAATATTGAGACTTTTAGGGACCTTCTTTGTTTTATCATAGGCAGTCTTTTCCTGATACCAGGCCAGCTCTGCCTCTACCATTTTCTTCTCCTCAGACAGGCTGACAGCTCTGACAGGCAGGCACCCCAGACTGTCTTAGTTATGTGCATGGACTTATCTTAGGGCACCAGGTCTGAGCTGTGAGCTAGTGTCAGAATGAATGCCACTGTTTACTAGCAACAAGTTCTTGCTACTTGGGGTGGAAAGAGACCACCACTGAAGTGCATCCATGGTGGACTCTCACCTGTCTTTTCTGTGGGATCCACTGGATATTCCCATGAGTCTAGGAGAGGGCAGATGTGAGCCAGCCTGAAAAAAGTCAATCTAATCCCAATTAATGAACCACAAATCCCTAAGGATCCAAAAGACCCACAGGATGCCTCAGGCCTGCTTAGATGTTGTAGGGGTGAGTCCTTTACAAACTTGCCCCATTATGATTTCTAGGCACAGCCCACCTGTGTTCCCCATGGTTGCTGTTTCCCAAATGGGGCTTCCTGTGGAACCACAAAGCCTCAGAAGCTGCTGCGCTGTGTTTCTGTGGGAGTGTTGTGAGTGTTGATTGTGTTTGTGTGTGGCTTTGTGTGTTTAAGAGTGTGTGTGTTTGTGTGTGTGTGTGTGTGTGCCTGTAAGTGGAGTCTCCTTAAAGGAATGTGGCTAATGAACTTCAGGGCTTCCTTTTATTTTATTTTTTTTTAATCTCCCAATATTTGTGTCCTGTCTGCGAGGCTCTTCTTGGGCTGTGGTGCTCCGTGTTCTTTATTTTTCTGTGGATCATGAATCCACAGTTAATTGGGAGGCTGGCTGAGAAACTGCCCCCTCCAAAATAAATAAATAAATAAATAAAAGCCACTCTTCAAGAAAGAAGAGCAGCAAACCACACCCCAAAACATTTCCCACTCTTTCATTGTCCTATGGCCAACCAAGAGAGAGACAGTAGCAGTCCTTTTTGCAGGGCCCTTGAATTTTCCTGGAGTCGGCTTCCAATCTGAGAAGGTGCTTGACATCCTGAGGTGGCACTCCTTCATTGTCTTGAGATATCATTCTACATCAGAGAGTGTGAGCAGCAATAAAGTCAGATGGGGTGAAGATATTATCTGGTGAGGGGTGTATGGGGTCCCACATCTTCACCTGCAAAAAAGGTGAGGACAGATGACACAGAAGCTGCTTCCAAATGCAACCCCACATTCCCTCAATTGCACAAGCAGTCCACACCATGGCCAGTTGTTTAGGAGGGAGTACTGCAACGTGCAAGAAACGTTTGGAGTGCAAACTGGGGCCATTTTGGCAAACTGCTGATTTGAGGGCTTTTACACCCAGAGCCAGATGAGAATAGCATGAATCAATGCTGGGTGGGATGTGGCTTCTACACTTGTCTCTTCTTTTCCTGACTTCCATGTTCCTTGTCAGCCTAGGGTTTCCTTTGTCTGGCTCCACCTCTTTCAAACTAAACATTTTTCAGTTCACAGAGGACGACCCTCATGGCAATCCATTGCTTGAGTTTTTCTTTCTAAACAGTGTCCTGTTTTAATTACTGGGCAGCTGCGATAATTTTAAAACTATGAATTCCTGTTGCATCCACCAACAAAGAAACACTTCTCCTTCCACTTCTATTGGAGGGCTGCATGATTCCTGTTGGGTGAGAATCTGGCAGCCATTTCTGGCTTTTACCTCATAATCTAGGCTCTGTTTCATTACATTTGAGTGTCCTTTCTCATTGTGGAGGGCCTCTTCAATTGGGCTGTTGCTGGATGGAACTGTTTCTCACCACAGATCTTCTGGCTGCCAGGGATTTCAGGGAGCAAAAAAGACTTCATGTGGGCTGTCTGCACTCCAGATTGTCATAGTGTCATTTTGGTGGCTGAGAATGTTAGCACTTTGCAGGATGCTTTTGTGTCCTCAGACAAGAATATTTTAACGTTGCTTGGACTGCAGGACAAGTCAGCTTGCTCTCTCAGGTGATCATTGATTTTTCTGTGTTTTCATTGAGGGTCCACAGTGCCCCTCAACATTACTACTGGACACACTTTTCAGGCTTACAACACCACAGATGCCCTCTAAGACACTGTCTCAACCTCATCTGCACCCGTGAGAGGCCTGTTTGAGATGTGAGATCACTGCTCCACATTGGAATTGCATTTGTTATGGTTTCTGCCTTTCCCAGAGAGCCCATGCAAGGAGCAAGGTGGAGGCAGTGAGGTCAAGTGCCCGGCCAAGTTTTGCTGACACCTGTCTCTGGTGTCTCAGGTATGTTTCCGTCACCCAACGACCCTTCAACAACTCACCAGATTATATTCCAATCCCCATGGGGCCAGATTCTTGCACACAGACTCTTTCTGGAATGGAGTTAGAAGAGCGGTTTCCAGCAATCACTTCACAGTCCTGAAATGCCTCCTTCTCCACTGGACCCGACTGCAGGGACCGCTGGAAGGATCTGTGAGGTCGAGAATTTTAGAGTCCTGCTATAAGTTATTGCAAGCAACATTTTTCCTGGTGCCAGGCCGGCTATGCCTGTACCATTTTTCTTTGCTTAGGCAGGATGACAGCCCTGACAACCCGGCGCCCGAGCCTGCCTCACGAGTGCGCATGCGCTAGTCTTAAAGCACTAACTTTTAGCTGTGAGCTCTGGCTAGCAACAATATGAATAGCACCGTTGCCTAGAGACAAGTCCCTGCGACTTGGCAGAAAAGGACACTTCTGTGGAGTTGCGTTGTCGGTTGGCACTCACCTGTCTTCTTGGTTTGATTCACATGATATACCTAAAATCCTAGGAAATGGCCTAGGTGAGCCAGCTGGAAGAAACGTTAAACAGTGCACCAGGTATAAACTGTGAAACCCCTAAAGATCCAAATTATCTGCAGGCCTGCCTAGATGTTGTAGAGGTGAGTCTTTATGAATCTTGCCACACTGTGATTCCTAGGTACAGTAGCCTATGTCCCCTGAGCTTGCCCTCTCCCAGGTGGGAATTCCTGCAGAACAACTCAGCCTCAGAAGCTGCTGGGCTGTGTTTCTGTGAGAGTGTGGTGGGTGTTCAATGTCTGTGTGTGTAGTTTGGTGTGTGTGTATGTGTGTGTGTGCCTGTAAGTGCAGTCTACTTAAAGAAATGAGGCTAACCCTCTACAGAGCTTCTTTGTTTTTTAGTCATCCAACCTTTTGTTGGCCCATCTGTGTGGCTCTGCTTAGGCTCCCATGTTCCGTGTTCTTCCGTTTTCATGAATCTCAGTGAATCGAGGGGCTGGTTGAAACCCACCAGGTTCCAAATCAGCACCCCTTGTATAAAGAAGCCACTCTTATAGAAAGAAGAGGAGCACATGACACACACACAAAAACAGATATTTGTCAATGTTTTTGTCTTGCAGCCAAGCCAAGGAGAGGCACTTGCAGTCCTGTCCACAGGGACTCTTGAGTTTACCTGAAATTCAGTTTCCAGCTGAGCAGGTGCTTCAAGTCACGAGGGGGCACTCCTGCATCATTTTGGGATTTCATTCTACGGTAGAGAATGCAAGCAGCAATGAGTTCAGATAGGAGTAAGGATACAATCTGATGAGGGGTGGATGCTGTCCCACCTTCACCTGCAAAAATCTGAAGATATATGACACAGAACGTGCTTCCAACTCCATCCCCACATTTCCTTAATTGCACATGCAGTCAAATCATGCCCCGGGGTTTATGTGGGAGTATTACAATGTGCAGGGAATACTTGGAGTGCAAACTGGGGTTAACCTGGCAAACTTCTGTATGAGGGCTTTCAAACCCGGGGCTAAATGGGAGTGGGATGGATTGATGCTGGGTGAAATGTGGCCTTCACACTTGCCTTTTCCTTTCCTGTCTTTCATGTTGCTCATTGACCTAGCTTTCTCTGGGTCTGGCTCCATGTCTTCCATGCTAAACGTTTCCCAGTTCATGAAGGACTACCCTCATGGGAGTCCATTGCCTGAGTGTTTCCTCCTAAACACTGTCGCATTTCTTTCAATGACTGGGAACCTGTGATGTTTTAAAACTGTAAATTCTCATTAAAGCTGCCAACAAGGAAACTCTTATTCTCCCACATCTATCAGAAGGCTGCATGATTCCTGTAAGAAAACAACCAGGAAGCCATGTCAGGATTTTGCCTGGTACTCTAGGCCCTGTTTCATTTCATCTGCATGTCATTTCTCATTATGGAGGTGGTATTTCATTGGGCTGTTGCTAAATGGGACTGCCCCCTCCACAGATCTTTTGGCTGCCAGGTATTTCAGGGAGCAAAATAGATTATGGGTAGTCTGGCTGCACTCCAGGTTGTGGATCATCGTATTGATGTGATAGCTGAGGTTGTTTGAACTTTGTAGGTGGCTTTTGGGTTTGCTGAAAAGAATCTTTGAATGTTGCTATGATTCCAGCACAAATCAGCTCATTCTCTCAGGAAACTTTTGAGTTTTTGTTGCTTTCATGTGGGGTCTACAATTCCCCTCAACACATTACTGTACAGACTTTATACACTGGCAATGGCCACAGAGGGCCTCTTAATTGTGGGTCCCCATCCACCCCTCACCAGATAGGATGATCAGCCCTAACTGACTTTATTTCTCCTCACACTCGATGTCCCAGGATAAAATCCCATGACCATGGAGGGGTGCCACTTAAGGACATGAAGCACCTCCTTGGCTGGGACCAAATTTGAGGTAAAAATCAAGGAACTTGTGAACAAGTCTGATAGTGTCTCTCTTTGGGTTGGATAATGAAGCACTGGAAGATGTCTGTTTTTTGGTGTGGTGTGCTCCTCTTCTTTTAGAAGAGTGCTTTTTTTGAAGGGGAGGTGATTTGGATGTTGGCAGGTCTTGGCTTGCCTCCCAATTCACTGTGGATTCATGATCCACAGAAAAATAAAGAACACAGAGCCCCACATCTCAAGCAGACCCACACAGGCCACAAAAGGGTTGTGAGATGAAAACAAAAAAAAAGAAGCACTGAAGTGTCGTAGCCACATTCTTTTAAGCAGACACCACTAAAAGACACACACACACAGAGACTCCCACATGCATACACACATACAGTGCCAAACATACACACAGAAATACAACACTCACAACACTCCCACTGAAATACACAGCTCAGTAGCTCCATAGGCTGTGTGTTTCTGCTGGAAGCTCCACTTGGGAGAGGAACCTTGGGGAATACAGATGGGTTGTACCTAGAAATCACAGTGGAGCAAGATTCAAAAGACTCAGCCCTACAATGTCTTGACAGGCCTGTGGAATTCTTCAGATCTTTTTGAATCCTTGGGAATTTCGCGGTTTATTCCTGGGGCTCTGCTTGACTTTTCTTCAGGCTGGCTCATGTCTGCTCACTTTTAAATTCATGGGAATATCTAGTGGATCCCACAGAAAAGAGAGGTGACAGTCCATGGCCAATGCTCATCCATGGAGGTCTCCTTCTTTGCCAAGCCACAGGGAATTGCCACAAGTCAACGGTGACATTCACCATGACAGCACTGTGCTATCAGTGCTGTCAGCCTGCCTAAGCAGAAAAAGAATCATACAGGCAGAGTCAGCCTGGTATTGGAAAGCAGGCTACCTGAGAATACCCACTGCGAGACCCTACAAATCTTGACCTCAGGGCCGCTTCCAGCCATCTTCGTGGTCGGACAGCATTGATGAAAAGGGTGTTTCGAGACTGTGAGTTGGCCAATGGAAACTGCTTTTCTGACTACATTCCAGAAAGTGGTTGTGCATAAGAATTGAATCCCATAAGGAATGGAATATAATCTGGTGAGTTTTTCAGGGCTCTTTGGGTGATAGAATCATACCTGAGACCACAGATGCCGGTGTCAGTGATAAATGGTTGGGATCTTCTCACTGTCTCTCTTCATCCTGGGCCTTGCAGTGGCTCTCTAGAAAAAACACAAAACACAACAAAGGCAAGTCCAAGGTGAAGCAGTCTTCTCACACCTCTGACTTGCTTTTCATGGGTGCAGACGAAATTCAGACAGTGAAAACGAGCTGCATTGTGCTGGAGTCCAGTCAGTGTTCAATGATTCCTGTCAGATGACACAAAAGCTTCCTTCAGAGTGCTAACATCCTCAGCATCCACAATGAGACAACGACACACAACCTGGAGCACAGCCAGCCTATCTTAACTCTTTTTGGCTCTCTGAAATCCCTGGCAGCTAAATAATCTGTGGAAAGAGGCACTCCCATCCAGCAACAGCCCAATGAAAGAGCTCCACAATGAGAATGCTGTGCATATAAAATGAAACCAAGGTTAGATTACAAGGAAAAAGCCAGAAATGTCTGCCTGCTTCTCATCTTACAGGAATCATGCAGCGCTCCAATAGAAGTTGGAGAACAAGAGTTCCCTTTTTGGCAGCGGTAACAAGAATTCACAGTTTTAAAAGCATCAAAGCTGCCCAGTCATTAAATTGTGAAAGAGTTTAGAAGAAAACCCTCAGGCAATGAATTCTCATGAGGATCTTTCTTCATGACCTGGGAAACATTTAATGTGGAAGTCTTTGAGCCAGACTCAGAAAACCCTATGCCGACAAGGAACATGGAAGTCAGCAAAAGAAGAATCAAGTATAGAGGCCACATCCCAACCAGCATCAATCTATTCCACTCCCATTTGGCTACAGGTATGAAAGTGCTCAAACTGGGTGTTTGCCAGGATGGTCCCAATTTGTAATACAAATGGTCCTTTCACATTGGATACTCCTACCTGAAGAGTGGGAGGTGGTGTGAGCTGCTTGTGCAATTAATGGAATAAGGGGATGGAGTTGGAAACACCTCCTGTGTCATCTGTCTTCATTTCTTTTGCAGGTGAAGTTGCAGGACCCCATCCACCCCTCAGTAGATTGTATTCTCATCCTTATCTAACCTTATTGCCTCTCACACTCTATGTTCCAGGATGAAATTCCAAGACAATGGAGGAGTGTCCCTTCATGATGTGGAGAACCTGCTTGGCTCGAAACTGAATTTGAGGTAAATTCAAGGGGTACTGTGGGCAAGACTGCTAGTGTCTCTCCCTGGTTTGCCCTCAGGACAGGGAAACACTGGGAGATGTCTGTTTTTTGGTGTGGTGTGTTCCCTTTCTTTATAGAAGAGTAGTTTTTTGTTTTTGTTTTTGTTTTTGTTTTCCAAGGAAAGGTGATTTGGATGCTGGCCTGTCTTGATCCACCTTCAAATTCACTGCGGATTTAAGATTTACATAAAAATAAAGAACATGGAGCCCCAGAACTGACCAGAGCCACACAGATGTGCCATAAAATGGTTTTGTTATTCAAATAAAAAGAAGTTCTGAAGGGCGCTAGCCATATTCCTTTAAGCAGACTTTACTTACAGGGACAGACAAACACCCAATACCACATAAGCATGCAGCCATCAAACACTTACAACACTCTCACAGAAACACACAGCCTGGCAGCTCCTGAGGCTGTACAGGAAACCCCACATGAAAGACAGCAACACTGGAACAAAAAAGATGGAAAACAAAATGCTCCCAGACATCACAGTGGAGCAAGCTTCAAAAAGACTCACCCCTACAACTTCTAGGCAGCCTCAGAAATCCTGTAGATCCTTTTGGATTTTTAGGGATGTCATGGTTTATTCCTGGGGCTCCGCTTGATGTTTCTTTAGGCTGGCTCATGTCTGTTCTCTCCTAGGATCATGGGATTATCCCATGGATCCCACAGAGAAGATGGGTGGGAGCCCAACACCAATACACTTCCACAGAGGACTTTTTCTCTGCCAAGCCACAGAAACTTGTTGCTAGGCAATGGTGACATTCGTGGTGACAATAGCCAGAGCTCAAAATCAGGCCTGGTGTGCATTCATGAGGCAGACTCGTGTGCCTGGTTGTCAGAACTATCAGCCTGCCTAAGAAGAGAATATTGGTATAGGCAGAGACCCGATGACATGGGAAAAAGGATGCTTGTAAAACCCACTGTGAAACCCAAGATCTCCCAACCTCAGGGACCCTCCAAGCCATCTCCGTTTTTGGGTTCTGCTGGAGAAAAAGGAGTTTAGTGACTTTGAGGTCATCGCTAGAAACTGCTCTTCTGACTCCATTCCCAAAAGAAGCTGTGTGCAAGAATCAGATCTCAAGGAAAGTGGAACACAGTCTGTTGTGTTGTTCAGCCTTCTTTGGGTGATAGAATTATACTGAAAACAGAGGCAGGTGTCAGCGAATGATGGCCTGACTCCTGACCTCACTGCCTCCCTTCATCCTTGGCCTTGCAGGGTATCTCTGGGAAAGGCAGAAACCATGACAAAGGCAAGTCAAAGTTGAAGCAGTGTTATCACACCTCGGATTGGCCTCTTTCAGGTGCATATGAGGTTGAGACAGTGTATTGGAGTCTGTCTGTGCCAATGGCAAGCCTGAAAATGGTGTCCAGTAGTGCTGTTATGGGACACTGGGTTCCCCATGAAAGCAAAAGAAATAAATAAGTAAAATAGATAAATAAAAAATCTAGGCTCACTGAGAGAATGAGCTGCCTTTTGCTGGAGTCCAAACAATGTTCAATGATTTCTGTCAGAGAAGACAAAAGCCTCCTTAAAATGCAAACATCCTCAGCCCCCACAATGAGACAATGACCTACAACCTGAAGCACAGCCATCCTACCCAAAGTCACTTTTTCTCTATTCAATTGCAGTTAGCTAAATAAGCTGTGGCCAAAGGCAGTCCCATCCAGCAACAGCCCAATAAAAAAGCCACTCCAAAATGAGGAGGACATGCAGATGAAATGAAACAGAGGGTAGATTACCAGGCAAAGGCCAGACATGGATGCCTGCTTCTCATCGGACAGGAATCATGCAGCCCTTTGATAAAAGTGGGAGAACAAGAGTTCTCTTGTTGGTCACTGTAATGAGAATTTACAGTTTAGAAAGTTTCAAAGCTTCCCGGTCATTAAAACGTGAGAATGTTTAGAAGAAAACAGTCGCTCAATGGTTGCCAATGAGTGTCATTCTCTGTGAAATGGGAAATGTTTAGTGTAGAAGTCATTGAGCCAGACCAAGGAAACCCTAGGCCAGTGAGAAACATGGAAATCAGGAAAGGAAGAGTCAAGTGTAGAGGTCACATCCCACCAGGGATCAATCTATTCCACTCCCATCTGGCTCTGGGTATAAACCACCAAAAATAGGGAGTTCACCAGGATGGCCCCAATTTCTTTTTCCAGTGCTCCTTGCATGTTGGAGTACTCCCACACAAACACTGGCCCGTGGTGTGGACTGCTTGTGCAATTAAGGAAACATGGGGAATTAACTGGGAGAACATTCTGTGTCATTTGTCTTCATTTTTTTTGCAGGTGAAGTTGTGGGACCCCATTCAACCCTCAGCAGATACTATCCTCACCTGTATCTGACCTTATTGTGTTCACACTGCATGTCACAGGATGAAATCCCAAGATGATGGAGGAGTGCCCCTCATGATGTGAAGCACTTGATCAACTGGTAACATAATGTGAGGTAAATTCAATGGGCCCTGTTGACAGGACTGCTAATGTCTTTCTCTAGATTGGCTGCAAAACAATGAAACACTGAGTTTTTTTTTTTTTTTTTTTTTTTGGCACACAAGGGTGATTTGGGTGCTGGCACATTTTGGCATGCCTCTGAATTCACTGTGGATTCATGATCCACAGAAAAATAAAGAAAACGGCCCCCTGCAGGCCATGCAGAGCCACACTGACAGGCCACCAAAATGTTGCAAGGCTAAGAAAAATGAAGTGCTGAAGGGTGTTAGCCACATTCCTTTAAGCAGAAGCCTTTTACATTCAAACACACACAAACACACTTACACATACAAACACACAATGTTCTTGACTTCCCTGTCTCACTTCATCCTGCACCTCGCAGGGCTCTATGGGAAAGGCAGTAACCATGACAAAGGCAAGTCCAAGTTTGAGCAGTGTTCTCAAACCTTGGACTGGCCTCTCACGGGTGCAGATGAGGATGAGACAGTGTCTGAGGTGCCACTGGTGGTGATGGCAAGCCTGAAAAGTGTGTCCAGTAGTGCTGTTGAGGGGCTCTGTGGATTCCCCATGACAGAAAATAAAAATCAAGACTCACCTGAGGAATGAGCTGCCTTGTGCTAGAGTCAAACAATGTTCAATGATTGCTGTCACAGGACCCAAAAGCCTCCTGCAAAATCCTATCAACCTCAGCCCCCACAACGAGACCACAAGCCACAACCTGGAGTGCAGCCAGCATACCTGAAATCCCTACTGCTCTCTGAAACCCATGGCAGCTAAATAATGTGTGGTGAGAGACCCTGCCACCCAGCAGCAGTCTAATGAAAGACCTCCTTTACAAAGAAAAGGCAGTGTGGACAAAATGAAACAAAAGCTAGATTACCAGTAAAAAGTCAGACACGGCTGCCTGCTTCTCATGCTACAGATATCACGCAGCCACCCTTTCTCTGATAGAGTAGAACTAGAGCTTCCTTGTTGTTGGCTGTAACAGGAATTTACGGTTTTAAAAGTATAAAAGCTGTCCAGTCATTAATATGTTACAGTGGATAGAAGGAAACACTCACACAATTGCTTTTCATGAGGGTCGTTCTCTGTGAACTGGAAAATGTTTAGTGTTGAAAACATTGATCCAGACCCAGGAAATCCTAGGACGATGAGGAACATGGAAGTCCAGAAAAGAAGAGGCAAGTTTGGAGGCCACATCCCAAGAAGCATGAATCCATTTCCCTCCCATTGGCTCCAGGTATAAAAGCCCTCAAATAGGGTTTTTGCCAGGATGTTCGCAATTTTCACTCCAAATGTTTCTTGCACATTGGAGTATTTCCACTTAAACACTGGGCCATGCTGTGGAATACTTGTTCAATTAAGGTAACTCAGGGAAGAAGCTGGATGCACCTTCTGTGTCATCTGTCTTTATTTTTCTTTGCAGGGGAAGTTTCAGGACACCATCCACCCCTCATCAGATTGTATTTACACTCCTACCTCACCTTGCTGTAGCTTACACTGTATGTCCCAGGGTGAAACCCCAAGACAATGGAGGAGGGCCAAGTCATGATCTGAAGCACCAACTCAGCTGGGAACCAAATTTGAGGTAAATACATGGGGCCTGGCAGACAGAATGGCTAATGTCTCTCCATTTGTTGTCCTCAGAACAATGAAACGCTAATAGATGTCTATTCTTTTGAAGTAGTGTGCTCCTTATTTATTTATTTATTTATTTTAAGAAGAGTAGTTTTTTTGCAGGGAAAGGTGATTTGGACGCTGGCTCATCTCTGCCTACCTCCCAATTCAGTTTGAATTCATGATCCACAGAAAATTAAAGAATATGGAGTCCTGCAACCCAAGCACAGCAACATAGACTGGCCACCAAAAGGTTGGGAGACTTTAAAAAAAAAAAAAAAAAGAAGCACTGGAATGAGGTAGCCACAAAATGTTAAGCAGACTCCACTTACAGGCACACACACACACACAAAGACACACTGCCACACACAGAAGCAGACATCCAACACTTGCAACACTGCCCCCAAAACACAGAGCCCAGTAGCTTCTGAGGCTGTGTTGTTCTGCAGGAAGTCCCACAAGGGAGAGAGCCACCATGGGAAACACAGGTGGGCAACACCTCAAAATCTCAGTGAGGCAAGTTTCAAAAAGACTCTCCCCTACAAAGTTTAGGCAGGCCTGAGGAATCCGGCAGACTCTTCTGGATCCTTAGGGATTTCATTGTTTATTCCTTGGTCTGTGCTAGAAGTTTTTTTCAGGCTGGTCGAAGTCTGCCCTCTTCTAGGTTCATGGGACTATACCGAGAATCCCACAGAGAAGACAACTGAGAGTCCACTGCCGACACATCTTCATGAATGTCTCCTTCTCTGCCAAGCCGGAGGAACAGTCGCTAGGCAATGATGACATTCACTGTGACGCTAGCCAGAGCTCACAATCAGGCCTGGTGCTCTGAGACAGGCATGTGCAAGTTCTTGAGACAGACTCGGGCTCCTGGCTCTCAGAGCTGTCACCCTGCCTAAGAAGAGGAAAACAATAAAGGTTAAGTCGGCCTGGTATCGTGAAAAATGTTGCCTGCCATTACCCACTGCAGGACGCTAAAATTCTTGACCTTAGGGCCCCGTCGGGATGTTTCTGTCTTTGGGTCTGACTGGAGGAGGAGGTGTTTCAATACTGTGAGGTGTTCGCTAACCACATCTCTTCTGACTCCATTACTTAAAGGGGCTGTGTGCCAGAGTTGGGTCCCATATGAATTGGAATATAGTCTGGTGAGTTGTTGAAGGGTTTTTGTGTAATGGAATCATACCTAAGATCCCCAAAAGTGGGTGTCAGTGAATGATAGCCGGGCCCTTGACTTCATTGCCTCTCTTCATTTTGGGCCTCCGAGGGGCTCTCTGGGAAAGGCAGGAACCACGACAAAGGCATGTCCAAAGTGGAGCAGTGTTGCCATACATCAAACTGTGGTCTCACAGGTACAGATGATGATCATAAGTTTTCTCAGAGGTCATCTGTGGTGATTGCAAGCCTAGAAAGGTCCAGTGTTGTTTTTGAGGGTGAATGTGGACCCAGCATGAAAGCAAAGACAAATCAAGGCCCACCTGAGAGAATGAGCTTACTTGTCCTGGAGTCCAGGAAACATTCAAAGATTCCTGTAAAAGGACCCAAAATCCTCCTGCAAAGTGTAAGCAATCTCAGCCCCCACAACAAGACAATGGTTCAAAATCTGGAGCACAGCCAGCCTAACCAAAGTCAATTTTGCTTCCTGAAATCAATGGCATCAGAAAGATATGTGGTGAGAGGTAGCCCATCCAACAACAGTCCAATAAAAGACCTTCTCTAAAATAAGAAAGGATATGCAAATGAAAGGAAACAGCCTTTCCAAGTGAAAGCCAGACACGTCTTTCTGCTTCTCATAGTACGGGAATCAAGCATCCCTCCCATAGAAGTGGGAGAACAATGTCTCCATGTTGTTGGCTGTAATGGAAATAAGGTTGTAAATTTATCACATAAGCTGTTATTAAAACTTGACAGTGTTTAGAAGGAAACTCACACAATGCATTTTCATGAGAATCATTTTCTGTGAAAGGAAAATGTTTAGTGTGGAAAATGTTGAGCCAGACACAGGAAACCCTATGCCAATGAGGGACATGGAAGTGAGGAAAAGAAGAGGTAAGTGTGGAGGCCACATCCCACCAAGCATCAGCCCATCCCACTCCCATTTGGCTTCTGGTATTAAAGCCCTTAAACAGGGAGTGTGCCCCAGTTTGCACTACAAATATTTCCTGAAAGTTGGAGTATTCCCACCTGAACACTGGGCCATGGTGTGGACTGCTTGTGCAACTAAGAGAATGTGGGGATGCAGTTTAAAACACCTCTGTTTCACTGTCTTAACCTTTTTTGCTGGTGAAGGTACAGGGCCCCATCAACCCCTCACCAAATTATATTTTCACCTGTTTGACCTTATTGCAGCTCACAATCTCTTTCCCAGTTTGAAATCCAAAGATGATGGAGGAGTGCCCGCTCATGATGTGAAGTACCTGCTCAGCTGGAAACCGAATTTGAGATAAATTCAAGGGTCTATGTGGACAAGACTGCTAGTGTCTCTCTCTGGATTGGTCATATTGCAATGAAACACCAGACGATGTCTGTTCCTGGGTGTTGTATTCCACTCTTCTTTCTAGAAGAGTGCCTTTATTTGCAGGGGAAGATAATGGAGACCCTGGCTGGTCACAACTAGCCTACCTGTTCATTGTGGATTCATGACCCACAGAAACATAAAGAACAGGGAGCCCACAGAGCCCACAGCCCAAGTACAGCCACACAGACAGGCCACCCAAAGGTTAAGACGCTAAAAAATAAAAAGCCCTGCAGTGTGTTAGCCACATTCCTTTAAGGAGAAACAACTTAGAGGCAGAAACACACACACACACAGCCACACACACCCACAGATATCCAACACTCACAATACTCCCACAGAAATACACAGCCTGGTAGCTTCTGAGGCTGTCTCATTCTATAGGAAGCCCCAACTGAAAGAGAGCAACACCAGGAAAAGCAGGAGGGCTGAACCTAGAAATCACAGTGGGGCATGTTTCAATAAGACTCACCCCTACATCAACTAGGCTAGTATGAGGAATCCTGCAGATTCTTTTGGACCCTTAGGAATTTCACAATTTCTGGGGCTCTGCTTGATATCTCTTCAGGCTGGCTCACATCTGCCCTCTCCTTGGATCCTGGTACTATCTGGTGGATAACACAGAGAAGACGAGTCCACCACTGATGCACTTCCACAGTGGTCTCTTTCTCCACCAAGGTGCAGGGACTTGTCACTAGGCAAAGGTCAAATTCATTGTGATGCTAGCCACAGGTCACAGCTTGGGCCTGGTGTCATGAGACTACCACATGCATATTAGTGAGACAGACTGAACTGTCAGCCTTCTTAGGCAGAGGAAAATGGTACAGACAGAGCTGGCCTTGTATTGGGAAAAAAGACTGCCTGTGATAACCCACTTCAGGTCCCTAAAAGTCTTGACCTTAGGGCCCTTATGCACCATAGCCATGTTAGGGTCACGCTGGAGGAAGAGCCATTTCATAACACTGAGTTTGTCTTTGGAAACTGTTCTTCTAACTCCATTTCTGAAAAAGTTTTTGTGCAAGAATTGAATCCCATGGGGATTGGAATATAGTCAGGTGAGATGTTGAGTGGTCTTTAGAATTATATCTGAGACCCAAGAGGTGGTCTCAGGCACATACACACACGCAAACACACCTCAACACAATGCTACAACATACACGCAAACATTTAACGTTCTATTGTGGAGCAGTGTTTTCACAACTCAGACTGGCTTCTCATGGGTGTAGATGAGGTTTAAAGTGTCTCAGAGGCCCCTGTGGTGATGGAAGCCTGAAAAGGGTGTCCAGTAGTGCTGCTGAGGGGCACTGTGGACCCTCAATGGGAAAGCAAAGGAAAATCAAGGCTTGCTTGAGAGAATGAGCTGCCTTGTGCTGGAGTATAAGCAATGTTAAATGATTCCTCTTAGAGGACCCAAAAGCCTCCTGCAAAGTGCAAACACCCTCAATCCCCACGAGGAGACAACGACCCACAATCTGTAGCATAGCTAAACTTCCCAAAGTCCCTTTTGCTCTCTGAAATCCCTGGCAGCTACATAATCTGTAACAAAACCAGTCCCATCCAGCAACAGCCCAAATAAACAGCCCCTCCACAATAAGAAGCCCATGTAGATGAAATGAAACAGAGGCTAGATTACCAGGCAATAGCCAGAAGTAGCTGCCTGCTTCTCATCCCACAGGAATCATGAAGCCCTGTAATAAAAAGGGGAGAAGACGAGTTTTAATTTCGCACCTGTAGCTGGAATTTACGATTTAAAAAATATCAAACCCTAGTCATGAAAAGGTGACAGTGTTTAGAAGTAAATATTCATGCAATGGATTCTCCTGAGGGTTGTTCCTCATTAACTGTGAAATGTTTAGTGTGGAAGTCATTGAGTAAGAATGAGGAAAACAGGCCGAGGAAAAAGATCGCAGTCAAGAACAGAAGAGGAAAGTGTGGAGGCCATATCCCACCCAGCATCACTCCATTTCCCTCCCATTTGGCTTTGGGTATGAAAGTACTCAAATGGGGATTTTGCCAGTAGAACCCCAATTTGCACTCCACATGATACTTGCTCATAGGAGTGCCCCAACCTGAACACCTGGCCATGGTGTGGACTGCTTGTATAATTAAAGGAATGCAAGGATGGAGCTGGAAGCACCTTTTGTATCATCTGTCTTTATTTTTTGCAGGTGAAGTTGTGGGACCCCATCCACTCCTCACCGGATTGTATCCACATCTTTATCTGTCTTATTGTTGCTCAAGCTCTATGTCCCAAGATGAAATCCCAAGATGATGAAAGAGTGCCTTTTCACGACGTGACGCAACTGCTTGGCTGGAACTGAATTCGTGATAAATTCAAGGGGCAATGTGGACAGGATTTCTACTGTCTCTTAGTGGGTTGGCTTCTGGAAAATGAAACACTGGGAGATGTCTCTTTTTTGGTGTGGTGTCCTCCTCTTATTTCTAGAAGAGTGTTTTTTTGTTTTTGTTTTTGTTTTTGTTTTTGGCTGAGGGAGGTGATTTGGACATCATTGGGTCTAAACCTGCCTCCAAATTCATTGCTGATTCATGATCCACAGAAGAATAGAAAACACGGAGCCTTTCAGCCCAAGCAGAGCCATGCAGTGAGGTCACCAAAAGGTTATGAGACTCAAAAAAAAAGAAGTGCTGAAGTGTGTTAGCCAAATCCCTTTTGCAGATTTCACCTACATGAACACATCCACACACAAACACACGCAAATACACAATGCCACACACATGCAGACATTCAGCACTCACAACACTCCCACAGAAACACACACCCTGAGAGATTTTGATACTGTGTTGTTCTGCGGAAAGCCACACTTGGGAGATAGCAACCCCAGGGAACATAGTCGGGCTGTAACTGAAAATCATAGTTGGGCAAGTTTTTTTTGTTTTGTTTTGTTTTGTTTTGTTTTGTTTTGTTTTGTTTTTGAGACGGATTCTTGCTCTGTCACCCAGGCTGGAGTGCATTGTCACTATGTCAGCTGACTGCAAGCTCCATCTCCCAGGTTCACACCATTCTTCTGACTCAGCCACCCGAGTAGCTCGAACTACAGGAAACTGCCATGAGGCTCAGCTAATTTTTTTGTATTTTTAGTGGAGATGGGTTTTCACTGGGTTACCCAGGATGGTCTCAATCTCCTGACCTCATGATCCACCAGCCTGGGCCTCCCAAAGTGCTGGGATTACAGGTGTGAGCCACCACTCCTGGCTGGGCAAGTTTTTTTTTTTTTTTTTGAGACGGAGTCTCACTCTGTCGCCCAGGCTGGAGTGCAGTGGCGGGATCTCGGCTCACTGCAAGCTCCGCCTCCCGGGTTCACGCCATTCTCCTGCCTCAGCCTCCCAAGTAGCTGGGCAAGTTTTAAAAAGTCTAAATTCTGTAATGCCTATGCAGGCCTGAGTAATCCTGTAGACCCTTTGGAATCCTTAGGGATTTTGTAGTTTATTTCTGGGGCTGTGCCTGATGTTTCTTCAGGTTGGTTCACATCTGCCTTCTCCTAGGATCAATAGGCTAACCCAGGGATTCCACAGAAAAGGCAGGTGAGAGTCCACAGCTGACACATCTCAATGGAGGTCTCCTCCTTCACCAAGCCAAAGGGACTTGTCACTAGGCAACGGTGACCTTCACTGTGAGACTAGCCAGAGCTCACAATCAGGCCTGGTGCCCTGATACTAGCTCACACTCATTTGTGAGACAAGCTTGAAAACCTGGCTGTCAGACCTGTCAGCCTGCCTTAACAGAGGAAAATGGTACAGGCAGAACCAGCATGGTGTTTGGTAAAAGGCTACCTGCACAAACACACTGTGAGAGCATAAAAGTCTCAAACTCAGGTCCCCTTCAAGCTGTCTCTGTGGACGGGTCCCACTGGAGGAGGAAGAGTTTTGAGACTGAGAGGTGGTCGCTGGAATCTGCTCTTCTGACTCCATTCCCAAAAGAGGCTATGTGGTAGAATCGGATCCCATAAAGATTGTAATATAGTCTGGTGTGTTGAGGGTTCTTTGGGTGATAGAATCATACCTGAGATGACAGAGGTGATTGTCAGCAAATGACGCCTGGTCTCTTAACGTCACTGCCTCCCTTCATCGTGGGCTTTGCAGGGGATCTGTGGGAAAGGCAAGAGCCACAACAAAGGCAAGTCCAAAGTGGAACAGTGTTCTCATACCTCAGACTGACAACTTGAGTTTGGAGATGAGGTTCAGATATTGTCTCAGAGGCCATCTGTAGCCATAGCAAGCCTGAAAAGAGTGTCCGGTAGTGCTGTTGAGGGGTACTGTGGATTCTCCATGAGAACAGAGATAAATCAAGACTTGTCTGAGCGAATGAGCTGCCTTGTCATGGAGTCCAAGTAATGTTCAGTGATTCCTGTCAGAGGACCGCAAAGCCTCCTGAAAAGTGCAAACAACCTCAGTCCCCACAACAAGAAAACAACCCACAAACAGGAGTGCAGTTAGCATTCCCAAAGTCACTTTTATTTTCTGAAATAACTGGCAGCTAAATAATCTGTGCTGAGAGGCCATCCTATCCATCAGCAGTCAAATGAAAGAGCCCCTCCACAATGAGAAGTACATACAAATGAAATAAAACAAAGACTTGATTACCAGGCAAAAGCTAGACAAGGCTGCCTACTTCTCATCCTAAAGGAATCATGTAGCCCTCTGATGGAAATGGGAGAACAAGAGTTTCCTTGTTGCCAGCAGTAATGGGAATTTATGGTTTTAAAAGTATCAAAGCTGCACAGTCATTAAAACCTGATAGTGTTTAGAAAAAAACACTCATGCAATTGATTCCCATGAGGGTCATTCTTTGTGACCCAGGAAACGTTTAGTGTGGAAGTCGTTGAGCCAGATCCAGGAAACCCTAGCCCAATGAGGAATATGGAAGTCAGAAAAACAAGAGGCAAGTGTGGGTACCATATACCACCCAGCATCTATCCGTTGCACTCCCATTTGTCTTTGGGTATCAAAGCCCTGAAATTGGGAGTTTGCCAGCATGTCCCCAATTTGCACACTAACTGTTCCTTGCACACTGGAGTACTGCCACCTGAACACAGGCCCATGGTATGGACTGCTTGCGTAATTAAGAGAAGGCAGGGATGGATTTGGAAACAACTTCTGTGTCATCTTTTTTTATTTTTATTTTTGCAGGTGAAATTGTGAGACCCAATCCACTCTTCACCAGATTGTATCCTCACCCCTAACTGACCTTATTGCAGCTCACATTCTATGTCCCAAGACCAAATCCCAAGATGATGGAGGAGTGCACCCTCACGACCTGAAGTACCTGCTCTTCAGGGAGCTGAATTTGAGGTAAATTGTAGCGGCCCTGCAGACAAGACTGCTAGTTTCTATCCCTGGGTTCACTGCAAGACAATAAAACACTGGGAGATGTCTGTTTTTTTTTGGTGTGGTGTCCTTCCCTTCTTTCTTGAAGAGTGGCTTTTTTTTTTTTTGCAGGGCCAGGTGATTTAGATGTTGTCTGGTCCCAGCTAGCCTCCCAATTCACTGCAGATTCATGAACCACAGAAAAATAAAGAATGTGGATTCCCATAGCACAAGAAAAGCTACACAGACAGTCCACAAAAAGGTTGGGAGACTTAAAAAAAATTGCTAAACTGCATTAGCCACATTCTTTTAAGCAGACTCCACTTACTGGCACAAACACATGTACACACACACAAATACAATGCCACACACACACAGCCATTCAACACTTACAACTCTCTCACAGAAACACACAGCCTGGCTGCTCCTGAGGCTGCATGGTTCTACAGGAAGCCTCACCTGGGATAGAGCAACCCCAGGGATCACTGGTGGGCTGTACCTAGAAATCACAATAGGCAAGCTTCAAAAAGATTTACCCCTACAATTTCCAGGCAGGCTTCAGAAATAATGCAGATAATTTGAGATTCTTAGGTATAATAAGGTTTATTCCTGGGACTGTAATTGAGGTTTTTTCATGCTGGCTCATGCCTTCCCTATTCTAGGATCATGGTACTAGTTCATAAATCCCACATTCCTGAGATTTGTGCATGGTCATTCATGAGGGAAAATCGGGCATGCAGCTGTCAGAGCTGTAAGCCTGCTTAAGCAGAGAATACTGGTACAGGAAGAGCCAGCCTGCTATTGGGAAAAAGGCTGCCTGTGATAACCTTGGAGGTTACAGGCAGGCTGTATCTAGAAATCACAGTGGGGCAAGTTCCAAAAAGACTCACCTTTACAATGTGTAGGAAGATTTTAGGAATCCTGCAGAATCTTTTGAATTTTTAGGGATTTCATGGTTTATTTGTGCAGCTGTGCTTGAGATTTCTTCCTGCTGGTTAATGTCTGCCCTCTACTAGGATCATGGGACTATCCCATGGATCCCACAGAGAAGACAGCTGACAGTCCACCACTGAAGCACCTCCACAAGGTCTCCTTCTCCGCCAAGGGACTTGTTGCTAGGCAATGGTGACATTCATTGTGATGCAAGCCAGAACTCATAATCAGGTCTGGTGCCCTGAGACTACTGCCTGTGTATTTGAGAGGCAGGCTCCAGTGCCCAACTGTCAGAGCTGTCAACCTGCCTAAACAGAGAACAATGGTACAGGTGAAGCCAGCCTCATATTGGGAAAAATCTGCCTGTGAAAACCCACTGCAGGACCCTAAAAGTCTAGACCTCAGATCTCCTTAATGCCTTCTCCGTTGTGGAATACCACTGGAGAACTAGTTGTTTTGAGACTGTCAGGTTGTCGCTGGAATCTGCTCTTCTGATTCTGTTTCTGAAAGAGGCTGTGTGCAGGAATTATGCCCCATGGGAATGGCAACATAGTCTTATGTGTTGTTGAGGGTTCTTTAAGTGATAGAAACATACCTTAGATTCCAGAGGTGGGTGTAAGTGAACGATTGCCTAGCTGTTGACCTCACTGCCACCCTTCATCCTGGGCCTTGCAGGGGCTTTCTGGGAAAAACAGGAGGAACCAGGAAAAAGGCAAGCTCAAAATGAAGCAGTGTTCTCACACTTTGGACTGGCTTCTGTCTGGTGTGGATATGGTTGAGACAGTGTCTCAGAGGCCATCTGTGGTGATGGTAAGCCTGAAAAAACTGTCCAGTAGTGCTGTCGAGGGGTACTGTGGATTCCTCTTGAAAGCAAAGAAAAATCAAGGCTAGCCTGAGAGAACAAGCTGATTTGTGCTTGAGTTTTTGCAATATTCAATGATTCCTGTTAGAGGACCCAAAACCCTACTGCAAAGTGCAAACAACCTCAGTCCCTAAAACGAGACAACCCACAACATGGAGCACAGTCAGCCTACCTGAAGTAACTTTTGCTTTCTGAAATCCCTGGCAGCTTAATAATTTGTGGTGACAGGCTGTACTATCCAGCAATAGCACAATGAAAGAGCTCTTTTACAATGTGAAGACCATGCAGATAAAATGAAACATAGGGTAGATTACCAGGCAAAAGCCAGACACAGCTTTCTGATTCTCATTCTACAGGAATCATGCAGGTTTTTGATAGAAGTGGGAGAACAAGATTTTTTCTATTGGCAGTTGTAATGGGAATTTACAGTTTTAAAAATATGAAACTGCCCAGTCATTAAGACCTGACACTGTTTAGAAGGAAACACTAACTCAATGGATTCCCATCAGGTTCGTTCTTTGTGAACTAGGAAATGTTTAGTGTGGAAGTCATTGAGCCAGACTCAGGAAACCCTAGGCCAATGTGGAACATGGGATTTAGGAAAAAAAAGAGGCAAGTGTGGATGGAGGTCAGAGCCCACCCAGCATCAATCAATTCCACTCCCATTTGGATCAAGGAATGAAAACCCTCAAATTGATAGTGGGCTAGGATGTCCTCAATTTGAAATCCAAATGTGTTTTGCACATTAGAGTACTACCACCTGAACCCACAGTCATAGTGTGGACTGCTTGTGCAATTCAGGGAATGAAGGAATGGAGTTGGAAGCACTTTCTGTGTAATCTGTGTTTATTTTTTCTGCAGGTGGAGTTGTGGGAACTCATCCATTCCTCATCAGATTGTATGCTAACCCCTATCTGACATTATTGCTGCTCACACTTTATATGCCAGAATAAAATTCCAAGACAGTGGAGAAATGCCACCTCATGATGCGAAGCACCTGCTTGGCTGGGAACCGATTTCGAGTTAAATTCAAGGGAACCTGTGGACAGGACTGCCGGTATCTCTCTCTGGGCTGGACTCAGGACAAAGAAAAACAGGGAGATGTCCATTTTTTGATGTGGTGTTCTCCTCTTCTTTATAGAAGAGTAAATTTTTTTCTTTTTTTCTTTTTTTTGCAGTAGGAGTTGATATGGACTCCAACGAGTCTCTGCAAGCCTTCCAATTCACTGCGTATTCATAATCCACAGAAAAATAAAAAAAACAGAGCCCCACAGCCCAAGCAGAGCCACACAGATAGGTTACAAAAAAATTGGTAGACACATGAAAAAGAAGTGTTGAAGTGCGTTAGCCACATTTCTTTAAGCCAGCTCCACTTACAGGCATGCACACACACACAAACACATAATGCCACACACACACACACATACAGACATTTAACACTTACAACACTCCCCCAGAAACACACAGCCAGATAGCTCTTGAGTCTGTGTGGTTTTGCAGAAAGCCCCACCTGTGAGAGAGTAAACTCGGGGAACACAGTGGGGATGTACCTAGAAATCACAGAGGGGCAACTTTCAAAAAGACTCACCCATCAGGCAGGCCTGGGGAATCCTGAAGGTCCCTTTGTATCCTTAGGGATTTCATACCCCTCCACAAAAAGAAGGCTGTGCAGTTGAAATGAAACAGTGGCTAGATTACCAGTAAGAAGCCAGACATGACGGCCTTCTTCTCATGCTACAGGAATCATGCAGCCTTCCAATAGAATTGGGAGAACAGGAGTTTCCTTGTTGGAGGCTGTAATGAAAATTTATGGTTTTAAAAGTATCAAAGCTGTCCAGCCATTAAAACGTGATAGTGTTTAGAAGGAAACACTCAAGCAATGAATTCCCATGAGTGCCATTCTCCGTGTACTGGGAAACTTTTCATGTGAAAGTAATTGAGCCAGAATCAGAAAACCCTGGGCTGACATGGAACATGGAAATCACAAAAGGAAGAGGCAAGTCAAGAACCCACATCCCAACAAGCATTAATCCATTCTACTCCCCACTGAAATTGGCAGTTTGCAAAGATAGCCCCAATTTGCACTCCAAATATTTCTCACACTTTAGAGTACTCCCTCCTGAACAATGGGCAATGGTGTGGAATGCTTGTGCAATTAAGGGAATGTGGGGATGGAGTTGGAAGCACCTTCTATATCAACTGTCTTCATTTTTTTTTCTAGTAAAGTTGTGGGACCCCATCCACCCTTCATCAGTTTGTATCTTCACCACTATCTGACCTTATTGCTGCTGACACTCCTTGTCACAGGATGAAATCCCAAGATGATGCAGGTGTTCCTCCTAGAGATGTTAAGTGCCTGCTTGGGTGGAAACCGAATTGGAGTTAAATTCAAGAAGCCCTGCAGACAGGACTACTAGTGTCTCTTTCTGGTTTGGCCACAGGACAATGAAACCCTGGAAGACATCTGTTAATTGGTGTGCTCCTCTTCTTTTTAGAAGAGTGGCTTTTTTGCAGTGGGAGGTGATTTGGATGCCGGACATTCTTGGCCCACCTCCCACTTCACTGCAGATTCAACATGCACATAAAAATAAGGAACACAAAGCCACACAGCCAAAGCAGAGCCACACAGACAGGGCAATAAAAGGTTTGAGACTCAAAAAAAAAAAAAAAAATGTGCTGAAGTGAGTAAGCTGTATTCCTTTAAGCATAAGCATACTTCACTTAGAGGCACACACACACACACACACAAACAAACACATAATGACATACACACATGCAGACATGCAACAATCTCAACACTGCCACAGGAACCCAAATCCTGACATCTCCTGAGGCTTTGTGGTTCTGTGGTAGACCCACTTGGGAGAGACCAAACCTGGAGAACAAGGGTTTGTGGTAACTAGAAAGCAGAGTGGGGAATGTTTCAAGAATACTCACATCTACAATGCCTAGGCAGACCTGAGAAACCCCGCAGATTTTTTTGTATCCTTAGGGATTTTGTGGTTCAATCCTGGGATTCTGCTTGATGTATCTTCAGGCTGGCTCATGACTGCTCTCTCTTGGGATCATGGGACTATCCCATGGATCCCACAAAGTGAGAATCCACAGCCAATGCACCTCCTTGGAGGTCTCCTTCTCCAGCAATCTGCAGAGACTTGGCGTTAGGGAACAATGACATTAATTGTGACACTACCCAGAGCTCATAATCAGGCCTGGTGTCCTGTGATCTGTCTTCATTTTTTTTGCAGATGAAGTTGTAAGACTACATACACCCCTCACTAGATTTTATTCTCACCCCTAACTAACTTTGTTGCTGATCACATTCTATGTACCAGGATGAAATCCCAAAATGATGGAGTGCCCCCTCATAATGTGAAGCATCAGCTTAGCTAGGAACAAATTTGACATAAATTCAAGAAGCCCTGTGGACAGGACTGCTAATGTCTCTCCCTGTTTTGGCTGAAGGACAGTGAAACACTGGAAGATGTCTGTTTTTTTTGCTGTGGTGTGCTCCTCTTCTTTCTAGAAGAGTGGCTTTTTTTTTTTTTTTTTTTTTGCAGAGGCAGGTGATTTAAACACAGGTAGGTCTCAGCCCGCCTCCCAATTCACTGCACATTCATGATCTACAGAAAAAGAGAGAACACGGAGCCCCACAGACCCTAGCAGAGCCACACAGACAGGCCACCTAAAAGTTGGTGACTCAAGAAAAAAAAATTAGAGATGAAGTGTATTAGCCACATTTATTTAAGCAGACGCCACTTACAGGCACACACACACAATGCCGCACACACACACAATTACACACACACACGCAGAAATCCAACACTTGCACCACTCCCACAGAAACATAGCCCGGCAATACCTGGGGCTACATGTTTCTGTAGGAAACCCCAACCTGGGAGAGAGCCACCCTAGGGAACACAGGCGGGCTGTACGTAGAAATCAGAGTGGGTCAAATTTCAAAAAGACTCACCCTTACAATGCCTAGACAGGCCTGAGAAATTCTGCAAGCTTTTTAGTATACTTAACCATTTCTCGATTTATTCCTGGGGGTGTGCTTGACATTTCTGCACGCTGACTTATGTCTGCCCTCTTGGGATTATGGGACTACCCCAACTTTCCCACAGAGAAGACAGGCAGGAGTCTACTGCCGAAGCACCTCAGCGGAGGTATCCTTCTTTTCCAAAACGCAGGGACTTGGCTCTGGGCAACAAGGACATTAATTGTGACGCTATGCAGAGCTCACAATCAAGCTTAGTGCCCTGGGACAATCGCATGCGCATTTGTGAGGCAGGATCTGATGTCGTTGGGTCTCCCTGGAGGAAGAAGATTTTCAAGATTTTGAGGTTGTCCCTGGAAACTGTTTTCCTGACTTGATTCTCAAAAGAGTGCGTGTGTGATAATCGGGTACCATGGGGGTTGGAATATAGCACAGTGTGTTGTTTAGGGTTCTTTGGGTGACAGAATCATACTTGAGACCCCAGAGGCAGATGTCAGCAAAAGATTCCCAGGCTCACTGCCTCCTTTTATCCTGGGACTTTAAGAGGCTCTCTGGGAAATGAGGGAACCACAACAAAGGCAAGTCCAAAGTGGAGCAGTGTTCACATATCTCTTATTGTCCACTAATGGGTACAGATGAGGTTTGTCTCAGATGCCATCTGCAGTGATGGAGTGATGGCAAGCCTGAAAGGGGTGTCCAGTAGTGCAGTTGAGGAGCACTTTGGATTCCCCATGAAGGCAAAAAAAATAATCAAGGCTCACATGAGAGTATGAGCAGCCTTGTGCTAGAGTCCAAGCAATGTTCAGTGATTTCTGTCAGAAGACCCAAAAGCCTCCTACAAAGTGCCAACGTTCTCAGCCCCAACAAAGAGAGAAAGACCCACAATCTAGAGTGCAGCCAGGAAGTCCATTTTGCTCTCTGAAATTACTAGCAGCTACATAATCTGTGGCAAGAGGAAGTCCCATCCAGCCACAGTTCAATGAAAGAGCCTTTCAAAAATGAGAAGGCTGTGCAGATAAAATGAAATAGAGTCTAGATTACCGGGTAAAACCCTAACACAGCTGCCTGCTTCTCATCCTACAGGAATCATGCACCCCTCTGATAAATGTGAGAGAACAACTTTTTTGTTGTTGTTGTTGTTTTACTGTAACAGGAATATAAAGTTTTAAAAGTATTAAAGGTCCCTGTCATTAAAATGTGACAGTGTTTAGAAGGAACAACTCATGCAATGGATTTCTATCAGGGTCATTCTCTGTGAACTGGAACATATTTAGAGTAGAATTCATTGGGCCAGACCCAAGAAACCCTAAGGTGAGGACATTAATGTAAGTCATGAAAAGAAGCAGCATTTATGGAAGCCACATCACACCCAGCATCAGTTGATTCCACTCATATTTGCCTCCCAGTATGAAAGGCCTCAAATCACCAGTTTCCCAGGTTGGCCCCAATTTGCATTCCAAATGTTACTTGTGCATTGGAGTACTCCCACCTGAACACTGAGCCATGGTGTGGACTGCTTATGCAATTAAAGGAGTGGGGAATGGATTTGGAAGCACTTCCTTGTCATCTGTCTTTATTTTTTTTTTGTAGGTGAAGTTGCAGCACCCCATCCATCCCTCAAGAGATTGTATCATCACCCCTATCTGACCTTATTTCTGCTCACACTTTATGTCCCAAGATGAAATCCCAAAACGATGGAGGAGTGCCCCTTCAGGACATGAAGCACCTGCTCAGCTGGGAACTGAATCTGAGGTAAATTCAAGGGACCCTGCTGACAGGACTCCTTTGTTGGCCTTTCCCTGTGTTGGCCATAGGACTATGAGACACCGGAAGATGTCTGTCTTTTGCTGTGGTGTGCTCCACTTCTCTCTAAAACAGTGACTTCTTTTAGCAGAGAGAGTTGATATGGATGCCAGTAGTCCCAGCCTGTCTCCCAATTCACTGAGTATTCATGATCCATATAAAAATAAAGTACATGGAGGCCTGCAGCCCAAGCAGAGCCACATCAACAGGCCACTGAAAAGTGGGGAGATTCAAAAAAAAAGTGCTGAAGTGTGATAGCCACATTTCTTTAAGCAGACTACACTTACAGGTGCATGCTCACAGACACACACACACAAAGACACAAACACAAAATACCTCACACATATGCACACACCTGGCATTCTCAATACTCCCATAGAAACCAACAGCCCAGGAGCTCTGGATGCTGCATGGTCCTACAGGAAGCCCCACCTGGAGAGAGCAACCCTGAGTACACAGGGCAGGCTGTACCTAGAAATTACAGTAGGGAAAGTTTCAAAAAGAATCACCCCCTGCACTGTCTAGGCAGGCCTGAGGAATCCTGAGGATCTTCTTGGATCCTTGGGAATTTTGCAGTTTATTCCTGGGACTCTGCTTGATGTTTCTTCAGGCTGGCTTATGTCTGCCCGCTTGTAGGACAATGGGACAATCCTGTGGATCCCACAGAGAAGACAGGAGAGAGTCCATCACTGATGCAAGTCCAGAAAGGTCTCTATTTCTGCCAAGACTCAGGGACTTGTTGCTAGGCAATGCTGATATTCATTGTGATGCCAGCCAGAGCTCACAATCAGGCCAGGTGCCCTGAGACTAGCACATGCACATGCGTGAGGTAGGCTGATGCCCTGGCTATCAGAGCTGTCAGCCTGTCTAAGCAGAGAAAAATGGTACAGGCAGAACCTGCCTGGTATTGGGAAACAAGCTGCCTGTGACCACCTACTGTGGGACACTAATCATCTAGACATCAGGGCCCCTTCTGGCTGTCTCTGTTGTCGGGTCTCACTGGAGGAGGAGGTGTTTTGAGACTGTGAGGTCATCACTAGAAACTGCTCTTCTGACTCTAGTCCCAAAAGAGGCTGTGTGCAAGAATCAGGTCCCATGTGAATGGGAATATAGTCTGGTGTCTTGTAGAGCCTTGCTGGGTGATAGAATCATATCTGAGACCCCAGAGGTAAGTGTCAGCAAAAGATGGCCAGCTCTTGACCAGAAGACTCCCTTGATCCTGGGCCTCACAGAGACTCTCTGAAAAAAGCAGGAACCATGACAAATGCAAGTCCAAGCTGGAACAGTGTTCTCAAACCCCGGAGTGGCTTCTCACATGTGCTGATGAAGTGGAGGCAGTGTCTCACAGTACTGCAAAGTGCAAATAACCTCAGCCTCCACAAGGAGACAATGAGCCACAATCTGGAACACATCCATCCTACCCAAAGTCCCTTTTGTTCTCTGAAATCGTGGGCAAATAAATAATATGTGGATACAGGCAGCCCCATCCAGCAACAGCTCAATTAAAAATTCCCTCCACATTAAGATGGCCATGCAGATGAAATGAGACAGAATCTAGATTAGCAGGCAAAGGACAGACATGGCTGCCTGCTTCTCATCCTACAGGAATCATGCAGCCCTTGGATAGAAATAGGATAAAAAGTTTCCTTGTTTGAGGCTATAACGGGAATTTAAGGATTTAAAAGTATCAAGGCAGCCCAGTCATTAAAATGTGACAGAGTTTAAAAGGAAACACTCAGGCAATGGATTCCCACAAAGGATGCTCCCTGTTAACTTGGTAACGTTTACTGTGGCAGTCATTGAACCAGAACCAGCAAACCCTAGGGCAAAGAGAATCATAGAAGTCTGGAAAAGCAGAGACAAGTCTGGAAGTCACATCCCTCCCAGCATCAATTGATTCCACTCACATTTGCCTCTGGGTATGAAAGACCTTAAAATGGCAGTTTGCCAGGATGGCCCCAGTTTGAATTCCAAATATTCCGTGTTCGTTGGAGTACTCTCACCTGAACACTGAGCCACGGTGTGGACTGCTTGTGCAATTAGGTGGGGATGGATTTGGAAGCACCTTCAGTGTCATCTGTGTTTATTTTTATTTTGGCAGATGAAGTTGTGGGACCCCATCCACCCCTCACCAGATTGTATCCTCACCCCTATCTGACCTTTTTCCTGCTGACACTCCTTGTCCCAGGATGAAATCTTAAAATGATGGAGAAGTGAGGCTTCATGAGGTGAAACATCTGCTCGACAGGGAACTCAAGTCGAGGTAAATTCAAGGGGCCCTGCCAACAGAACTCCTTGTGTTGGACTCTCCCTGTGTTAGCCATAGGGCTATAAAACATGGAAAGACGTGGGGTTTTTGGCGTGGTGTGCTCGTCTTCTTTCTAGAACAGTGGTTTGTTTTTTTTTGTTTGTTTGTTTTTTTTGGTTTTTTTTGTTGTTGTTGTTGTTTTGGTTTTTTTTTTTTTTTTTTTTTTGCAGAAGCAGCTGATTTGGATGCTAGCAGTTTCCAGCCTGTTTCCCAATTCACTGCAGATTCATGATCCACATAAAAATAAAGAACAAGGAGCCCTGCATCCCAAGGAGACCTACATAGACAGGCCACCAAAACATGGTGAGACTTAAAAACAGAAGTGCTGAAGTAAGTTAGCCACATTCCTTTAAGCAGACTACATTTACATGCACACACACACAAATACAAAAACACACAATGCCTCACACATATGCACACATCCGACATTCACAATTCTCCCACAGAAACACACAGCCCACCAGCTCCTGAGGCTGTGTGGTTCTGCAAGAAGCCCCATCTGAAAGAGAGCAACCCCAGTTAACAGTCAGGCTATACCTAGAAATCACAGCAGACCAAGTTTCAAAAATATTCACCCCTGCAACATCTAGGCATGCCTGAGGAATTCTGCAGATTTTTTGGATCCTTAGAGTTTTGTAGCTTATTCCTGGTGCTTTGCCTGATGTTTCTTCAGTGTGGCTCATGTCTTCTATTTTCTAGGACAATGGGACCATCCCGTGGATCTCACAGATAAGACAGGGCAGAGTCCACACTGACACACCTCCACGGAGGTCTCCATCTCTGCCAATTAGCAGGGACTTGTCGCTAGGCAATGCTGACATTCATTGTGACTCTAGCCAGAACTCACAATCAAGTCAGGTGCCCTGAGAATACCACATGCCCATTTATGAGGTAGGCTAGGGTCCCTGGCTGTTGGAGCTGTCAGCCTGACTAAATAGAGGAAAATGTACCAGGAAAAGCTGGCCCAGTATCCTGAAACAGGCTGTCTGTGAAAACCCACTGCAGGACACTAAAAGTCTAGACTAATATCCCCTTCTGGCCACCTCCGTGGTCAGGCCCCACTGGAGGAGGAGGTGTTTAAAGAATGTGAGTTGGTCGCTGGAAACTGCTGCTCTGATTCCAGTCCCAAAAGAGGCTGTGTGCAAAAATCAGGTTCCATGTGGATTGGAATACTGTCTGGTGTATTGTGTGGTGTTCTTTGGGTGATAGAATCATATCTGAGACCCGAGAGGCAGGTGTCAGTGACAGATGGCCAGGCTCTTGACCTCAATGCCTCCTGTGATCCTAGGCCTCACAGGGGCTCTCTGGGTGAAACAGGAACCATTACAAATTCAAGCCCAAGATGGAACAGTGTTCTCATACCTCGGACTGGCCTCTCTTGGGTACAGATGAGGTTGAATCCATGTCTCAGAGTCCATCTGTGGCCATGGCAAGCCTGAAAAAGGTGCCCAGTAGTGCTATTGAGGGGCACTGTGGATTCCCCATAAAAGTAAAGAAAAATCAAGACTTGTCTGAGAGAACAAGCTAACTTATTCAACTTGTTCTGGAGTCCAAGCCATGTTCCATGATTCTTGTCAGAGTAACAGAAAGCCTCCTGCAAAGTGCAAACAATCTCAGCACCTGCAAGGAGACAATGACCCACGACTTGAAAACCAGCCAGCCTATCCAAACTCCCTTTCATTCTCTGAAGTCCCTGACAGATAAATAGTCTAGGGTGATAGGCATTCCCATCCAGCAACAGCTCAATAAAAAATCCCCTCCACATTGAGACGGTAGTGCAGATTAAATGAAACAGAGGTTAGATCAGCAGGCAAAGGCCAGGCATGGCTGCCTGCTTCTCATTCTACAGGAATCATGCTGCCCTTTGATAGAAATGGGAGACAAAGTTTCCTTGTTTGTGACTGTAATGGGAATTTATGGTTTTAAAATTATTGAAGTTGCCCAGTCATTAAAACATGACAGTGTTTAGAAGGAAACACTCAGGCAATGGATTCCTATGAGGGACACGCCCCATCAACTGGGTAATGTTTAGTGTGGAAGTAGTTGAGCCAGAAGCAGGAAGCAATATGGCAACGAGAATCATGGAAGTCTAAAAAAAAAGAAAAAATGAGGCAAGTCTGGTGGTCACATACCATCCAGCATCAATCCATTCCACTTTTATTTGGCTCCAGGTATGAGAGTGCTTGTATGAGATGTTTGCCAGTATGGCCTGAATTTGCACTCCAAATCTTCCTAGAGTGTTGGAATACTCTCACCTGAATATCAGGCCATGGTGTGGACTGCTTGTACAATTAAGGGAATGCGAGGATGAAGCTGGAAGCACCTTCTGTGTCATCTTTTTTATTTTTATTTTTGCAGGTGAAGTTGTGGGTTCACATACACCCCTCACCAGACTTTATCCTCACCCCTATCTTACCTTATTGCTGTTCACACTCTAGTTCCTGGGATGAAATCCCAAGATGATGGAGAATTGCCCCCTCATGACATGAAACACCTGCTCCAGTGGGAACAAAACTCGATGTAAAGTCAAGGGGCCCAACGGACTGGACTGCTAGTGTTTGTCCCTGGTTTGGCCACAGGACAATGAAACACTTGAAGATGTCTCTTTTTTGGTGTGGTGTGCAGCTGCTTTTTCTAGAAGAGTGGCTTTTATTTTTTATTTATTTATTTATTTTAGCAGTGGGAGGTGATGTAAGTAAACACCTGCAGGTCTCAGGCCGCCTCCCAATTTACAGTAGATTTATGATCCACATAAAAATAATAAACAAGGAGCCCCACAGCTCAAGCCAAGCCGCATGGACAGGTCATCAACTAAAGGGTTGGTGACTCAAAAAAAAAAAAAAGGAAGAAGTGATTACACACACACACACACATACACGATGCCACACAGACATGCGGACATTCAACATTAGCAACTCTCTGACAGAAACACAGCCCAGCAACTCCCTTGGCTGTGTGTTTCTGCAGGAAACCCCACCTCAAGAGAGCCAACCTAAGGTACAGAGGCAGGCTAGAAATCTGACTGTGGCAAGTTTCAAAAAGACTCATATCTACAACCCCTAGGCAGGCCAAGGAATCCTGCAGATTTTTTGTGTCCTTAATGATTCCACAATTTATTCCTGGGGTTGTATTTGACGTTTCTTCAGGCTGGCTCTTGTCTGCCCTCTCTTGGGATCATGGAACTATCCCATCTATCCCAAAGAAGATAGGCAAGAGTTCGCAGCCAATGCAACTCAACGGAAGTGACCTTCTCCTCCAAGCCACAGAGACTTGGCACCAGGCAACAATAACATCAATTGTGATGCTACCCAGGGCTCACAAACAGTCCTGGTGCCCTGAGACTAGTGCATGTGCATTCGTGAGGCAGGATCTGGTGCCAGGCTTCAGAGCTTTCAGCCTGCCTAAGCAGTGGGAAATGGTATGGGCAGAGCCAGCCTGGCATAGGGCAAAAGGTGGCCTGTGAAAACCCACTATGGGACACTAAACTTCTCGACCTCAGGGCCCCTTCAGACCATTTACATGGTCGGGTCTCACAGGAGGAGAAAATATTTTGAGACTCTGAGGTGGTCACTGGAAAAGCTTCTTCTGACTTCATTTCCAAAAAAGGCTGTGTGTGAGAATCTGGTTCCACAGAGATTGGAATATAGTACCGTATTGGAATTGTTGTGTTGTTGAAGGTTCTTTGGGTGATAGAATCATACCTGAGACCACATGTGTGGATGTCAGTGAAAGATGGCTGGGCTCTTGACCTCACCATCTCCATTCATCCTTGACATCACAGAGGCTTTCTGGGAAATGTAGGAGCCACGACGAAGGGAAGTTCAATGCAGAATCATGTTCTCACATCTCATATCATCCTCTAACAGTTACAGATAAGGTTTAGACAGTGTTTCAGATGCCGTCTGTAGAGACGGCAAGCATGTAAATAATGTCCATTAGTTCTGTTGAGGGGCATTTTCGATTCCTGTGAGAGGGAAGAAAAATCAAGGCTCACCTGAAGGAAACAGCTGCCTTGTGCTGGAGTCCATGCAATGTTCAGTGATTTCTTTCAGAAGACCCAAAAGCCTTCAGAAAAGTGCAAACGTCAGCCCCTGCTATGAGACAACGATCCACAACCTGGAGCACAGACTGATTAATAAAAGTCCCTTTTCCTCTCTGAAATCTCTGGCAGCTACATAATCTGTGGCAAGAGACAGTCCCATTGAGCAACACTTCAATGAATGCACCCCTCCAAATTGAGAAGGCCATGAAGATGAAATGAAATAGTCTAGATTCCCAGGTAAAAGACTGACACAACTGCCTGCTTCTCATCCAAAAGAAATCATGCAGCTCTTCAATATGTAAGAGAGAACAAGTTTCCTTTTGGTGGCTGTAATGGGAATATACAGTTTTGAATGTATCAAACTTTCCAGTCATTAAAGCATGACAGTGTTTAGAAGGAAACATTCATGCAATAGATTAACATGAGTGTTGTTATCCATGAACTGGGAAATATTAAGTATTGAAGTCGTTAGGCCAGACCCAGGAAACCCTAGGACAATGAGAATCATGGAAGTTCTAAAAAGAAGAGGCAAGTCTTAAAGCCACATCCCACAAAGCATCAATCCATTCCACTCACATTTGGCTTCAAGTATGAAAGGCCCCAAATCCTCAGTTTGCCAGGATAGCCCCAATTTGCACTTCAAATGTTACTTGTACATTGGAGTACTCCCACCTGAACACTGAGCCAGGTTGTGGACTGCTTGTGCAATTAAGAGAATGGGGGGTGGATGTGGAAGCACCTTCTGTGTCATCTGTCTTTATTTATTTATTTATTTTGCAGATGAAGTTGCAAGACATCTTCTACCCCTCAACAGACTGTATCTTCACCTCTATCTGACCTTATTGCTGCTCACATTATTTGTCTCAAGATAAAATCCCAAAACTCTGGAGGGGTGCTGCCTCACAAGATGCATCACCTGCTCAGTTGGGAACCAAATTTGAGGTAAATTCAAGGTGCCCTGCTGACAGGACTGCTGTGTCTCTTCCTGTGTTGGCCTTAGGGATATGAAACACAGAGACATGTCTGTTTTTTTTTAATATGGTGTGCTCCTCTTATTTCTAGAACAGTTTTTGTTGTTGTTGTTGTTGTTTGTTTTGTTGTTTTTGTTTTTTCTTCAGAGGGAGTTTATTTGGATGCTAGCGATTCCAGACTTACATCCTAATTCACTGCAGATTCATGATCCACATAAAAATAAAGAACACAGAGCAGTGAAGACCATGCAGAGTCACACAGACAGGCCACCAAAAGGTGTGGAGACTTATAAAAAAAGAAGTGCTGAAGTGCGTTAGCCACATTTTTTTAAGCAGATTCCAGTAACAGACAGACACACACACACAGAAGACACAAAAACATAATGCCTCTCTCACACACACACACACACACACGTCAGACATTTGGAACATTCCCATAGAAACACTCAGCCTGGCATCTTGTGATGTGGCGTGGTTCTGCAGGAAGCCCCATCTGGGAGAGAATAACCCTGAGAAACATAGACGGGCTGCTCCTAGAAATAATAGTAGGGTAATTTTCATAATGACTCACACCTACAATGTCTAGGCAGGCTTAATAACCCTGCAGATCTTCTCAGATCCTTAGCAATTTTGTGGTTTATTCCTGGGGCTCTGCTTGACATTCAGGCTGGCTCATGTATACTTCTTCTTAGAACAATGGGACAATCCCATGGATCCCACAGAGAAGACAGGGGAGAATTCACCACTGACACACCTCTACGGAGGTCTCTATCTCTGCCAAGCCACAGGGAATTTTCACTACGCAAGAGTGGCATTCATTGTGACACTAACAAGAGCTGACAATCAGGCCAGGTGCCCTGGGACTAGCACATGCACATTCATGAGGTAGGCTAGAGCCCCTGGCTGACAGAGCCGTCAGCATGCCTAAGCAGAGAAAAATGTTACAGGCAAAGCCGGCCTGGTGTCAGAAAACAGGCCGCCTGTGAAAACCCACTGTCAGACACTAAAAGTCTAGATCTCAGGACCTATTCTGACCATCTCCATGGTAAGGTCTCACTGGAGGAGGAGCTGTTTTGAGGCTGTGAAGTGGTCGCTAGAAAGTACTCTTCTGACTCCATTCCCAAAAGAGGCTGTGTGCAATAATCGGGTCCCCTGTGGATTGAAATACAGTCTGGTGTAGTGTAGAGGGTTCCTTGGGTGATAGAATCATACCTGAGGCCACAGAAGTGGGTGTCAACAAAAGATGGCCAGGCTCTTTATCTCAATGACTCCCTTGATCCTGGTCCTCACCAGGACTATCTGGGAAAAGCAGAAACCAAGACAAATGCAAGTCCAATGTGGAGCAGTGTTCTCATACTGTGAACTGGCCTCTCACAGATAAAGATGAGTTTGAGTCAGTACCTCAGAGTCCACCTGTGGCCATGGCAAGCCTGAAAAGTGTGTCCAGTAGTGCTGTTGAGGGGCACTGTGGATTCCTCTTGAAAGCATAGAAAAGTCAAGGCTCACCTGAGAGAATGAGCTAAATTGTTCTGGAGTCCAAGCAAAATTCAATGATTCCTGTTAAAGGGCCCAAAACCTCCTGCAATGTGCAAACCACTTCAGCCCCCACAAGGAAACAACAACCGCAACCTGGAATGCAGCCAGCCTATCCAAGATCCCTTCCACTCTCTGAAATTCCTGACAGCTAAATAATCTGTTGCTAGAGGCAGTCCCATCAAGCAACAGCTCAATGAAAGAGCCCCTCCACAATGAAACGGCCATGTAGATGCAATGATAGAGGCTAGATTACCAGGCAATGGACAGATATGCCTGCCTCCTTCGCATCCTACAGAAATCGTGCAGCCCTTAGATAGAAATAGGAGACAACATTTACTTGTTTGTGGCTCTAATGGGTATTTATAGTTTTAAAAGTATCAAAGCTTCCCAGTCATTAGAATTTGACAATGTTTAGAAGGAAACACTCAGGCAATGGATTTCCATTTGTGTTGCTCCCTGTTAACTGGGTAACGTTTATTGCTGAATTCCTTGAGCTAGAATCAGGAAACCCTAGGGTGATCAGAATCACGGAAGTTAGAAAAAGAATAGGAAAGTCTGTAAGCCACATCCCACCAAGAATCAATTCATTCCACTTCCATTTGGCTATGGGTATGAAAGCCCTCAAATCGGGAGTTTGCCATGAAGGTCCCTATTTGCACTCCTAATGTTCCTAGCATGTTAGAGTACTCTCACCTGAACACCGGCCCATAGAGTGGACTGCTTGTGCAATTAAGTGAGTGCGGAGATGGAGTTGGAATCACCTTCTGTGTCATCTGTCTTTATTTATTTATTTTGAAGTTAAAGTTGCAGGACCAGATACACCCCTCATCAGATTTTATCCTCACTTCTTTCTGAACTTATTCCTGCTCACACTATATATCCCAGTATAAAATCCCAAGATGATGAAAGGGTGCCCCTCATGATGTGAAGCTCCTGCTTGGCTGGGAACCGAATTCAATGTAAATTCAAGGGGCCCTATGGACAGGAATGCTAGAGTCTCTCCCTGGTTTGGCTGCAGGACAATGAAATACTGGGAGATGTCTGTTTTTTGGTGTGGTGTGCTTCTCTTCTTTCTAGAATTGTGGATTTTTTTTTTTTTTTTTTTTTTTTTTTTGCAGAGGGAGGTGAATTAAACTCCAGTGGGTCTCGGCCTGCCTCACAATGCACTGTGTATTCATGGTCCACAGAAAAATAGAGAACTTGGAGACTGGCAGCCCAAGCAGAGCCAAAAAAACAGGCCATCTAAAGGCTTGGTGACTCAAAAAAACAGAAGCGATGAAGTGCATTAGCCACATTCATTTAAGCAGACACCACTTATAGTTACACATACACACACAAAAACACACAATGTCACACAAACATGCAGACATCCAATATTTGCAACATTCCCACAGAAACATATAGCATGGCAACTTCTGAGGCAGTGTGCTTCTGCAGGAAGCCCCAGGTGGGAGACAGCAACTAAGGGGAACACAGGCATGCTATACCTACAAATCACAGTAGGTCAAGTTTTAAAATGACTCACCACTACAATGTCTAGGCAGGCCTGAGTAATTTTGCAGATTTCTTTGCATCCTTAGGGATTTCACAATTTATTTTTGGAATTGTGCTTGATGTTTCTTCAGACTCTCATGCCTGTCTTCCCTTGGGATCATGGGACTATCTCGTCTATCTTACAGAGAAGAGAGGTAGGAGTCCATGGCATACACAACTACACAGAGGTCTCCCTCTTCTCCAAGCCACAGGGACTGGGCCCTAGGCAACAATGACAATAATTGTGACACTACCCAGAGATAGCAGTCAGACCTGGTTCCCTGTCAGAGCTGACAGCCTGCCTAAGCAGTAAGAAATGGTACAGGCAGAGCCAGCTTGATATCAAGAAAAAGGAGACCTGCAAAAACCTACAGTGAGAGACTAAAAGTCTAGACCTCAGGACTCCTTTAGATGGTTTCCATGGTCGGGTCTTGCTGGAGGAGGAATGGTTTTGAGACTCTAAGGTGGTCACGGAAACTGTTCTGACTTCATTCCCAAAACATGTTGCTTGCGAGAATCGGGTATTGTGGGGATTGGAATATAGTATGGTGTGTTGTTGAGGGTTCTTTGGGTGATAGAATCATACTTCCCAAAGTTGGAAGTCAGCGAAAGATGGCCAAGCCCTTGGCCTCACAGCCTCCCTTCATCCTAGGCCTTGCAGAGGCTTTCTGGGAAAAGTAGGAACCAACACAAAGGCAAGTCCAATGTGAAGCAGTGTTCTCACACCTCATATTGTCCTCTCACAGGTGCAGATGAGGTTTATACAGTGTCTCAGATGCTGTCTATAGAATGGCAAGCCTGAAAAATATGTCCATTAGTTCTGTTGAGGGGCACTGTGGATTCCACATGAAAGCACCAATAAAAATAAATAAATAAACAAGGCTTGCCTGAGAGAATGAGCTGCCTTCTGCTGGACTCTAAGCAGTGTTCAATGAATCCTGTTAGAAGACCCATAACCCTCCTGCGAAGTGCAAACAAATTCAGCCCCCACAACAAGATAATGACCCACGATGTGGCTTGGAGCCAGCCAAATGGAAGTCCCTTTTGCTGTCTGAAATTTCTGGCAGCTACATAATCTGTGGCAACTGGCAGTCCCCTTCCAGCAACAGTTCAATGAAAGCGCCCCTCCAAAATGAAAAGGCTGAGCAGATGAAATGAAACAAAGTCTAGATTGCCAGGTAAAAGCCTGATATGGCTGCCTGCTTCTCATCCTACATGAATCACGCACCCCTCAGATAGATGTGAGATAACAAATTTCCTTTTGGTGGCTCTAAAGGGAATATACGGTCTTAAAGTATCAATCTTCCCAGTCATTAAAACATGACAATGTTCAGAAGGAAACACTCATGCAATTTCCCATGAGGATCGTTCTCCATGAACTGGGAAACATTTAAGGTGGTAGTCATTGGGCCAGACTTAGGAAACCCTAAAGCAATTAGAATCATGGAAGTCACAAAAACAAAAGGCATGTCTAGAAGTCACAGCCACATCCCACCCAGCATCAATCCATTCCACTCACATTTGCCTCCAGGTATGAAAACCCACAAATGAGTAGTTTGCCAGTATGGCCCCTATTTGTACTCTGAATGTTCTTGTGCATTGGAGTACTCCCACCTGAACACTGAGCCATTGTGTGGATTTCTTTTGCAATTAAGGGAATGTGGGGATGAAGTTGGAAGCAACTTTTTTGTCATCTGTCTTTATTTATTTATTTATTATTTATTTATTTATTGCAGGTGAAGTTGCAAGACCCCATCCACCCCTCACTACATTGTATCCTCATTCCTATCTGATCTTATTGCTGCTCACACTCTATATCCCAGGATAAAATCCCAAGACAATGGAGGAGTACCTCCTGAGGATGTGAAGCACCTGCTTGACTCAGAACTGAATTTGAGGTAAATTTAAGGGGCCCAATCAACAGGACTGCTAGTGTCTCTCCCTGTGTTGACTGTAGGAATATGAAACACGGGCATGTCTGTCTTTTGGCATGATGTGTTCTTATTCCTTTTCTAGAAGAGTGGCTTTTGTTTGTTTTGTTTTGTTTTCTGATTTGTTTTTTTGCTTTTGCAGAAGGAGTTGATTTGGACACATTCAACTAAAAATAAAAAATAAAGAACATCATGCCCCACAACCCAAGCAGAGCCACATATGCAGGCCACCAAAAGCTGGGGAGACTCCAAAAAAAAGTGCTAAAGTGCTTTACCCACATTCCTTTAAGCTGACTCCACTTACATTCACACACACAAACACAAACACACACATACACAAAGAGTAACCTTGAAAAACACTGGTGGGCTATACCAGGAAGTCACAGTAGCACAAGTTTCAAAAAGACTCACCTTTACAACATCTAGGCAGGCCTGAGGAATCCTGCAGATCTTCTTGGATTCTTAGGGATTTCATGGTTTATTCCTCAGGCTCTGTTTGACATTTCTTGAGGCTGGCTCATGTCTGCCCTCTCCTAGGATCATGGATCAAACCCATGGATCCCACAGAGAAGACAGGTGAGTCCAACACCAATGCACCTCCACAGACATCTTCTCTGCCAAGCCACAGGGACTTGTCTCTTGGCAACGGTGACATTCATTGTGATGCTAACCAGTGCTCACAATCAGGCCTAGTCCCCTCAAACTAGCACATGTCCATTTCTGAGGCAGACTCAGGAGTCAGGCTTTGAGAGCTGTCAGCCTGCCTAAGCAGAGGAAAGTGGTACAGCCAAACCCATCCTGGTATCAGGAAAAAAGCTGCCTGTGAAAATCCACTGCTCAGGGCCTTTTTGGGTGGACCCCATGGTTGAATCCTGCTGTGTCAGGAGGCATTTGAAGACTATGAGGTTGTCTCTGGAAACTGCTCTTCTGACTCCACTCCTGAAAAACGCTGTGTGCAAGAATCAGGTCCAATGGGAATTGGAATATTGTCTGGTGTGCTGTTGCATGTTCTTTGGGTGATAGAATCATACCTCAGACCTCAGAAGCTATTGTCAGTGAAAGATGGCCAGGTTGTTGACCTCACTGCTCCCCTTCATCTGGGCCTCACAGAGGCTTTCTAAGAAAGGCAGGAACCAGGACAATGGCAAGTCCAAGGTGAAGCGGTATTCTCACAACTTGGACTGGCCTCTTAGGCATGCAGGTGAGGTTGAGACCTGTCTCAGAGATTGTCTGTGTTGACGGCCAGGCTGAAAATGTTTCCAGTAGTGCAGTTGAGGGGCACAGTAGATTCCTGATGAAAGCAAAGAAAGGCCAAGGCTCACATGAGAGAATGAGCTAACTGGTGCTGGGTCCAAGCAATGTTCAATGATGCCTCTTAAAGGACCCAAAAGTCCACTGCAAAGTGCAAACAGCCTCAGCCCTGGAAATGAGACAATCACCCGCATGCTGGAGCACAGCCAGCCTACCTGAAGTCCGTTTTGCTGTCTGAAATCCCTTCCAGCTAAATAATCTGTGGTAACAGGCAGCCCCACTCAGCAACAGCCCAATGAAAGAGGCTCTCCACAATGAGAAGGCCATGCAGATGAAATGACACAGAGGCTAGATTACCAGGCCAAAGGTAGACATGGCTGCCTACTTCCCATGCTACGAGAATCATGCAGTCCACTAACACAAGTGGGAAAACAAGAGTTTCCTTGTTGGTGGCTGTAACAGAAATTTATGGTTTTAAATGTATCAAAGCTGTCCAGTCATTAAAATATGACAGTGTTTAGAATGAGACACTTATGCAATGGATTCCAGAAGTGCTGTTCTCTGTGAACTAGGAAAGGTTTATTGTGGAAGTCGTTGAGCCAGACCTGAGAAGCCCTAGGGCAAAGGGGAACATGGAAGTTAATATAAGAATAGCAAGTGTGGAGGCCACATTCCACCCAGTGTCAATATATTCCACTCCCATTTTGCTCTGGGCTTGAAAGCCCTCAAATCGGGAGTTTGACAGGATGGCCCCAATTTGCACTCCAAATATTCCTTGCATATTGGAGTACTCCCATCTGAACACTGGGACCTGGTTTGGACTTATTCTGCAATTAAGGTGAGGAGAGAGATCATTTCTCTTACTGCCTCCTGTTTCTGAAGAGAAGGAGGAAGTAAAAGCTAAAAAAAACAACAGGAATGATAGCAGTGGCAAGACCAGCTGGCACCACTAATGACCAGTCCTGAGGCTAAATGATTAACCCACCACTTTAACCACATTTGTATCTATAAATCTCAATTTATTATGCCCCTTTCCTGTAGAAGCCCTTAGAGTTCTAAGCCCTTAAAAGGGCCTGGAACTCTTTCTTCAGGGAGCTTGGTCCTTGAGACGTGGGTCTGCCAATGCTCCCAAACAAATAGAGCCACTTTCTTCTTTTACCTGTTGTCTAAGTTTTTATTTTTGTTTTTGTTTTTGTTTTCCCCACCACTCGTACTGCTACATTTCTTGGTTCCCTGACCTGGAAATGAGGTGATTAATGCACAATCAAGGCAGCCCCCAAGGCAGCTTAGGCTTGCCCTGCAACATATCCCTGTGGGTAACTCCAGCCAGCTTGAGTAACATGTATCCTGAGAGTGCTCCTGGTTAGATGTTTTCCCAGGTGGAACACTTCATCAGAGCAGTACACTGCAGGCCCCCACAAAGGATCAATACAGTGGCTGTACTCTGCGAATAAACTGGTTCTTGGAGTCCAGACATCTGGAATATGGTAGAAGGAGTCCTGGTAACTTGCTCACTCCATTTAAGTGGAAACATGGTCTGATTACCCACAATGTGTCCTTATCAACACTTTGGTATTGATTTTGATTTGGCTTGACTTGCTTGCAAAAAGGAAAAAGAAATTGAGTGAGTGCTTGAGTTTCAGATGGGAGAGATGAGTGACTGAACCCTTTACCCTTTCCTTCTTCTGATGTGTGTTGTCTTGACTCAGGAAGAAGATGGATGGAACATAAAGTAAGCCCACTCCGTTAGAAACTATGCTGAAAAATTTCAAGAAACCAGCAAAACTTAGAACTTTGTGTGAGATAGACTGGCTAGCTTCTGGCACTACAACAAAACTTGAGGGTAAATAAACATTTAATTGGAATGAATCATAGAAAACTGATTAGAAGAATACTTGATGTTCATGATAATTGTGGTGCAAGACAGTTTTAAGTATGTTTTTAGTATTTTTATAGTTCAGGAAGATATATTCTAGGAGCAGTTTTAGATGACTCTTATTTCTGTAGTAATATTCAATATAGTGTACCTGCTTTGTAGTCAGAAGAAGGCTAGAAGTTGAATTCAGGCATTTTCTTCCAATAAAGCTAATTATGGCTCATTCCCATTGACAAGGTGTAGATTTGGATTAGCAATTGTAATTACATCTGTGATTCTTAATTAATGATGTTAATTCAGAGATATGTAAAGTGCAAGTGAGCTTCTCTGCTGTCACTGGCCTTCCAACATTTTTATCCAGTGTTGTATTTGAAATTTCTGCTTCTGTAAATAAATTTTTGAAGATTACAAGTGGTTTGGTCATCAGAAGGAAGCCTGGATAGGTACCTTGTTTCAAAAGTGTGGCACAAGGTAACTGGTAAGCTGGGATACCCAGACCAGTTTCTGTACATAAATACTTGGTTACAGCTGGTTTTAGACCCCTCACAGTGGTTAAGAGGACATGCAGCAGTAGTACTAGCAGCAAAGTGGCAGACAGCCAAAAAAGAATCCCACTCCATCCACTGAAGGGAATTGGCTCCTAAAGTCTTGACCCAACATCAGAGGATTCATGGCAAGAAATGGATCCAGTTGCCCCCACTTCACCAAGAAGGAAGGCCTCCTGAGCCCACTACACCTGAGCTTCCACAAGACCTACATAACCCTAGGCCACCCAGAGTAGAAAGGAAAGGATGTGAGACCTCAGGAGAAACTCCTCCCTTCATAGCCTGTTTGAGGTCTAGAATTGAAATACAAATGTGCCTGAGAGAGCAGTGGTAGATGAGGATGGGCATATGGTGGAAAGGTGAGCCTTTGTGTACTTACCCTTCAGCTTTGCCAATCTCCTCAATTGGAAATACAATATCCCATCCTATACGAAAAATCATCAAGCTATAATTGATTTGCTCAAAACTATTATCCAGACCAACAACCCCACGTGGGCCGATTGCCCCCAGTTGCTCATGTACCCTTTTAACACAGATTAAAGGAGGAGAGTGTTCCAAGCAGCAACTAAGTGGAAGGAAGAACATATTTCAGCTGATTACGAAAACACTCAAAACTATGTGAGGATCTAATTACCAGGAACAGACCCACAGTGGGACCCAAATGAAAAAGAGGGTATGCAAAGGTTAAACTTGTACAGGGCACCCCTTCTGGAAGGGTTAAAGAAGGGAGCTCAGAAGGCCACAAATGTTTTACAAGAGACTATATGAGGCCTATTGTATGTTTACTCCCTTTGATCCCAATGGCCCTGATAATCAGAACATGATTAACATGGATTTAGTTAGTTAAAGTACACAAGACATTAGAAGAAAATTGCAGAAACAGGCTGGGTTTGCAGACATACATACTTCACAGTTATTGGAGATAGTCAACCAGGTGTTTGTAAATAGAGATTCACTAAGATACAGAGAGAACTGCAGAGAGAGAGAGAGTGAATGCCAAGCCCAGTGAAATGCCAACCTGCTAGCTGCAGCTATTAGAGGGGTTCCCCCAAAGGGGCAAGAGAGGGGGCCACAGGAAAAATACCCAGTCTGGTCATCCAGGCTTGCAGCATAACCAGTGTGCTTACTGTAAGGAAATAGGACATTGGAAGGACAAGTGCCCCAGTTGGAAGGAAAACAAGGTGACTCTGAGCAGGAGGCATCAGACAAGGATGAAGGAACCTCCTTCAATCTGGAAGTCCAGTTCAAACTGGACTGAGGGAGACCAGGCTCATGTGCACTACTAACCACCTTGGTTGCCCTCTTATCCAAAAAGACTATTGATATAACCGAAGCCACAGGGGTCTCAGCAAAGCAAGCTTTCTCTTTGCCCCAGACCTGCACTGTAGGGGGGCATGAAGTGATTCACCAGTTCCTGTACATGCTTGACTTCCTCTTGCCTTCGGTAGGAAAGGACCTACTTAACAAAATGAGAGCCACTGTCCCTTTACAAAGCACAGCTCCTTACAGATAAAGTTAACTGGAGTGTGAGTCATAATGACCATTACAGTTTTTCAGGAGCCAGGCCCAAAGATAGGACAAGCTCTGGCTAAGTGATGGCCAACGGTGTGGGTGGGAGACAGCCTTCCAAGGTTGGCAGTCAACTAAGCCCCCATACTCAGAGAAGTTAAGCCTGTGACAGCCAGTCAGGCAACATAAGTACCCAGTTCCCATAGAAGCTCTTGAAGGTACCCAGGTGCATCTCAAGGGCCTGGGGGCCTCTGAAATTAGACTCCCTTGTCAATCTCCAAGGAACACCCCCCTCCTGTCTGCTCTCCAGCCAGAGACCAAGGGCTACAGGCCGGTACAGGACTTGCACTTGGTCAACCAAGGTACAGTGACTTTGCCCACAATGGTACTTAACCCATACACATTGTTGGGAATTCTGTCAGCTGAGGACAGCTGAAGGATGCTTTCTTTAGCATCAGACTAGCCCCTTAGATCCAGAAATTGTTTGCCTTTCAGTGGGAGGATCTGGGGTCAGGTGTCATCACTCTGTACACTTGGACCTGTCTTCCCCAAGGGTTTAAGAACTCCCCCACCATCTTTAGGGAAGGCACTGGTTTGAGACCTCCAGAAGTTTTCCATCAGAGACCTAGACTGTGTGTTGCTCCAGTACATTGACGACCTCTTGTGGGGAAACCCCAAGGCAGTCAGGTGCATCAAGGGAATTGTTACCCTTCTCTAACAACTGGAGGACTGTGGGTATAAGCTCTCCAAGAAAAAAGCTCAGATCTGCTGACTGCATTTACATTACCTGGGATTTACTATCTGGCAGGGGGAGCACAGCCTGTGATAAGAATGAAAGCAGGTCAACCTACAAGGAAAACAGTCATGAACTACAGAGAATACCAGTGAGCTTCCATCTTGATTGCCTTGAGGAACTCTGGAGCTGACTCAGAGGCTCAAAAAGCACTATCTACACCCTACCAGGCATCTGTCACAGCCCCTGCTCCCTCAGTCACCTGTACTTGAATCTACTTATTCTAAAGAAGAGAAAGACTTTCCCCAAGCAGAGGGAGGGCCAGTGAGAGAAGAGGGATGCATCCAGTTATTGGACAGAAGAATAGCTGTGCCACAACTGCTAGGGGCTGCAGTCATACTGTCTGTGCATGAGACTACCCACTTAGACCAAGAGTCACTTGAAAAGTTGTTAGTCTGGTACTTCTATGTCTAGCATCTGTCGCTACCCACAGCACAATGCTAGGTAAGTTCCAAACTTCATACAACCTTCATACAACCTTATGGAGCAACCCCCGTTGAAGATCTCCAATTAGACTTCACGGGCATGTCCAAATGTGGAGGTAACAAGTATTTGCTAGTTCTAGTGTGTACATACTCTAGGTGAGTGGAGGTCTATCCAACATGAACTGAGAAAGCTTCTGAGGTAACCCATGTGCTTCTCCAAGATCTTGTCCCTAGGTTTGGACTATGCTTATGAATCAGCTTGGAGAATGGGCCAGTGTTTGTGGCTGACTTGGTAAAAAAGATAGCAAAGGTGTTGGGGATCACATGGGACATACATACAATTTACCAACTGTAGAGCTCCAGAAAAGTGGAGCAGATAAATCGGACTATCAAAATAGTTTAGGGAAGTGTGTCAAGAAACAAGGTTAAAGTGGGTACAAGCTCTCCCTATGGTATTGTTTAAGACTAGATGTACCCCTTCTAAAATTACAGAATATTCCCCTTATAAAGAATTATATCATAGGTTCCTTCCCGTACAATGGGGACTCTCAGGCATTTCTCGAGAGCTAGGTGAAATTGACTTACAGTGACAGCTGAAGGCTTTAGGGAAAATTACACAAACAATTTCAGCCAGGGCAAATGAAAGCTGTCCTGTCAGCTTATTCTCTGCAGTTCATCCTTTCTCCTCAGGTGATCAGGTTTGGATCAAAGATTGTAATGTAGCACTCTTGCAGCCACAGGAGGAAAGAACCCTAGAGCATCATCTTGACCACTCCCACAGCTATAAAGATAGAGAAAATCCTATCCTGGATCCACCACAGCCACATAAAACCTACAGCACCTGAGACCTGGAAGGTGAGGCCAAGCCCAGACAACACCTGCAAGCTGACATTGAAGATGACAAGTCCTGCTCCAGTCACACCCTGAAGCTGACTGGTCCATGCATGGTTGAAGCATGAGGAAACTCATCGTGAGACTCATTTTCCTTAAATTTTGGACTTGTACAGTAAGGACTTCAACTTGACCTTCTCAGACTGAAGACTGTTCAAGTTACTGAGGTAGGGCAAAGAGTTAAAAGAGTCTTTCTGTTTTTATGATTATTATGAATGTACTGGAACTTTAAAAGGGACTTGTTTGTATAATGCCACAAAACAGAAGGTATGCAGCACAGGAAATTACCAGCCTTATGTGTGATAACCCATTAGAACTACTCGATCCCTAGTGGAAAACAGGAGAGTAAGTAATTCTAGGAATCAATGCAACTAGACTCTATCCCTGAGTAAATATTTTAATCTAATGAGAGGTCCACAGGCACTCTCCAAAGCTGGTGTTTACTCCACTGTTTAGCATATTTCTAGCAACTTAGTTCATCAAAAGACCACAGCACAAGTGTGTTACATGAATTGCTGGCGATCTGTCTCTCAGGAAGACCTGAATAGTGAAGATGAGAGTGAGAATTCCCACTAGTGAGTGAGGTTCTCAAAGAGGGGAATGAGGAGAGAGGCCATTTCTCTTACTGTCTCCTGTTCTTTGAAGAGAAGCAGGAAGTAAAAGCTGAAAAACAACAGGAATGAAATCAGTGGCAAGATCAGCCAGTGCTATTGATGACCAGGTCTGTCACTAAAATATCAGCCCAATACTCTAACCACACGTGCTATCTATAGATCTCAACCTGTCATTAAACTTTCATGTGGAACCCCTTAGAGTTGTAAGCCTTTACAAAGGCCAGAAACTCTTTCTTCCGTGAACGTAGTTCTTGAAACATGCATCTGCCAATGCTCCCAGCTGAATAAAGCCATTTACTTCTTTAATCTGGTGTCTGACGGATTTTCTCTGCAGCTCATCCTGCTACAAAGAGAATGTGAGGTCAGATTTGCTGGAAGCTTCTGTGTCATCTGTCTTCATTTATTTTGTTTTTGCAGCTGAAGTTGCGGGACCCCATCCACCCCTCATCAGAATGTATTCTCACCCAATCTGATCTTATTGCTGCTCAAACTCTATGTATCAAGATGAAATCCCAAGATGATGAAGGATTGCCCCCTCATGATATGAAGCACCTGCTCAGCTGGGAAGTGAATTCAAGGTAAATACAAGGGGGCATGCATTTAGGACTGCTAGTATCTCTCCATGTTTTGGTGCAGGAAAAAGAAACACTGGGAGATGTCTGTTTTTTTTGTTTTGTTGTGCTCCTCTTTTCTCTAGAAAAGTTGCTTTTTTTGAAGGTAAAAGTGACTTGGATGCTTGTGGGTAATGGCATGCCTCCCAAATCACCGCAGATTCATCATCAACAGAAAAATAAAGAACATGGAGCCCTGCATCCCAAGGAGAGCCACACAGACAGGACAACAAAAGGTTTTGAGACTTAATATAAAAGAATCGCTTGAGTGAATTAACCACATTTCTTTCGGCGGATTCTACTTACATTCACAGCAAACACACACAAACAATGCCACATACACACACACAGACCTCCATCATTCAAGGCACTTCCAGAGAGACACACAATATGGAAGCTCAGGAGGCTGCTTAGTTATGTAGGAGGCCCCACATGGGACAGAGCAACCCTGAGAAATACAGTGGGCCTGTACCTAGAAATCACGGTGGGCAAGTTAAAAAAGATTCAAACCTACATTATCTAGGAATGAATGAGGAATCCTGTAGATCTTTTTGGATACCTAGGGATTTCACAATTTATTACTAGGGCTCTGATTGATATTTCTTCAGAGTGGCCAACATTTGCCCTCTCCAAGAATCATGGGACTATCCTGTGGATCCCACTGAGAAGACAGGTGAGAGTCCACCACAGACACACTTCCACAGTGGTCTCCTTCTTTGCCAAGCTGAAGGGACTTGTTGCTAGGCAATGATGACATTAATTGTGATGCTATCCAGAGCTCACAGTCAGGCCAAGTGCCCTGAGATTAGTGTGTGTGCATTTGTGTGGCAGACTTAGGCACCTGTCTGTCAGAACTGTAAGCCTGCCTAAGCAGAGAAAAATGGTACAGTCAGAGCCAGCCTGGTATTTGGGTAAAGGCTGCCTGCAAAAATGCACTGCAGGACCCAAAACTTCTCAACCTCAGAGCCCCTTCAGGCTGTCTCCATGGCCAGGTGGTGCAGGAGGAAGAGGCATTTTGAGCCTGAGAGGAGGTTGCTGGAAACTGCTCATCTGACTCCATTCCTGAAAGAGGCTGTGTAGAAGAATCCACTCCCATGAAGATTGGAATCTAGTCAGGTGTATTACTGAAGGTTCTTTGGGTGATAGAATCATACCTGATACCCCAGATGCTGATGTCAGTGAAAAATGGCCAGACTCTTGACCTCACTGCCTCCTTGCATCCAGGGCCTCGCAGAGGCTCTTTCGGGAAGGCAGGAACCATGACAAAAGCATATCAAAGGCTGCGTGTGATAATGGCAAGCCTGGAAAGGGAGTCCAGTTGTGCTGTTGAGAGGCACTGTGTAATCCCCAGGAAAACAAAGAAAAATCAAGGCTCACCTGAGAGAATGATCTGCCTTGTTCTTAAGTCCAAGAAACGTTCAATGATTCCTATCAGAGGAACAAAAACCCCTTGCAAATTGCAAACAACCTCAATCTCTCAACGTGTCAAAGACCCACAACCTGTAAGGCAGCCAGCCTACCTGAAGTCCCTTTTGCTCTCTGAAATCCCTGGCAGCTACATAATCTGTGGTGAGAGGCAGTCCCATCCAGCAACAACTCAATGAAAGAGCCCCTCCACAATGAGAGGACCATGAAGATGAATGAAACAGAGGCTAGATTACCTGATAAAAGCTAGAAACAGCTGCCTGCTTCTCATCCTAAAGGAATCATGCCACCCTCCAATAGAAGTGGAAGAACAAGTTTATTTGTTGATGGCTCTAATGGAAAGTTATGGTTGTAAATATATCAAAGCTTCCCAGTCATTAAAACGTGATAGTGTTTACAAAAAAACACTCACACAATAGATTCCCATGAGGGTCGTTCTCCATGAACTGGGAAATGTTTATTGTGGAAGTTGCTGAGCCAGATCCAGGAAACCCTATGTCGATGAGGAACATGGAAGTCAGGAAAAGAACAGGCAAGTGTAGAGGCCACACCCAACCTAGCATCAGTCTTTTCCACTCATTTTTGGCTCCGAGTATGAAAGCCCTCAATTTGGGATTTTGCCAGGATAGCCTCAGTTTGCCCTCCAAATATTCCTGGCACATTGGAGTACTCCCATGTGAGAACAGGGCCAAGATATAAACTGCTTGTGCGATTCAGGCAATGTGGGGATGGAGTTGGAAGAAACTTCTTTGTTGTTTGTCCTTACTTTTTTTTCAGATAATGTTGTGAGGCCCCGTTTACCCCTCAAGAGATTCTATTATCACCTGTGTCTGACATTATTGCAGCTCACACTCAATGTCCCTGGATGAAATCCCAAGACAATGGAGGGGTACTGCCTTAAGACATGAAGACCCTGCTCGGCTGGGACCTGAATTCAAGGTAAATTCAAGGGCCCTTCATACAAGACTGCAAGTTTTCTTCCCTCAGTAGTCCACAGAACAATGAAATGTTGGGAGATGTCTGTTATTTTGGTGTGGTATGCTCCTCTTCTTCCTAGAAGAGTGGCTTTTTTTTGCAGCGGCAGGTGATTTGGACGCTTGTGGTTTCGGCATGCCTCCAAATTCACTGCAGGTTAATGATCCACAGAAAAATAAAGAACATGGGGTCCCAAAGCCTAAGCAAACCCACACAGAGAGGCCATCAGAAGTTTTGGATATACGAAAAAAAAAAAAGGCTGAAGTGTGTTAGACACATTTCTTTAAGGAGACTCCACTTACAGGCACACACAGAAACACACACACACACACACACACAATGCCACACACACAGGCAAACATCCAACACTCACAACACTCCCACAGAAACACACAGATCGGCAGCTCCTGAGGCTGCCTGGTCCTGCAGAAAGCCCTACCGTGGGGAGAACAACCCCGGGGAACACAGGCGGGCTATACCTAGAAATCACAGTGGGGCAAGTTTTAAAAAGACTCAACCCTACAACCTCTAAGCAGGCCTTAGGAATCCTGTAGATTGTTTTGGATCCTTAGGGATTTTGCGGTTTATTCATGAATCTGTGCTTCACGTTTCTTCAGGCTGGCTCACATCTGCCCTATCCTGGAATCATGAGAGTATGTCGTAGATCCCTCAGAGAAGACAAGCGAGAATTCACCACCGACTCACCTCCACGGATGTCTTCTCTGCCAAGCCGCCTGGACTTGTCACTAGGCAATGATGACATTCATTATGATGGTGGTCAGAGCTCACCATCAGGCCTGGTGCCCTGAGGCTGGCACAAATGCATCCATCATGCAGGCTCAGGTGCCTGGATTTCAGAACTCTCATCCTGCCTAAGCAGAAAAATATATGGTACAGGCAGAGCTGGTCTGGTTTTGGGAAAAAAAGGCTTTCTGTGAAAACCCTCTGCGGGGCTCTAAAATTGCCTACCTCAAGACCCTTTTGTGTCATGTCTGTGGTCGGGTTCCGCTGAAGAAGGAGGCATTTGGAGGCTGTGAGTTGGTCACTGATCTTCTGACTCCATTCCTGAAAGAGGCAGTGTGCAAGAAATAGGTCCCATGGGGATTGGAATACTGTCTGGTATTGTTTAGGGCTCTTTGGGAGATAGAATCATACCTGAGACCCAGAGGCTGACATCAGCAAACAATGGCTGGGCTCTTGACCTCACTGCCTCTCTTCCTCCTGGGCCTTGCAGTGGCCCTCTGGGAAAGGCAGGAGCCATGACAATAGCAAGAGCAAGTTGGAACAGTGTTTTCACACCACAGACTCGCCTCTCACAGGTGTATATCAGGTTCAGACAGTGTCTCAGAGGACGTCTTTTGCGATGACATGCTTGAAAACAGTGTCCAGTATTGCCAATGAGGGTCACTGTGGATTGCCTGTGAAGGTAAAGAAAAATTATGGCTCACCTGAGAGAATGAGCTGCCTTTGCTGGATTCCCGGCAACGTTCAATGATCCTGATCAGATTACCCAAAAGCCTCTTGCAAATTGCAAATAACCTCAGCCCTTACAATGAGATAATGACTTTTAACCTGGGGAACAGCCAGCCTAATTGAAGTTTCCTTTGTTCTGAAATCCCTGGCACCTAAATAGTCTTTGGTGAGAGGCAGTTCCATCTAGCAAAAGCCCAATGAAAGAGGTCCTCCACAACGCAAAGGCCACACAGATGAAAAGAAACAGAGGATAAATTACCCTGCAAAAGCCAAACACAGCACTGTTTTAGACATATCAAAGCTGTCCAGGAATTAAAACGTGACAGTGTTTAGAAGAAAACACTTACACAATGGCTACCCATGAGGGTCGTTCTCCATGAACTAGGAAATGTTTAGTGTGAAAGTCATTGAGCCAGGCTCAGAAAAGCCTAGACTGATGAGGAAAATAGAAGTCAGAAAAAGATGAGGCAAGTGTAGAGACCACATCTTACCCAGTATCAATCCACTCCACTACCCTCTGCTACCAGGTATAAAAGCCCTCATATCAGAGGATGGCCCCAATATGCAACTCAAATGATTCTTGCACGTTGGAGTATTCCCACCTCAACTCTGGGCCATGGTGTGGACTGCTTGTGCAATTAAGGGAATGTGGGAATGGGGTTGGAAGTGTCTTCTCTGTCATCTGTCCTCATTTCTTTTTTTGCAAGTGAAGCTGCAAGACCTCATCCACCACTCAGGATATTGTATCCTCACCCCTATCTGTCCTCATTGCTCCTCACATTCTATGTCCCAGGATGGAATCCCAAGGCGATGGAGGAATACCACCTCATGATGTGAAGCACCTGCTCTGCTGGGGATAGAATTCGAGTTAAATTCAAGAGCCCCTGTGGAGAGGACTGCTACTGTCTCTCCCTGGCTTGGCTGAAGGACAATGAAACACTGGGATATGTTTGTTATTTTGTGTGTTGTGCTCCTTTTCTTCCTAGGAGAGTGGCTTCTTTTGCAGGGAGAGGTGACTAGGACGTCGGCGGGTCTTGGCACACCCCTCCTTTCACTTCAGATTCATGATTCATGGTAAAATAAGAATGTGCCCCACAACCCAAGCACAGCCAAACAGTCAGGCCACCAAAAGGTTGGGAGATTCAAAAAAACAAAATGGAGAGCCGAAGTGCTTTAGCCATATTTCTTTAAGTGCACTCTACTTGCAGGCACACACACACAAACACACAACACACAATGCCACATACACAGGCAGATATCCAACACTCACAACACTCCACAGAAACAAATAGGCCTGCAGTTCCTGAGGTTTTGTGGTTCTGCAGAAAGCCCCAACTGGGAAAGAGCAACCCCAGGAAGAACAGGAGGGATGTATCTAGAAATCACAGTGGGACAAGTTTCAAGAAGACTCACCATGACAATGTCTAGGCAGCCTGAGGAATCCTGCAGATTATTTTGGACCCTTAGAAATTTCACATTTTATTCCTGAGGCTGTGCTTGATGTTTCTTCAGGTTGTCTCATGTCTGCCCTCCCCTAGAATCATGGAACTATCTTATGGATCTCATAAAGAAGATGGACAAAAGCCCACCACCAACCCACCTCCATGGTGTTCTTCTTCACCAAGACCAACGGACTTGTCTCTAGGCAACGATGACATTCATTGTGATGCTAGACACAGCTCAGAATCAGGCCTGGGGCCCTGAGAATATGCATGCCAATTCATGAAGAAGTCAGGGTACCTGACTATCAGAGCTGTCAGCCTGTCTAAGCAGAGGAAAATGGTACAGGCAGAGCTGGCCTGTTATCAGAAAAAAGCTGTCGGTCAAAACCCATCCCGGGATCCTAAAATTTTTTACCTCAGGGCGCCTTTGTGCCTTCTCAGTGGTGAGGTCTTACTGGAGGAGGAGGCATTTCAAGACTGACAAAGTCACTGAAAACTGCTTTTCTGACTCCATTCCTGAAAGAGGGTGTATGAAAGAATTTCCCATGGAAATTGGATTAAGGCTGGAGTGTTGTTTAGAATTCTCTGGGTGATAGAATCATATCTGAGACCCCAGAGGTGGGTGTCAGAGAAAGATGGTCGGACTCTTGACCTCACTGCCTCCCTTCATGCTGAGACTCACAGGGTTTCTCTGGGAAAGGCAGGAACCACGACAAAGGCACATCCTGGGTGGAGCAGTGTTCTCACACCTTGAACTGGCCTCTCAAGGATGCATATGGAGTTGAGGCAGAACCTCAGTGGCCATCTGTGGCCATTGCAAGCCTGAAAGGGATGTCCAGTAGTGCTGTTGAAGGGCAATTTTGACCCCCAATAAAAGTAAAGAAAAATCAAGGCTCACCTGAAAGAAGAAGGTAAATTGTGCTGGAGTGCAAGTAATATTCAAAGACTACTGTCAGAATACACAAAATCTTCCTTCAAAGTGCAAACTACCCTAGCTTCCACAATGAGATCATGAATGACAAAAGTGCAGCAAGCCTACTCAAAGTCCCTTTCTCACCTGGAAATCCCTGGCAGCCAAAAGATCTGTGGTAAGAGGCAGTCCCATCCAGCCACTATCCAGTGAAAGACTCCCTCCACAATAAGAAAGGACTTCCAGATGAAATGGAACAGAGCCCAGAATGACAGTCAAAAGCCGGACACAACTGTCTTCTTCTCATCCTACAGGAATTCTGCAGCCCTCCAATAGAGGTAGGAGAATAAGTGTTTCCATGATGGCAGCTGTAACTGGAATTAACAGTTTCAAATGTATCACAGCTGCCAGGAAATTAAAACATGACAGTGTTAAGATGAAACACTCATGCAATGGATTCCCATGAGAGTGTCCTCCATTAAGTGTGAAATGTTTAGTGTGGAAGACGTTGATCCAGACCCACGGACCCTAGGCCGACGAGGGACATGGAAGTCAGGAAAGAAAGAGGCAAGTGTGGAGGCCACCTCCCACCCAGCATCAATCCACCCCACTCCCATTTGGTTCCTGGTATGAAAGATCTCAGATTGGAAGTTTGCAAGATGGCCCCAGTTTATACTCCAAATGTTCCCTGCATGTTGGAGTACTCCCACCTGAACATGGAGCTGCTGTGTAGACCACTTGTACAACTAAGGCAAGGCAGGGATGCAGTTGGAAACACCATCTGTGTCATCTGTCATCACCTTTTTTGCAGGTTAATGTGTGGGACCCCAGCAACCCTCAACTGATTGTATTCTCACCCCTATCTGACCTTATTGCTGCTCACACTCTGTCCCAGAATAAAATCCCAAGATAATGAAGAAGTGCCCCCTCATGACATGAAGCACTGCTCACCTGGGAACTGAATTAAAGATAAATTCAGGAAGCCCTGTGGACAGAACTACTAGTGTCTCTCCCTGGTTTGGCTGTACGACAATGAAACAGTGGGAAATGTCTGTTTTTTTGTGTGGTGTGCTCCTCTTCTTTCTAGAAGAGCAGCTTTTTTCAGCGGGAGGTGATTGGGATGCCAGCGGGTAATGGCCCACCACCCAGTTCACTGCGGATTCATGATCCACAAAAAAATAAAGAACACAGAGCCCCGTAGCCCAAGCAGAGTCACAGGCCACCAAAAGGTTGGGAGACTCAAAAGCAAGAATCGCTGAAGTGCGTCATCCATATTCCTTTAAGCAGACACCACTTACAGGTGCGTGTACACACACATACACATACATACACAAAGACACACACATATGCAGATATCCAACACTCACAACACTTTCAGAGAGTACACAGCACAGCACTTTCTTGGGTTGTGTTGTTCTGCAGGAAGCTCCACCTGGGAGGGAGCAATACCAGGGAACACAGTAGGGCTGTATCTGGAAATCGCAGTGGGTCAAGTTTCAAAAAGATTCACCCCTACAATGTCTAGGCAGGTCTGAGGCATCTTGCAAATCATTTTGGATTCTTAGTGATTTCCCGGTTTATTTCTAGGGCTCTGCTTGACGTTTCTTCAGGGTCTCTCATGTCTGCCCTCTCCTAGGATTGTGGGACCAACCCAGATATCCCACAGAATAAGTAGGTGAGAGTCCACAGCCGACGCAACTCTACAAAGGTCTTTTTCTCTGCCAAGCCACAGGGACTTGTCGCTAGACAATGGTAGCATTCATTGTGAGTCAAGCAGCGCTCACAGCTCAGGCCTGGTGTTTTGAGACTAGTGCATGGGCATTCCTGAGGCTGATTCAGGCTGTCCTGCTGTCAGAGCTGTCAGCTTGCCTAAACAGGGGAAACTGGTACAGGCAAAGCCGGCATGGTAACAGGAAAATTGCTGCCTGTGATAACCCACTGTGGGACCCTAGAAGTCATGAACTTATGGCCTCTTAGGGCTGTCTCTGTAGTCGGATATCACTGGAGAAGGAGGCATTTTGAGATTGTGTGGTGGTCATTGGAAACTGCTTGTCTAACTCAATTTTCAAAAGGGGCTGTGTGAAAACTCAGGTCCATTGGGATTAGAATGTAGTCTGTTGAGTTGTTGAGGGGTCTTTGGATGATAAAATCAAAGCTGAGACACCAGAGGCAGGTGTCAGTGAAAGAAGGCCATACCCTTGACTTCACTTCCTCTCTTCATCCTGGATTTCACAGGGGCTCTCTAGAAATAGCAGCATCCATGAAAAAAGCAAGTCCAAGGTAGAGCAGTCTTCTCACACCTCAAACTGGTCTCTCATGCATGCAGAAAAGGTTGAGACAGTGTTGCAGAGGACTTCTGTCATGATTACAAGCCTGAAAAATGTGTCCAGTAATGTTGTGGTACTGTAATGTTGACCAGTCATGAAAGCAAAGAAAAATCAAGGCTCACCTGTGAGAATGAGCTGACTTGTGCTTGATTCACAGAAACATTCAAAGTTTTCTGGCAGAGAAACCGAATCCTCCTGCAACGTGCAAAGAAACTCAGCCACTAAAAGAAGATCATGAAACACAATCTGGAAGACAGCCAACCTACCAAGATCCCTTTTGCTCCCTGAAATTTCTGGCAGCCAAAAGATCTGTTGTGAGAGGCAGTCCCATCAAGCAAAAGCTCAATGAAAGACTCCCTCCACAATGAGAAAGGTCATGCAGGGGAAGTGAAACAGAGCCTTGATTACCAGGCAAATCCAGGCATGGTTCCCTGCTACTCATCCAACAGGAATCATGAAGCCTTCCAATAAAAGTGTGAGTACAAGAGTTTCCCTGTTGGTGGCTTTAATAGGAATTTATGCTTTTAGGCAATATATAGCTGCCCAGTCATTAAAATGTGACAGTGTTTGGAAGGAAACACTCATGCAATGGACTCCCATGAGTTTGACCTCCGTGAAGTGGGAAATGTTTAGTGTGAAAGAGGTTGAGTCACACACAGGATACCCTAGGCTGATGAGGAACATGGAAGACAGGAAAAGAAGAGGCAAGTGTGGAGACCACATCCCACTCAGCATCAGTCCATCCCACTCCCATTTGTCTGTGGGTATGAAAGCTTTCAAATCCAGAGTTTGCCAGGTCATCCCCAGCTTGCAGTCCAAATGTTTCCTGCACTTTGGAGTACTTCCAACTGACCACTGGGCTATGGAGTTGGAAGCACCTTCTATTTCATTTGTCTTCATTTTTCTTTCAGGTGAAATTGTGAGACCCCATGCACCTCTCAACAGACTGTGTCCTCACCAGTATCTGACCTTATATCTGCTCACACTTTATGTCCCAGGATGAAATCCCAAGATGATAAAAAGTGCTCCCCCCATCCCCAGATGTAAATCAGCTGCTCAGCTTGGAAGTGAATTCGAGGTTAATTCAAGTGGCCCTGTGGAAGGACTGCTAGTGTCTCTCCCTGGGTTGGCTGCAAGAAAATGAAACACTGGGAGATATCTGTTTTTCAGTGTGGTGTTCTCCTCTTCTTTCTAGAAGAATGGCTTTTTTCCACACAAAATGCCACACACACTCAGACATCCAACATTCATAACTCTCCTACAGAAACACACACCCAGCAGCTACTAAGGCTGCATTGTTGTGCAGGAAGCACCACCTGAGAGAGAGCCCCACAGCCCAGGCAGAGCCACACACAGAAGCCACCAAAAGGTTGAGAAATTCAAAAAAGAAGGAAGCACTGAAGTGTGTTAGCAACATTCCTTTAAGCAGACTGCACTTACAGTCACACACATACCCCCCCACACACACACTTACAATGCCACACACACAGAGACAGATATTCAACCCTCACAGCACTCAACCAGAAAGGTTGGGAGATTGAAAAAAAAAAAAGAAAGGTTGAAGTGTGTTAGCCACGTTATTTTAAGCACAGACCATTTACAGGCACACACACACACAAACACACAATGCCCGATACATACACAGACATTCAACACTTGCAACACTCCCACAAAAGAAAATAAAGCTGGGCAGTGCCTGTGGTTGTGTGGTTCTACAGGAATCCCAACCTGGGAGCGAGCAACCCCAAGAAACACAGGAGAACTGTACCCAGAAATCACAGTGGGGCAAGTTTCAAAAAGACTCACCCCTAGTACATCTAGGCAGGCCTGAGGATTTCTGCATATCTTTTTGCATCCTTAGGAATTTCACTGTGTGTTCCTGGAGCTGTGCGTGACTCCTCCAAGCAGCTTGGAGGAGTGCAACCCCAAGATGTGAATCTCCTGCTCATCTAGGAACCGAATTCGAGGTAAGTTCAAGTGGGCCTGTGGCCAGGACTGCTAGTGTCTCTCTCTGGGTTCCTGGGTTGGCTGAAGGAATGAATCACTAGGAGATGTCTCTTTTCTTGCGTGGTGTGCTCCTCTTTTTCTAGAAGAGTGGCTTTTTTTTTTTTCACTGGGAGGTGATTTGGAAGGCTGAGAGTCTCAGTCCACCTCCCAATTCACTGCGGATTCATGATCCACAGAAAAGTAAAGAACACGGAGCCCCACATCCCAAGCACAGCCACATTGATCACCCAACATAATGTTGGAAGGTTCAAAAGAGAAGAAGTGCTGAAGTGCATTAGCCACATTATTTTAAGCAGAGTCTACTTACAGGCACATAGACACACACACACAGGCACACACATACAAACACACAATACCAAAAACACACACAGACATCCAACACTCACAACACTCCCTCATATAAACACACACTGGCAGTACCTAAGGCTATGTGGTTCTGCAGGAATCCCCACCAGGGAAAGAGCAGCCCCCAGAAAAACATTCGGGCTGTACCTAGAAATCACTCTAGGGCAAGTGTCAAAAAGACTCACTCCTACAACCTCTAGGCAGTTTTGAGGAATCCTGCAGATCTTTTGCATCCTTACAGATTTTGTAGTTTATTGCTGGGGCTGTACTTGACCTTTCTTCAGACTGGCTCACATCTGCCCTCTCCTAGGATCATGGGATTGTCTCAGGGATCCCACAGCAGAGACAGGCGAGAGATCAAAGCTGATGCACCTCCACGGAAGTCTACTTCCCTGCCAAGCTGCAGGGACTTGTTGCTAGGCAACGGTGACATTTACTGTGATGCTAGCCAGAGCTTACAATCGGGCCTGGTGCCCTGAGACTAGCACGTGCACATTTGTGCGCAAGGCTTGGGGGCCAGGCGGTCAGAGCTATCAGCCTACCTAAGCAGAGGAAAATGGTACAGGCAGAGCCGACCTGGTATCAAAAAAGAGGCTGCCTGGAAAAACCTACTGTGGGACCCTAAAACTCGAACTGATGGACTATCTAGGCAGTCTCCGTGGTTGGGTCTTCCTGCAGGCAAAAGCGTTTTGTTAATGTGAGGTGGTCACAGGAAACTTCTCTTCTGACTCCATTCAAGAAAGACCTGAGTGCAAGAATTGTGTTCCAACCAGATTGGAATACAGTTGGGAGTGTTGTTGTGGGTTATTTGGGTGACAGAATAATACCTGAGACCCCAGAGGCAGGTGTCAGTGAAAGATTAGGTCGGGCTCTTGACCTCACTTCCTCTCTTCATCCTGGGCCTCACAGCCACCCTCTTGTAATAGCAGGAACCAGGACAAAGGCAAGCTCAAGTTGGAGCAGTGTTCTCACACCTCAGACTGGCCTCTCATGAATGCAAATTTGAGGTTGAGACAGTGTGTCAGACGCCATCTGTAGTGATGGCAAGCCTGAAAAGGGTGTTTAGTGGTGCTATTGATGGGCACTGTGGATTCACCATGAAAGCAAAGGAAAATCAATTTTTGCCAGAGAATGAGCTGCCTTGTGCTGGATCCCAAGCAATGTTCAGTGATTCCTGTCAGAGGACCCAAAAGATTCCTGCAAAGTGCAAACAACCTCAGCCCCACAATGAGACAAGAACCCACAACCTGGAGCACTGATTTTTTTTGAAATCTCTGAAATCCATGGCAGCTAAATAATCTGTGGTGAGAGGCAGTCCAATCTAGCAACATCCCAATGAAAGAGTCCCTTCACAATGAGAAGTCTGTGTAGATGATCTGAAACAGCCTATATTACCAGGAAAAAGCAAGATACAGTTGCCTGCTTCTCATCCTGAAGGAATCACACAGCCCTCAGATAAAAGTGGGAGAATAAGAGTTTTCTTGTTGGTGGCTGTAACAGGAATTTATGATTTTAAAACTATCACAGCTTCCCAGTCATTAAAACTTGACAGTGCTTAGAGGAAAACACTCACACAATGGTTTCCCACAAGGATCGTTCTCTGTGAACTGGAAACTTTTAGTTTGTACATCATTGAGCCAAACCCAGGAAACACTATGCTAATAAAAAACATAAACATCAGAAAAGAAAGAGGCAAGTGTGGAGGTCACATCTCACCCAGCTTTAATCCATTCCACTCCCACTTGGCTCCAGTATGAAAGCTGTCAAATTGGGAATTTGCCAGGATGGCCCCAATTTCTACTCCAAATGCTCCTTGCACATTGGAATACTACCATCTGAACACCAGGCCATGGTGTGGACTGCTTGTGCAATTAAGGGAATGTGGGGATAAGTTTGAAAGCATCTTCTGTGTCATCTGTCTTCATTTTTTTTTTTTTTTTTGCCGGTGAAGTTGCAGGGCCCCATCATCATCCACCAGATTGTATCCTCACCCTATCTTACTTTATTGCTACTCACACTCTGTTTCAGGTTGAAATCCCAAAATGATGGAGGAGTGCCCACTCATGACATGAAGCACCTGCTCAGCTGGGAGCCGAATGTGAGGCAAATTCAAGGTGCCCTGTTGAACAGGATTGCTAATGTCTCTCCCTGGGTTTGCTGCAGGATGATGAAACACTGGGAAATGTCTGGTTTTTTTTTGGTATGGTGTGCTCCTCTTCTGTCTAGAGGAGTGGCATGGTTTTTTTTTTTTTTTTCTTTTTTTTTTTTTCAGAGGGAGGTTATTTATCTGGATGCCGACACTTTTCAGCATGCCTCCCAATCCACTGCAGATTCATGATCCACAGAGAAATAAAGAATGTGCGGTGACACAGCCCAAGGTTAGCCACACAGACAGGCTACCAAAACTTCGGAAGACAAACATACAAACAAGCAAAAATGCTTTAGTGCATTAGCCACATTCTTATTTGCTTATATGCAGACTCCACTTATGTGGCACACACACACACACACCCAATGCCACACAGACACGCAGACATTCCAACATGCAGATATTGCAAACTCACAACTGTCCCACAGAAACACATAAACCAGGAGCTCCTGAGGCTATGTGGTTCTACAAGAACCCCTATCGGGAGAGAGCTGCCCCAGGGAACACAGGCAGTCTGTACTTAGAAATCACAGTGGGACAAGTTTCAAAAAACTCAACCCTATGACGTCTAGGCAGGCCTGAGGAATCCTGCAGATCATTTTGGATCCTTAGGGATTTTGCTGTTTATTCCTGGGGTTGTGCTTGATGTTTCTTCAGGCTGGGTCACATCTGTCCTCTCCTAAAATCATGGGACTATCCCATGGATCCCACGGAGAAGACAGGCAACATTTCACTCCCTATGCACATCCATGGAGGTCTCCTTCACCAAGCTACAGAGACTTGTCGCTAGTCAAAGATGACATTCATATTGATGCATGCCAGAGTTCACAATGATGCCTGGTGCCCTGAGGGTAGCACATGAACACTTGCATTCATGAGGCAGGCTAGGGCACGTGGCTCTCAGAGTTATCAGCCTGCATAAGTAGAGCATATTCATACAGGCAGAATCTGCATGGTATTAGGAAAAAGGCTGCCTGAGAAAAGCCACTGTGGGACCCTAAAACTCTCTACCTCAGGGACCCTCTGACCCATCTCCATGGTTGGGTTCTGCTGGAGGAGGAGGCATTTTGTGACTGTGAGTTGGTCACTAGAAATTGCTCTTATGACTCTATTCCCAAAACAGGTTGTGTGCAAGAATTGGGTCCCATGGGGATTATAATATAGTCTGGTATGTTGTTGAGGGTTCTTTGTGTGATAGAATTATACCTGAGACCCCAGAGGCTGGTGTCATGAAAAGATGGCCAGGCTCTTGACCTCACTGCCTCCCTTCATCTTTGACCCCGCAGGGGCTCTCTGGGAAAGGCAGGAACTATGATAAAGGCAATTCAAAGTTGGATCAGTGTTCTCACATCTCGTACTGCCCTCTCTGGAGTGCAGATGAAGTTGAGACAGTGTTTCAGAGATGGTTTGTGGCAACGGCAAGCCTGAAAAGAGTGTCTGTAGTGCTGTTAAGGGGCAATGTGGATTCTCCATGAAAGCAAAGAAAAATCAAGGCTCACCTGAGAGAACGAGCTGCCTTCTTCTGGAGTCCAAGCAATGTTCAGTGATTCCTGTCAGAGAACCCACAAACTTCTGGCAAAGTGCAAACATTCACAGCCTCTACAAAAAGACAATGACAGACAACTTGCACTGCAGCCAGAACACCGAATTTTCCTTTTGCTCTCTGAAATCCCTGGCAGCTAAATAATCTGTGGCCAGAGGCAGTCCCATCCAGCAACAGCTCAATGAAAGTGATCCTCTACAATGAGGAAGTCATGCAGATTAAATGAAACAGAAGCTCGATTACCAGGCAAAAGCCAGACACTGCTGCCCACTTTTCATCCTACAAGAATCATGCAGCCCTCTGATAGAAGTGGGAGAACAAGAGTTTTCTTGTTTGTGGCTGTAACAGGAATTCAGAGTTTAAAAAAATTTCAAAGCTTCCCAGTCATTAAAACATGATGGTGGTTATAAGAAAACACTCATGCAATGGATTTTCATGAGGGTCATTTTCTGTGAACTGGGAAACATTTATTGTGGAAGCCGTTGAGCCAGATCTAGAGAGCCCTGGTCCAAGGAGGAACATGGATGTCAGTAAAGGAAGAGGCAAGTGTGAAGGCCACATCCACCCAGCATCAATCCATTCCACTCACATTTGTCTCTGAATAAAAATCCCTCAAATCATGAGTTTGCCATGATGGCTCCAACTTCTACTCCAAAGTTTTCTTCAATGTTGGAGTACTCTGACTTGAACACCGGGCCACGGTGTGGGCTGCTTTTGCAATTAAGGGAATGCAGTGATGGAGTTGGAAGCACTTTCTGTGTCACCTATCCTTATTTTTTTTTTTGCAAGTCAGGTTGTGGGTCCCCATCCACCCCTCACCAGATTGTATCCTCATCCCTATCTGACATTCTTCTTCACACACTGTACTTGACATATTTTCAAAATGGCTCATGTCTACCCTCCCCTTGAATCATGGAACTCTCCCTTTGATCCCACAGAGAAGACAGGTGAGAGTCCACTGCTGACAGATGTCCATGGAGGTCTCCTTTTCCGCCAAGATGCAGGGCTTTTTTCTACACAATGGTGACCTGCGTTGTGATGCTAGACAGAGCTCACAATCAAGCCTGGTGACCTGAGACTAGCCCTTGTGCATTCATAAAGCAGGCTCGGGCCGGTGGCTGTCACAGTTGTCAGCCTGCCTAAGCACAGCAAGAGCCGGCCTGTTATCTGGAAAAATGCTGCCGTGAAAAGCCACAGTGGGATCCTAAAAGTCTCAAATTCAGTCCTCCTCCAGACAGTCTCAATGGTCAAGTCCTGCTGGAGGAGGAGGCCACTTGAGACTGTGAAGTGGTCAAGGGAAACTTCTCTTCTTATTCCATTCCTGAAGGAAGCTGTGTGCATGAATCAGGTCCCATGGGGAATGAAATATAGTCTGGAGTGTTTTTGACGGTACTTTGGGTGATAGAATCATACCTGAGACCCCAGAAGCAGGTGTCAGTGAAAAATGGCTGGGCTCTTGATCCACTGCCTCCCTCATCCTGGGTTTTGAAGGGCATCTCTGGGAAAGGCAAGAACCAAGAAAAGGGCAATTCCAAGGTGGAACAGCGTTCTTAACCCTCGGACTGTCCTCTCTCTGTGTAGATGAGGTTACAACTGTATCTCAGAGAATGTCTATAGAGATGGAAGCCTGAAATGTGTGTTCAGTAGTGCTGTTGAGGGCCACAGTGGATGCCCCATGAAAGACTTGAAAAATCAAGGATTGCCTGAGAGAATGAGCTGTTGTTTTGGAGTCCAAACAATGTTCATTGAATCCTGTCAGAGGACCCACAAGCCTCCTACAAAGTGCAAATATTCTTAGCCCCCATAAAGAAACAATGACCCACAACCTATAATGCAGCCAGCCTACCCAAAGTCCATTTGGCTCTCTGAAATCCCTAGCATCTAAATAACCTGTGTTAAGAGGCAGTCCCATCCAGCAACAGACCAATGAAAGAGCCCCTCCACAATGAGAAGGCCATGAAGATGAAAAGAATAAGAGGCCAGATTAACAGACAGAAGCCAGGCATTGCTTCCTGCTTCTTATCCTACAGGAATCTTGCAGCCCTCCAATGGAAGTGAGAGAGCCAGTGTTAAGAAGAAAACACTTATGCAATGGATACCCCTGAGGGTCGTTTTTCATGAACTGGGAAATGTTTAGTGTAGAATTAATTGAGCTAGACTCAGGAAACCCTAGGTCAATGAGAAAAATGGTAGTCAGAAAAAGAAGAGGAAAGTCTGGAGGCCAAATTCCACACAGCATCAATCCATTCCACTCCCATTTGACTCTGGGTATGAAAGTTATCAAATCAGGAGTTAGCTAGGATGGCCCCAATTTACACACCAAAAGTTTCTTGCAGGTTCATGCACCTGAACATCAGACCATGGTGTGGACTGCTTGTGCAATTGAAGGAATGTGGGAATGGTGTTGAAAGCACCTTCTTTGTCATCTGTCTTCCTTTGCATTGCAGGTGAAGTTGCAGGACCCAATCCACCCCTCAATAGATTGTATCCTCACACCTATTTCACCATATTACTTCTAACACTCTATGTCCCAGGATGCAATCCTAAGATGATGGAGGAGTGCCTCTTCACAAAGTGAAGTACCTGATCAGATGGGAACCTAATTCAAGGTAAATTACAGGGGCCCAGCAGATAGGATGCCTAGTCTGTCTGTCTGGGTTGGCTGCAGGACAATAAAATACAGAAAAATGTCTGTTTTTTGGTGTGGTGTCTTCCTCTTTTTTCTAAAAGAGTGGCTTTTTTTTTTTCCAGAGGGAGGTTATTTGGATGCTGATGGGTCTTGGCATGCCTCCCAATTCACAGTGGATTTATAATGCACAGATAAATGAAGAAAACAAGACCCCAGAGCCCAAGAAAAGCCACACAGGGCAGCCACCAAAAGGTTAGGAGTCTCAAAAAAAAGAAGCACTGAAGTGCTTTAACCATGTTCCTTTAAGAAGACTCCGCTAAAAGGCACACACAAACACACACAAAATGCTAAACACATATGCAGAAAACACTCTCACAGAAACACATAGCCAAGCAGCTCCTGAAGCTGTGTGGTTCTGCAGGTAGCCCCACGTCGGGGAGAGCAACCCCAGCTAACACAGTCAGGATGTACCTAGAAATCACAGTGGGACAAGTTTCAAGAAACCTCACTCCTACAACATTTAGGTAGGTCTGAGGAATCCTGAAGAACGTTTTAGATCCTTAGGGATTCCGCGGTTTATTCCGGGGGCTGGGCTTGAGGTTTATTCAAGCTGGCTCGTGTCTGCTCCCTCCTAGATTCGTGGGACTATCCCATGGATCTACAGAGAAGATAGGCAAGAGTCCACCACCGATGCACCTCCACAAAAGTCTCCTCTGCCAAGCTTCAGGCACTTGTCACTATGCACCAGTCACAATCACTGTGATGCTAGCAAGGGCTCACAATCAGTCCTGGTGCCCTGAGACTAGAACATGCACATTCGTGAGGCAGGCTCTGGTGCCCATTTGTCAGAGCTGTCATCCTGTCTAAGCAGAGGAAAATAGTGCAGGCAGAGCCAGCCTGGTATCAGAAAAATTCTGACTGCAAAAACCCACTGCAGGCCCCTAAAAGTCTAGACATCAGGACCAATTCGGGCCATCTCCATGGTCAGTTTTCACTGGAGGAGGAGGCATTTCAAGACTGTGAGGTGGTTGCTAGAAACTGATCTTCTCACTATATTCCCAAAAGAGAATGTGTGTGTGCAAGAATTGGGTCACATGCGGATTGGAATATAGTTTGGTGTGTAGTTGAGTGTTCTTTGAGGGATAGAATCTTACCTGAGACCCCAGAGGCATGTGACAGTGAAAGATGGCTGGGCTCTTGACATCACTGACTGTCTTCATCTCAGGCCTCCCATTGGCTCTCTGGGAAAGGCAGGAACATGACAAAGGCAAGTCCAAGGTGGAGTAATGTTCTCACACCTTGGACTGTCCTCTCAAGGGTGCAGATGAGGTTCAGACAGTGTATCCGAGACCATCTGTGGTGATGGCAAGGATGAAAATGCTGAATATTAGTGCTGTCAAGATTCACTGTGAATTACCCACAAAAGCAAAGAATAATCAAGACTCGCCTGAAAGAATGAGCTGCCTTCTGCTGGAGTCAAAGCAATGTTCAATGATTCCCATCAGAGGACCTAAAAGCCTCCTACAATGTGCAAACAATCTCAGCCCCCACAAGGAAGCAATGACCCACAACCTGGAGCGCAGGAAGCCTACCCACAGTCGCTTTTGCTCTCTGAAATCCCTGGCAGCTAAATAATCTGTGGTGAGAGGCAGTCACATCCAGCAACAGCCCAATGGAAGAGCCCTTCCACAATGAAAAGGCTGTGCAGTTGAAAGAAAATAGAGGCTAGATTAGCAGGCAAAAACCAGACAAGTATTCTCATCCTGCAAGTATTATGCAGCCGTTCAAAAGAAGTAGGAGAAAAAGAGTTTCTTTGTTGGCAGCAGTAATGAGAATTTTTGGTTTCAAAATATCAAAGCTGCCCAGTCATTAAAACGTGACAGTGTTTAGAAGGAAACACTCATGCAATGGATTCCCATGAGGGATATTCTCCGTGAACTGGAAAACCTTTAGTGTGAAAGTTGTTGAGCCAGACACAGGAAACTCTAAGTGGATGAGGAATATAGAAGTCACACAAAAAAAGAGGAAAATATGGAGGCCACATCCCAGCCAGCATCAATCCATTCCACTGGAATTGGTCTCGGAATATGAAAGCCCTCAAATCAGGAGTTTGCCAGGATGGACCCAAATTGCACTCCAAATGTCTGTTGCTCATTGGAGTATCGCCACCTGAACATGGGGTCATTGTGTGGACTGTGTGTGCAATTAAGGGAATGCAGGGATGGAGTTGGAAGACCTTCTGTGTCATCTGTCTGTATTTTTATTGTAGATGAATTACAGGACTCCAACCACCTTTCACCAGATTTTATCTCCACCCATATCTGACCTTATTGCTGCTCACACTCGATGTCCCAGGATAAAATCCCAAGATGATGGAGGAGTACCCCCTTACAACGTGAAGTACCTGCTCAGCTTGGAACCTAATTCAAGGTAAGTTCAAGTGTCCCTGCAGACAGGACTGCTAGTGTCTCCCCTTGTGTTTGCTGCAAGACAATGAAACACTGAAAAATGCCTGTTTTTTCTTTTTTCTTTCTTTCTTTTTTTTTGTGTGCGTGTGTGTGTGGTGTGCTCCTCTTCTTTCTGGAAGTGTGGCTATTTTGCAGGGGGAGATGATTTGGACGCCATGGGGAATTGGCCTGACTTCCAATTCATGTTGGATTCATAATTCACAGAAAAATAAAGAACATGAAGCTTTGTAGCCCAAGCAGATCCACGCAGACAGGCCACCAAAATGTTGGGAGACTCAAAAAAATAACGCTGAACTATGTTAGCCACATTGCATTAAGCAGACTCCCCTTACAGGCACACACACACACAAACACACACAAACACTCACAAACACACACAGAGAAACAGACAAAGTGCCACACACACGCAGACATCCAACACTCACAACACTCCCACAGAAACACACAGGCTGGCAGCTCCTGAGGCTGTGTGATTCTGAAGGTAACCTCACCTGCGAGAGAGCAACCCAGGGAAACATAGTTGGGCTATACCTAGAAATCAGTTTGGCAAGTTTCAAAAAGACTCACCTCTACAATGTCTAGGCATGCCTGAGAAATGCTGCAGATCTTTTTGGATCCTAGAGATTTTGCAGTTTATTCCTGGGGCTTTCCTTGATGTTTCTTCAGGCAAGCTTGCATGTGCCATTTCCTGGGGTCATGGGACAATCCCATAGATCAAACAGAGAAGACAGGCGAGAGTTCATGGCCAATGCATCTCCACAGAAGTCTCCTTATATGCCAAGATGCAGGGACTTGTCACTAGGCAATGGTGAAATTCATTGTGACACTCGTTAGAGCTCACAATCAGGCCTGGTTCCCTGAGACTGGAGCATGTGCCTTTGTGGGCAGGCTTGGAAGCCTGGCTGTAAGAGCTGTCACCCTGCCTAAGCAGAGGAAATTGGTACATGTAGAGCCAGACTGGTATCTGGGAAAATATTTCCTGTAGTAACCCACTGTGGAATGCTAAAAGTCTCATCCTTAGGACCCCTTGGATCATCTTTGTTCTTGGGTACCCCTGGAGGAGGTTGCTTTTTTTTTTTTAAGATGTTAAGTGTATATATGAAAAAGGAGGTTGCTTTTTCAGACTGTGAGTTGGTTCTGAAAAACTGCTCTTCTGACTCATTGCTGAAAGAAGCTGTGTGCAATAATCAGGTCCCATGGGGATTGGAATGTAGTCTGGTGATTTGTTTAGGTGTCTTTGGGTGATAGAATCATACCTGAGACCCCAGAGATGGGTGTCAGCAAAAGATGGCTGGGCCATTAACCTTACTGCCTCCCTTCATCCTGGGTTTCACAGGGTCTCTCTCAGATAGGCAGGAAACATGACAAAGGCAAGTCCAAATTGGAGAAGTACTCTCACACCTCAAACTGGCCTCTCACACATGCAGATGAAGTTGAGAGAGGGTCTCAGTGGCTATCTGTGGTGATTGCAACCCTAGAAATGGTGTCCAGTAGTGATAGTGAGTGGCACTGTGGACCCCCCGTGAAATCAAGAAAAATCAAGGTTTGCATGAGAGAACACACTACCCTGGGCTGGAGTCCAAGTAACGTTCAAAGATTCCTGTTAGAGGACCCAAAACCCTCCTGCAAAGTTCAAACAACCTTATCCCCCATAACAAGACCAAGACTCACAACCTGGAATGCTGCCAGCCTATCTGAAATCCCTTGTCTTCTGGGAAATCCCTGGCATCCAATAAATTTATAGTGGGAGGCAGCCCCATCCAGCAACAGCCCAATGAAAGACCCTCTACACATTGAGAAAGGACATGCAGATAAAAGGAAACAGAATCTGTATTACCAGGCAAAATCCAGACATGGCTGCCTGCTTCTCATCCTACAGAAATCATGTAGGCCTCCAATAGAAGTTGGAGAGCAAGAGTTTCATTATTGGCAGCTGTAACAGGAATTTATGGTTTTAAAATTATCACAGCTGCCCAGTCATTGAAACTTGACAGTGTTTAGAAGGAAACACTCATGCAATGGATTCCCTTGAGGGTCACCTTCCATGAACTGGGAAATATTTAGCATGGAAGATGGTATGCCAGACCCACGAATCCCTAGGCCAAGGAGGCACATGTAAGTCAGGAAAAGAAGAAGCAAGTGTGGAGGTCACATCCCACCATGCAGCAGTGGATCTCACTGACATTTGGCTCTGCCTATGAAAGCCCTCAAATTGGGAGTTTGCCAGGATGGCCCCAGCTTGCACTCTAAATGTTTCCTGCATGTTGGAGTTGGAGTACTCCCAACTGAATACTGGGCTAACTTGAGGACTGTTTGTGCAATTAAGGAAATGTGGGGTCTGCTGGAAGCACCTTCTGTGTCATCTGTCTTTAACTATTTGCAGGTGAAGGTACGGGACCCCATCCACCCCTCACCAGATTGTATCCTCACCCCACCTGATCTTATTGCTGCTTACACTCTATGCCCTAGGATGAAATTCCAAGACAATGGAGGAGTGACCCCTGACAATGGGAAGTACCTGCTCAGCTAAGAACCAAATTCGAGGTAAATTCATGTGGACAGAACTGTTGGCATTTCTCCTTAGGATGGCTGCAGGACAATGAAACATTGCAAGATTTCTGTTCTTGAGTGTGGCATGCTGCTCTTCTTTCTAGAAGGGTGGCTTTTTTTGCAGTGATCAGTTATGCAGACCCCTGCAGGTCATAGCCAGCCTCATAATTCACTGTGAATTCACGATTCACAGAAAAATAAACAGGTAGGCCTACATCCCAGGCAGAGCCACACAGGTAGGCCACCGAAGTGTTGGGAGTCTCAAATAGAAGAAGCCCTGCAGTGCGTTATCCACATCCCTTTAAGCAGACTAAACTTACAGGTGTGTGTGCGTGCGTGCACGCACACACACTCAAACACACAAAACCAAAAAGTCACACCCACACCCAGACATCCAACACTTGGAACACTCCCTCAGAAACACAGAGCCTGGCAGCTTCTGAGGCTGCACGTGTATGCAGAAAGCCCCACCTGGGAGAGAGAAACTCTGACGAACACAGTGGACTTTACCTAAAAATAACAGTTGGATGAGTTTCAAAAAGTCTCAACCCTAGAACGTCTAGGCAGGACTGAGAAACCTGGCTAATTTTTTTGTAACCTTAGGACTCGCGGTTTATTCCTTTGGCTCTCCTTGATGTTTCTTCAGGCTGGCTTATGTCTGCCCTCTTCTAGGAACATGGGACTATCCCGTGAGTCCCACAAAGAAGACAGGCGAAAGTCCACCGCTGTCACCCCTCTACGGAGATCTCTTTCTCAGCCAAGTTGCCAGGACTTGTCGCTAGGTAATGGTGACATTTATTGTGATGCTAGCCAGAGCTCACAATCAGGCCTGGTGCCCTGAGACTAGCGCATGCGCATTCAAGGGTTGCCCGGCTGTTAGAGCTGTCAAACTGTGGAAGCAGAAAAAAACTCTACAAGCAGAGCCGGCCTGGTGTCGGGAATTAGGATGCCTGCGACAATGCACTGCAGGACCCTAGAAGTCTCGATGTTAGGGACACTTCAGGCTGTCTCCGTGGTCTGTTCCCACAGGAGGAGGTGTTTAGAGACTGTGAGATGGTCACTGGAAACTGCTCTTCTCACTCCCTTTCCAAAAGAGGCTGTGTGGAAGAATCAGGTCCCATGGGGATTGTAATGTAGTCTGATGAGTTGTGGAGGAGTCTTTGGGTGACAGAATTATACCTGAGACACTAGAATTGGGTGCCCACAAATGATGTGGGTGACAGAATTATACCCGAGACCCTAGAATTGGGTGCCCACAAATGATGTTTGTGCCCTTATCTTCACTGCCTCCCTCCATTCTGGACCTCACAGGCACTCTCTGTGAAATGCAAGAAGCATGACAAAGGAAGTCTAAAATGCAGCAGTGTTCTCACACCTCAAACAGGCTTCTCATGAGTGCAGATGAGGTTGAGACAGTGTATTAGAGGACATCTGTGGTGATGCCAAGCCTCAAAAGAGTGTCCAGTAGTGCTTTTCAGGGGCACTGTGGACTTCCCAGGAAAGCAAAGAAAAATTAAGCCTCATGAGTGAGAAAAAGATGGCTTGTGTGGAGTCTAAGAAACATTTAAAATTTCCTATCAGAGAACTCAAAAGCCTCCTGCAAAGTGCAACCAACCTCAGCACCCACAATGAGACTCTGACCTACAACCTGGAGTGCTACCAAACCTAACCCGAGTCCCATTTGCTCCCTGAAATCCCTGGCAGCCCACAGATCTGTGGCAAGAGGCAGACCCATCCATCAACAATCCAGTGAAAGACCACATCCACAGTGAGAAAGGACATGCAGATGCAATGAGACACAGCATAGATTACCAGGCAAAAGCCAGACATGGCTCCCTGCTTCTCATACTACAGGAATCATGCAGCACTCCGATAAAAGTTGTAGAACAAAAGCTTCCTTGTTGGCGGATGTAATAGGAATTTATGGTTTAAAAATTATCACAGCTGCCCAGTCATTAAAACGTGAAAGTGTTTAGAAGGAAACACTCACCCAGTGGATTCCCTTGAGGGTCGTCTTCTGTGAACTGGGAGACGTTTAACATGGAAGACACTGAGCCAGACCAAGGAAACCCTAGGCTGACAAGGAACATGGAAGACAGGAAAAGAAGAAGCAAGTGTGGTGGCCATATCCCATCTTGCATCTATCAATCTCACTTTCAAGTGGAGCCAAGTAGGAAAGCTCTCAAATTGGGAGTTTGCCAGGATGGCCCCAGTTTGCACATCAAATATTCTCTGCATGTTGGCGTACTCCCACCTGAACATCAGGCCATAGTGTGGACTACTTGTGTAATTAAGGACATGTGAGGATGCAGTTGGAATCAATTTCTGTGTCATCTGTCTTTACATTTTTTCCAGGTGAAGGAGTGGGACCCCATCCACCCCTCACCAGATTGCATCTTCAACCCTATCTGACCTTTTTGCTGCTTATACTCTCTGTCCCTGAAGGAAATGCCAAGATGATCTAGGAGTGCCCTCTCATGACTTGAAGCACCTGCTCGGCTAGGAACCAAATTCGAGATAAATTCAAGGGGCCCTGTGGACAAGCATGCAGGTGTTTCTTCCTGGAATGGCAGCAGAACAATGAATTACTGAGGGAAGTCTGTCCTTGGGTATGGTGTGCTCCTCTTCTTTCTTGAAGAGTAGCTTTTTTTGCAGGCAGAGGTGATGCGGACCTTGGCATGTCACAAGCAGCCTCCCAGTTCATTTTGCATTCATGATACAGGGAAAAATAAAAAAACACGGAGACCTGCAGCCCAAGTAGAGCCACACAAGCCACCTAAAGGTTGGGAGACTCAAAAAAAAAAAAAAGAGTTCAGTGTGCTAGCCACATACCTTTAAGCAAATTCCACTTACAAGCACACACACAGACAAACACACACACAGAAACACACAATACCAAAAAAGCCACACCCACATGCATACATCAAAGACTCACAACACTTTCACAGAAACACACAGCCTGGCAGTTTCTGAGGCTGCAGTTTCTGAGGCTGCATGGTTCGGCAGGAAGACTTACCTGGGAGAGAGCAATTGTGGGGAACACAGGTATGGTGCACCTAGAAACCACAGTGAGGCAAGTTTCAAAAAGACTTTCCTCTACATGCCTAGGCAGGCCTGAGGCATTCTATAGATAGAGATTTCACATTTTATTCCTGGGGTTGGCTTGACCTGTCTTCCAGTTGGCTCATGTCTGCCCTCTTCTAGGATCACGGGAATATCCCTTGGATCCCACAGAGCAGACAGGTGAAAGTCCACTGCCGATGCACCTCCAAGAAAGTCTCCTTCTTTGCCAAGCTGCAGTGACTTCTCACTAGGCAATGTTGTCATTCATTGTGACACTAGCCAGAGCTTACAGCTCAGGCTTGGTGTCCTGAGACTAGTGTATATGCATTCTCAGCACCTGACAGGCAGAGCTGTCAGCCCACCTAAGCAGACAAAAATGGTACAGGCAGGGCAGGCCTCGTATCAGGACAAATTGCTTCATGCGATAACCCACTGTAGAACCCTAAAAGTCTCGAACTTAAGGACCCTTCGGGTCATACCCATGATCTAGTCCCACTGGAGAAGGAGGCATTTCAAGACTCTGAGGAGGTTACTGAGATCTGCTCTTCTGACTTCATTCCTGGAAGAGACTGTGTGGGAGAATCAGGTCCCATGTGAATTGGAATGTTGTCTCGTGAGTTGTGGAGGGTTGTTTGGGTGATAGAATCATACCTGTGACCCCAGAGGTGGGTGTCAGTGAAAGATGGCTGGGACTTTAACCTCACTGCCTCCCTTCCTCCTGGGGCTCACAGGGGCTCTTGGGGAAAGGCAGGCAGCATGACAAAGGCAAGTCAAAAGTAGAGCAGAGTTCTTATACCTTGAACTGGCCTCCCTCTCATGGGTGCAGAAGAGGATGAGACTGTGTCTCAGGGATCATCTCTGGTGATTGCAATCCTGAAAATATTGTCAGATAGTGCTGTTGAATGGCACTGTGGACCTCCCATGAAAGCAAAGGATAATCAAGGCTTATATAACAGAATGAGCTGCCTTGTGCTGTGGTCCAAGCAACATTCAGAGATTTCTGTCAGAGGACCCAAAAGCCTCCTGCAAAGTGCTAACAACCTCAGCCTCCACAACAAAACCATGATCCCAAACCTAAAGCACAGCCAGCATACTTGAAGTCCTTTTTGTTCTCCAAAATCTCTGGCAGCCAATAAATATCTGATGGAAGGAAACCCCATCCAGCAACAGCCCAATGAAAGATTCCTCCACAATGAAAAAAGACAAGCAGATGAAATGAAACAGAGCCTAGATTCCCAGGCAAAAGCTAGATATGACTGCCTGCTCCTCATCCTACAGGAATCAAGCAGCCCTCCGATAAAAGCTGGATAACGAGAGTTTCCTTGTTAGAGACTATAAAAGAAATTTACAGTTTTAAAAATATCAAAGCTGCCCAGTCATTAAAACCTGACAGTGTTTAGAAGAAAACACTTATGGAATGGATTCCCTTGAGTGTCGTCTTCTGTGAAATGGGAAACATTTAGCATGGAAGACATAGAGTCAGATCTAGGAGCCCCTATGCCAATGAGGAACATGGAAGTTGGGAAAAGAAGAGGCAAGTGAGTTGACCATATCAAACTTTGCATAAAAGGATTTGTCTCCCATTTGGATCCAGGTGTGAAATCCTTCAAATAGGGAGTTTTCTGGGATGGCCCAGTTTGCACTCCAAACATTCCATGCATATTAGGGTGCTCCCACCTGTACACTGGCCCATGGTGTGGACTGGTTATGTAATTAAAGTAATGTGGGGATGCAGTTGGAAGCACCTTCTGTGTCATCTGCCTTCTGTGTCATTTTTTGTAGGTGAAGGTGCAGGACCCCATCCACCTCTCACCAGCTTATATCCTCACCTTTATCTGATGATATGGCTACTCAAACTCTCTGTCCTAAAAAGATATCTGAAGATGATGGAGGAGTGCCCCTTCACCAAGTGAAGATCATGCTCGGCTAGGAACCGAAAATGAAGTAAATTCAAGGGGCCCTATGGACAGAATTGCTAGTGTTTCTCCATATAAAAAAACTCAAGGCTTGCCTAAGAGAATGAGTTGACTTTTGCTGGAGTCCAAGCAATGTTCAAAAACTCCTGTCAGAGGACCCAAAAGCCTTCCGCAAAGTGCAAACAACTTCATCCTCCAGAATGAGACCAAGGCCCACAACCAGAAATGCAGCCAGCCTACCCAAAGTGCATTTTGCTCCCTAAAATCAGTAACAGCCAAAAGATTTGTGGTGAGTGGCAGTCACGTCCAGCAATGGCCCAATTAAAGATACCCTCCACAATGAGAAAGGTCTTGCAGTTGAAATGATACAGACTGTAAATTACCAGGCGAAAGCCAGACAATTCTGCATGCTTCTCATCCTACAGTAAACATGCAGCCCTCCAAAAGAATTGGGAGAACAAGAGTTTCCTTGTT